>NC_000005.10:95867382-96170413 GCF_000001405.40 Homo sapiens
CATGTTTCTGTTGTGATTGATGTATCTATAACTGACAATTCAAGAAACCTACTGCCGGGAGTGCCAATCTTTGATTTAGAAACATGGTGTCTTTTAGAAGTCTTGTAGAACCCTTGACTCTTTCTCACAATGCTGTTTTTAAAAGCATAAAACTAAATACATAGGATACCAAAGAAACCAATTATACTGAAGAATAGTTATCAAATACTTTTTAAAAATATGTGATATAGTTAGATGCTTCTTTATTAATACATTAAATAAGATCTACTGATGGATTTAAATAAGTATTGTATCTTCAAAATGGTGATGAACTTAAATGATGTTTCAAAGCATTAGCAACAACTGTTGGTGACTGAGTCACAGGTGTTGATTGTTGTTTGTTACTGCTACGGTTTGGATATCGTTTGTTTGGCTCCACTCAATCTCATTTTGAAATGTGACCCCCACTGTTGGGACTGGGGTCTGCTTGGGGGTATATGGGTCATGGGGGTGGATCCCTCATGAATGGCTTGGTGCCATTCTTGCAGAAGTGAGTTCTCATTCTTAGTTCTCAAGAGAACTGGTTGTTGAAAAGAGCCTCTCTGGCCAGGCGTGGTGGCTCATGCCTGTAATCCCAGCACTTTGGGAGACCGAAGCAGGTGGATCATTTGAAGTCAGGAGTTTGAGACCAGCCTGGTCAACATGGTGAAACCCCGTCTCTACTAAAAATACAAAAAAATTAGCCAGGTGTGGTGGCGGGAACCTGTAATCCCAGCTACTTGGGAGGCTGAGGCAGGACAATTGCTTGAATTCAGGAGGCGGAGATTGCAGTGAGCCGAGATCGCGCCACTGAACTCCAGCCTGGGAAACAGAGACTCAGTCTCAAAAAAAAGTAGAGCCTCTCACCTCCCTCTTTCTTCCTTCTTGCTGCTTCTCTTGCCATGTGATCTCTGCACCTGTTGGTTCCCCACTGCCTTTTGCCTTCAGTGAAAGCAACCTGAGGCCCTCACAAGGAGCAGATGTTGGCACCATGCTTCTTATACAGCCCACAGAACCATGAGTCAATTAAACCTCTTTTCCTTATGAATTACCCAGACTTAGATTTTTTTTTATAGCAACACAAATGGACTAAGACAGTTACCTGCCTTCTTAATTGAAAAAATTGCTAAATTTTAGTTACAGGTTAGTGAAAACAAATAAGTGGGTCTTTCCCCATCCAAGTTTATAGAACCTTGGAATTCTATCCAAGAGCCCCTTGGGTGTCTGCAGACCTCAAAGTCAGCTCCTCTGCCAGGATGGCTTCTTTGCTACTGGCCCAAAGGACAATCACAAGAACTAAAAAGAACAGTATCACCTGTACCTTCCTGGTATATCTGCTTATAAAACCCAAATTTCACAGCTTGTCCCCAACTGGCAGGCTTCTATAGCATAAGCTTAATGGCAAGAAATGATAAAATTCATGTGAGATCTACAGCCAATGTATATTTGCTTTGTGTTTTTGCTAAAGTGACCAGATATTTCTACAACAGATAGTCATGGCTTTAGACTATTTGTCAAAATAAACTTTTAGAGTTGTCTTGACTTTGATGCCTTCTAGGCCCCTTGAGGGAAGCTGAGAAGGCAAGTACAAAAGTGGGCTAACAGCTACATAAAAATAAGCTAAGGCCCACATCAAGATGTGGTGTGAGGCTGGGCATGGTGGCTCACGCCTGCAATCCCAACACTTTGGGAGGCTGAGGCCAGGAGTTCAAGACCAGCCTTGGCAACATAGCGAGACCTGCTCCCTCAAAAAAACAAAACAAAACAAAACAAAACTGGGCATGGTGGCACACACCTGTAATTCCAGCTACTTGGGAGGCTGAGGTGGGAGGATCACCTGAGGTCAGGTGTTTGAGACCAGCCTGGCCAACATGGTGAAACCCCAGCTCTACTAAAAATACAAAAAAATTAGCCAGGCATGGTGGCATGCACCTGTAGGCAGGAGGATCGCTTGAACTCAGGAAGTGGAGGTTGCAGTGATCCGACATCATGCCACTGCACTCCAGCCTGGGTGACAGAGCAAAACTCTGTCTCCAAAAAAAGAAAAAAAAAAAAAAAGAAAGAAAAGAAATAAAGAATGAAAAGTGGCATGAGAGTAGGAGCAGAAAGAGGCAAGAAATATTTGGGCTCAGGCACCAAAATAAGCCCAGGCTAAACCAAGTTTCACAAAACTTCATCCCCCAGCCCCAAGCCTGGGGAACCACAGTGTGGGCACAGTGAACACGTTTGCAGCCACTTCCTCAGCATGAGCTGAGATACCACATAAGAAGAAATCAAAACAAAACCTACCTCTTTTTTTTTTTTGGCTTGAGGGAGCTAGTTTTATTTTAGGGGCTAAAAAGAGGAAAAGGATGTACTGATTTCCACAGTTAGGCAGTATCTGTACAGAATGTTTTAAGAAAGCAAAGAAGTTTAATAGGTGTTAGAAATAGTATGCTTTAACCTTTTCAAGTGGCATGGGTTTTAATTTTGGCATAACTTTTAAAGGAGACATTGCTATCTTTTTTTTCTTTTAATGTGTACAACTTATGCAGTAAATTATAAGGGTGTTGGCCAACACATTTTATATATATACATATATATTTGTGTAAAATATATATATGTAAATATTTTTCTGTTTTTGTTCTATTAGCTAATACATACAAAGAAGCTAGATACAAAAGCATCACTTCTAGAAAATAAAGGATACTAAACCAAAAAGATGATACAGCAGTGCTCATGCTTCCTTAGTTGTTTGTTGTTGAGTCACTTACATGGTTTTTCCAGACAAATGTCTGAGGGAACTATACCTGCTTTGATAAGGGTTGAGTCAAAAGTAGATGAAGGAACTGCTATGAATAGAAAAAAGGAAACTCAAGCTGCTGGTAAGCTTAGGAAATGTGGAAATGAGATCATATTCAGAGAACAAATTTACTTTTAGTTTTGAAATAACCCCTTCTCTGAATGGGTAAGTTCTATGTAGTCCAGCCTGTGGAAAATACTCAGTGATTAAGGGGCTGCCAGTGGCTATGGGAAATGGACTTGGTTGGCTTCTACTGGAGGTGGGGGTTTGCTGCTCCTCCTGAGAAATGGGGCTGCTAAGGAAAGGAGTCAGCTCTGCAGGTCAGGCCCACGGATTCTCAGTGTTCAATGCCATGTGCTTCACAACAGTCTGAGTGTGACATTCTCAGTGTTGCTTTTGATTTCTATGTTTCTGAGAAGCAGTTAGTCTCACATTGATCTCAGCTTGGTGGTCCCTGGGTTTAGTGGGAACTCCCCAGCCATGGTTAATACCATCCTCTGCGTCCGTGGTGACACTGGTTCATGGACTTGCCTCTTTCTTCATTCCCTTTTACAGAAGGCTGATGGTTAAAGTCCCAGCCATAATCCTACCCAGGAATATAGTTCCAAAATTTAACTATGGGAAAAACATGACCATAAGTTTCCCTAGAACTCATCTTTGCAGTGTTTTAAATGGAATTCTGGAACATTTGTGGTCTCTTGCTCCTGTGAAGAGGTTGTTTCCTGCTTTGCTTTATAGATGCCATTTCCTCCCTGGCGCATTTAAAAAACCACTGCATACAGCATTCTGGGAGCTATAGAAGGATTAAGAATGACCTTTAGCTGAGGAACGAGACAGCACAGCTACAGGAGATTCTGATCTATTTTCTTTTTACATGTACAGTGTTGCACCTCTATGGAAAGCACTGGCCAAGTTCCAAGCCAGCCTCAAGCAGACCCTAAATATTCCAAAGAAATAGCCTGCAGTCACTACAAAACTTGCCTAAAGACATGCCAGGGTAAAAACCCAGTTCAAATCTGCTAAAGGTGTCTCCCACTCAAAGGGTAGAGGGCAGGGATTTCTTTCTAAATGAGGGAACATAAGATAAGGTACACATTATGATAATACCATTTCCTACACTTGATAGTTTGAAAACCACTTTCACAATGGTTCTCTTATTTGTTTTTTGTGGGGTTTTTTTTGGCCAGGAAAGTACAGTGTACATCATTTGCTTTTTAGACATAAGGTTAATAGAACAAGAGCAATGATACAGCTAAAAGTTATACAATCAATTACATAACAGATATACTTAACAAGAGGTAAGAACTTTTTTTTTTTTTTTTGACACAGAGTCTCATGCTATCACTCAGGCTGGAGCACACTGGCGCGATCTCAGCTCACCGCACTCCACCTCCCGGGTTCAAGCGATTCTCATGTCTCAGCCTCTTGAGTAGCTGGGATTACAGGCTTGAGCCAACACACCTAGCTAATGTTTGTATCTTTAGTAGAGATGGGGTTTTACTGCGTTGCCCAGGCTGGTCGTGAACTCCTGACCTCAAGTGATCTGCCTGCCTCGGCCTCCCAAAGTGCTGGAATTACAAGTGTGAGCCACCGCTCCCAGTCAGAATATTTTTTAAAAAGTCTTTATATATGTTAGATAGTTAATACAACAGATAATGGCAATTAAGGAATGAAGCATGTTACGCAAGTAGACTTAATTTGGAAGGAAAATAAACATTTACAAAACAGCTACTATGAGCCAGGCATTGTGCAGGGATCTTGACATGCATTATTCCACTTGATCCTTACAGTAGGTTAGTAGTATTCGCTAATTTTCCAAAGAAAAAGAAAAAAACTCTAAAGTTCAAAGAACTCAGTGGTTACACTGAGGCACATGGAAATTGTACGATCTGAGAGGTGAGCCCATGTCTTGCCATTACACCACCCTACCTCATTACTTAGGATAAATGTTGCCCATGATTTCTTCTTTTTCCTTTTGATTTTACCATCCCTTCATCTGAATGTGATTACACTCATTTCACTCTTTATAGCTCCTTTCACCATCATCATCACTCTCATAATAACGGTGATCGTTCACTGACCTCATTTAATGCATCTTATTATAGTTATAGATTTCTCTTCTTACCCATGTTAGTTATACCATATGTTTCTTGAAAGTAGGTCTCAAGTCTTATTCATTTTTATATATTAAGCAGCATCTTACTACCATTTTACATCTATTCTCTTCCCAATAAGTGTTTTTTGAATGAACTAAGTGAAGCAAAATGGCATGCCTGCAGTCCTAGCTACTTGGGAGGATCCCCTGAGCCTAGGAGTTTGAAGCTGCAGTTAGCTATTATCATGCCACTACACTCCAGCCTGGGTGACACAGCAAGACCTTGTCTCTAAACAAAAAAGAAAGAAAAGAAAAAAACCAGAGCAGAAATGACTTTTTACAACAGACTGAGAAAAAGAGGACACATTTTTGTTTGTTACTGGATCATCATAACAGTCATGGTCAGTGAGTTAGGATGATAATCTGATGAAACCGATTTGCTCACGAGTGTCCTTTAGATTCTATTCCCATCCTGGCAGCACTTCTTGGGTACCATCCAGGACCTGCTGTCCACAGCCTCCAGCCTGAACCTCTTGCCTTGACCTGTTCATCCTGCTTCATCCTGTCATGCTCCAGACCAGATGGGCCTCCAATGTCATTGCTTGGTTTCTGGTTTCCATCTCTACCTCATCATTTGGACTTGATGCCTGACAGAGCTTTGGATTCTCCTCTCCTGTTGGTTGTCTCAGGACCGTTTGGAATGCTCTTCTGGGGACACTGATTTCCCATGCAGTGAAAAGACACAGGCTACATGAAACTTTTCTTTTCTCCTTCCTTCTTCCTTTCTTCTTTCTTTCTCCTTTCCTTTCCTTCCCTTTCCTTTCCTCCCTTTCCCCTTCCCCTTCCTTTCCTTTTTTTTTGGACAGTCTTGCTCTGTCGCCAGGCTAGAGTGCAGTGGTGTGATCTCAGTTCACTGCAACCTCCACCTCCCAGGTTCAAGCGATTTTCATGCCTCAGCCTCCTGAATATCTGGGATTATGGGCACGCACCACCACATCCAGCTTATTTTTGTATTTTTAATAGAGATGGGGTTTTGCCATGTTGGCCAGGCTGATCTCAAACTCCTGACTTCAAGTGATCTGCCCTTCTTGGCCTCCCAAAGTGCTGGGATTATAGGCATGAGCCACCGTGCCCGGCTAGCCACCACGCACGGCTGATTTCTGAAAAAAGGAACTTATAACCTTAGGTCACTGGTCAATTTCCACAGCAGTACTTAGTGATCAAAATTTACTATTTGTGGATTAATTTACAACTGGCACCAGTGATTACTCAAAAATCAGAGAACAACACTTTTAGCCTAGGGTGGTGAAGAACATGGACTCTGTGGCCAGACTGCCTGGGTTCAAAGTCCAGCTCTGTGACTTACTAGCTATTAATAGCTGTGTGGCCCTAAGAAAGTACTCAACCTTTCTGTGGCCCAGCCATACAATGGGGATAACATTTGTAGGTTATTATGAGGAGTAGCTGACTTAATTATTTTCAAAGTGCTTGCAGCAGTGCCAGACGTACAGCGAGAACTATATAAGTGTTTGTTAAAGAAAATGTTTGCTTTCTCTGTATTCTTCTCCTGGGAATACTTGGCTCTGACATTCACAAACTGTTAGCCCCTTGAGGGCAGGACTTTGTTTTGTTTACTGTGTTATCCTCAGTACCTAGAATGGTGTCACATGGGAAATGTGCCATAACTATTGGTTTTAATGAATGAATGGGGATTCTGGAGGCAAACCATCACAATCATAAGAGTTGATTATTTATTAGTCCTGTCTTCTCTCACATTTTTTTCTCTCCTTTATGTTTTTACATCAGATGCTTCTGCCTGGGACAGGCTGGCAGAGGCAAAACCTTGACTAATAGCATCATAGACTCTATATCTCATTCAGCTGGAAATCAGCTAACACTCAACAGCTGATAAATAGAAAACTTCTCAGAAATAAGAAGAATCCCAATGCTAGTTTTTACAAAAACTCATAAGTTTAGGGCTGTGGTCCTATCCTAAAGGAAGTATTGCTAAAGGGAAGCTGTGAAGAGAAATGTTACTTAACAGCAGAATCTGCACTTCTGAAATTAGATTGTAAAAGATGGTGGCTTCCATCTTAAGTGCGATCACTTGTGTTCTCTCTCTTTCAACGCTCACTTTGGGAGAAGCCAGCTGCCATGTGTCAGGACACTCAGGCAGCCTGTGGAAAGCTGCACATGGTGAGGAACAGAGGGCTCCAGTCAAACGACCAATGCCAACAACCATGTAAGTGAGCTTGGAAGTGGATTCCCCAGCCCCTGTCAAGCCTTGAGACAACTGCCATCCCAGTCAATAGCTTGGTTGCAACCTTGTATGAGATCCTGAACTCAAACCATCCAACTAAGCTGCTCCTAGAAACTGTGTGAGATAATAAATGCTTGTTGTTTTAAGCTGCTAAATTCTGGGGGAGATTTTTTTAGACAGTAATAGATGTACATTTGAAAAGTATTGTTTAGGACATTCAGTGCACTCTTCCAGAATTTCTGGGATGACTAGGTATTTATGAAGAATGCTCATGAGACTAAATAGGTAAAATAGGAAAATCACATTTCCAGAAATACTATATAATCTTTTAAAACATATGGCCATTACAAATTTCAGATTTTTATCTTAGATTTTACAGGAGGTAACAGTTGGAACAATGGCAGTTTTGGAGTTTTTCTTTGCACTTGTATAACTCTTCTGTATACAGATAGTGCAAGGAGTTTTTAGAGAGAGAGGTTTGCAGTAGTACCAACCTATTTTTTCATTTTAAAGATTATACCAAAGCTATCTATCTCTAATCTTCTAAACGGGATTAAAAATAGATGATGATAAATATTGCTAAGTCATGAAACTATTAAAAGAGATGAAATGACATCACTGACTACAGTTGTGGGGAGGTAAAAATATACGCAAACTAATCAATTGTGATCGGGAACAAAACTTAATATTTAGTTTCTGACACAAGACAACACAGTGGGCACCAAAGTTCTCATTATCTAATTTAAGGAGGTACACTGGTTCACCCAGAGAGATATACATTTTCCCCAGCATAAACTCTAAGAAAACTTTATTATATAATTTTATAAAGGATGCTGGATAACAGAGTTGTTGAGAGCAACGGTACAAACAATCAAACAGGGATGTTCCTCATATCACCATTACTTACAGGGGCCTTAGCTATGATAAAGAGATGGCTTAAGAGGCAGGGAACTGGGCTGGGTGCGGTGGCTCACACCTGTAATCCCAGCACTTTGGGAGGCCGAGGTGGGTGGATCACTTGAGGTCAGGAGTTCAAGACCAGCCTGGCCAACATGGTGAAACCCCGTATCTACTAAAAATACAAAAATTAGCTGGGCTTGGTGGGGGGCACCTGTAGTCCCAGCTACTCAGGAGGCTGAGGGAGGAGACTTGCTTGAACCCGGGAGATGGAGGTTGCAGTGAGCTGAGATACTGTGCCACTGCACTCCAGCCTGGGCGAGAGGGAGACTCTGTCTCAGACAAACAAAAAAACCACCAACAACAAAAACAAAAGAGGCAGTGAAGCAGAGCACAGGTGCATGGCATTCTGGGGACCTGACTTGCTGTAGAAATAGCTTTTAGCATAAAACCTTAAGTAGCACTTCCAAAATCTGTGTTCCTTGGAAAATTGATTCTAAGAGACTCTCATAAAAATGGGCACACTGTGGTCTCTATGCCCTCTTGGAGAACATTTCAGCATATTAAAGGTGTATAAAAGTCCTTCATAAAAATAAAAGTGTTGGCTGGGCGCGGTGGCTCACGCCTGTAATCCCAGCACTTTGGGAGGCCGAGGCAGGCGGATCATGAGGTCAGGAGATCAAGACCATCCTGGCTAACACGGTGAAACCCCCTCTCTACTAAAAAATACAAAAAATTAGCTGGGCGTGGTGATGGGCACCTGTATCCCAGCTAGTTGGGAGGCTGAGGCAGGAGAATGGTGTGAACCCGGGAGGCAGAGGTTGCAGTGAGCCAAGATTACGCCACTGCACTCCAGCCTGGGCGACTGAGTGAGACTCTGTCTCTGAATAAATAAATAAAGTGTTAACTATTAAATCTAGCATTTTTCAAATGCTACAAAGGCTACAGAACTCTTTTTGGGTAATGCCTACATTCCCCTGCATTTATTTGGGAGATGCCAGTCTTACCTAGGAAGCTGATCCTCACTTTTCACCATTCATTTGAATCACCTGATGAATTTTACAAACACCCTCTGCCTAGGCCTCACCCCAACAGATTCTGGTTCACTTGGTCTAGGTCGGGGCCTGGGCAATGGTGTGGTTTAAAAAAAAACTCCCCAGGTGATTCTAATGAACTAGATGGTGGAGCACACAAACAGCCTCAAGTAAGAATCACCTGGAGCACTCGTTAAAGCACTGATTGCTGGGTCCTACCCCATGAGTTTTCAATTAAGCAGGTTTGGGGCAGAGCCTGACAATTTATATTTCTAACAGGTTCCCAGGTGCTGCTGTTGCTGCCGGGGGTCAGAGGATACCCTCTGAGAACTGGTGCTCTGACAAACAATGGGTAAGCATGGCTGTTGTTAGGCTATCCTTATCAGTGTGAGTACAGATCAGAACAAGGGTGTAGAACAGATTTCCTTTTGTTCTGAGCTGAATGCAAACAGCAATTACCATACGTTGCACCAATAGGTGGAAACTGAGTCTGGCCATGATGCATTGCATCCCACCTCCAGGCAGAATACAGGAGGAGGGGTGGTTACAATAGTGGGTGGGGGCCCTGAGGGCTGTCAAGTTATCTGTGGAATGGCCTCAACTCAAGGGTAATGTTAGCAGGAAGGGAGGCATTTTCATAGCAGATTGAGGTGTTTACCTGGTTGAAGAAGCCGAGGCAGTGAGGAATGCCTGGCCCAGAGCAGAGCAGGGCAATGGAAATGTTACCTCCTGTAAAAAGGGGTTTACATCAGTACTCTTGGGAGAAAAACTTTCAAGGAGGCAGAACATGACTGGGCTGTGAGGAGACCTTACTGGGTCCCTCCAGTTACCAGGCCAATTTTGGGGCTCAGCACCAAGCCTGAGAGGATGAGCTCTTAAGGCAGGCTGACAGGAGGTGGGTACAGTGGGGGAGATAAGACCTGTGTTGTTTTTTGTTTTTTTTTTTGAGACACCGTCTCACTCTGTCACCCAGGCTGGAGTGCAATGGCGTGATCTTGGCTCACTGCATCCTCCGCCTCCCGAGATGAAGTGATTCTCCTGCCCTAGCCTCCTGAGTAGCTAAGATCACAAGCGCCCGCTACCATGCCCGGCTCATTTTTGTATTTTTAGTAGAGAGAGGGTTTCACCAGCTTGGCCAGGCTGGTCTCGAACTCCTGACCTCAGGCAATCCGCCCGCCTTGGCCTCCCAAACTGCTGGGATTACAGGCCTAAGCTTCCACGCCCGGCCACGACCTGCATTCTTGGCTAGCGCTGATACCGATGGACCTTTCCTGGCCTGTTTCTTCTTGGTGGTTTATCCCACCTCATGCTAAAAATAGTTTAAAAGAAGGGCCCATTGAGAAAGCCTGGAAACATCTGTAAAAGGCATAAAGAGGCCGGGCGCGGTGGCTCACGCCTGTAATCCCAGCACTGTGGGAGGCCGAGGTGGGCGGATCACAAGGTCAGGAAATCGAGACCATCCTGGCTAACACGGTGAAACCCCGTCTCTACTAAAAATACAAAAAATTAGCCGAGCGTGGTTGCGGGCGCCTGTAGTCCCAGCTACTCGGGAGGCTGAGGCAGGAGAACGGCGTGAACCCGGAAGGCGGAGCTTGCAGTGAGCGGAGATCGCGCCATTACACTCCAGCCTGGGAGAGACAGAGCGAGACTCCGTCTCGGGAAAAAAAAAAAAAAAAAAAAAAAGGCATAAAGCATTGATTGTCAAGTGGTCTGGTAAGAAAATACTTACTGCGCTTCCTTACTTTTGCTCATTTTTCATTCCCAAAAGGGCTTCTTTTCAGTTTCTCTGACCCTCGGGCATCTTTCTCCCAGCCCCCTTGTTTCAGTTTCCTGCTTGCCCACCAATAACCTCGTTAGAGCCACACCACACACATGGTTCGCCTGCTGCTGACAACAGACAGAGCTCATGGGCAATTTTAATAGTGCAGATGTTATTTCTCTTCTTCTCAGAGGAACGGCCTCTGAGAGCCCCACAGTGATGGGGCTATAACCCCAGAAACCTCCACAAGGGAGGGGCCAGCCAGTCTCGGCTCTCTGCACTCACTGTGCACCAGCCTCTGGCCTCCAGGAAGACGGAGGGCGCTGGGGAAGGCAGTCATGGTTCCTCCCCAGCTCAAACTTTCCCATGTGAAATCCCGTGGGCCAGTTTGAGGTCCACTGGCCACTAAAATGCAATCTCTCTGTTTTGGAAACTTTCCTCAGAACTAATTAGCAACAAGAGACGCTCACAGATAAGAACCTCAAATACCAAAACACCACTGATAAGGCACTAACTGACATGCCTAGACCTGAGGAGGGAATCATGTCTGGGCTTCATCTCCCCAGCAATGGGTAGTAAAGGCAAACAAGCCATTGAAGGAACAAGTTCAGCAACAAAAAAGCAAGGCCCTAAATAGCTTTTGTTAATGAGAAGTGATTTGGATACACATACATTCAGTGAGCCTAAAGTCCGTCTTACCTTGGGGCCTGTCTACCATGCTCTTTATGGAGCTCTCCCCTCAACAAATATTAGCTTTAGCCACCTCTTGGGGAAGCCTGACCCCACTGCCTCACTGTGCCACGTCCCCTTATTATTAATTCTCACAGCCAACCTTTTATTTTGGAGCATTTACCACAACTGGAATCAAGTTGTGTCATTTGCATTTCTCTTGTTCAATGGTGTATTCCCACCACCTAGCACAAAGTCTATGTAAATATTTGCAGAACAAATATGCATGGCTTCTATGACTGAGGAACTCACAAATATATATAAGAGGGTTTCATGCAGGACTTGCTGACAGCTTTGGTTGAAGTCACAAGATGTGCCATCTACATCCACAACTTCCACACTGTAGTGTAACTCAGATTCTGAACCCTATATTGCAGGACTCACAGAGAGGAGTAGTAAAAAAAAAAAGCCAGTTTTTCTCCCTTCACTTCTGGCTCCTCACTGATGTAAGGGGTGGAAGTAGAAAAGTCAGCTCATGTTAGAAATCAGGGTTTCTATAGAGGGTTGGCAGTGAGCTTCCCTCTTGCCACAAGGCTAAAGAGAACAGCTTCATAAAGAGTACTTAGAAAAAGTAATTTGTGACACCTCAAGCTTGGGGGACACACAGGGCTGGTATGTGACTTGTGCCTGAAAATAAAGGTCTAGCAGAGTCAAGGATGCATTTGGAAGTCACTACACTCACGGATACCAGCCCAAAAGTGCTGATTGGTCTATGACTGGGGTGGGAGTGTGGGTGAGCGACCAGATGGGACACCTCGAGTTGGCATGTTGGTATGATCATTTTTAAATGGGCAGTAAGCTTACTAGCTTCTTGCCTGAAGTGACGGCAGTATGCTATTGGAGGCAGATGCTGAAGGCCACTGCAAGGGCCAGCCATAGGAGAGGTCAGAGGAGTCCGAGGCAACCAGGGTGGGCTTTGACAATGCCCAAAGGAAACCAAGGCCAAGGACTTCAAAGCTGTCATTCAATCAGCCCTCTCATGCTCCTTGTCTCTCCTCCCTACCTTCCCACCCTTTCATCCTGGGAAATGCTGGGTGGTGGGAGGAGTGGGGAGGATGGCAAAAAGCACTTGGCTTCCAGACTAAAGCAGGCCTAAGCTGGACGAGGGGAGAATATTCAGTTCTAAATGTATTTCAGAACTGTGGCTGTTACATGACTGGACTTGTGAGTTACTGAAATGAGGCCCTTGCTAAAAGTGAATACAGGACTTATTTAAAAGTAGCTGTCTCTGAGGAATTCTGGGAACCGCCAGAAATTTCATCTCTGAAGGCAAACAGCCCCCAAAAAGTGGATTTGTAGGGACACACATGACAATCGCTGTTGCTTTATGATTGTCCCTCATGGTCAATGTGACAGTGTTTAAACTTCACAGGCATTATCCTACATTACCAGGGATGAAAGAAAGAAGATCTAGGGGTTTAGGCAAATTGCCCTGGGTCAAAGGTAGGTGAATGTCACAACTGGAACTCAGGCCCAGGGTAGAGAACTCCATGTTCCGTTCTTTCCCCCAATACCACAAAGCATTTTCTATCCTCCCCAATTTTTCATGCTTTTAGGTCCCTATTTCTGACCTGGCCTTGTCACCATCTATATGTCAGGTCATTTTTAACCAAAGACAAGGGGAAAATGGTAAGATGTGCATGCTAACAGAAGAGGGGAGCCAGGGTCATTCACTCAGTCAAGAGGAGGGAGTGAAGAGAAGGGAGGAGCAGGTGGGGAGGGTGAGTTAAGGAAGGGAGGGGTGGATGATAATTGGCTACCACAGCAATAAAGATTTGTCAACAGGGGCAGAGAAAGAGGAGGGAAGGAGGAGGGTGGAGAAAAAGGTGGCTTTGCTGACGGTCCCTAGTGTCCCCTTACAGCTGTTCTCAGCTGCAGAGTTCTGAAGCTCAGGTGGCCACGAGACCCCTAGAGACCCTCCTGGCACTCCTTTGACAAGGCTGATTTAAATGAACTCTATCCTTGGGAGGAGAAGGAAAAACTTACAGGTGTAAGAAAGAGTGATTTTCACAGCAGCCTTTTATCCAAAGCATCTTACCTGTAACGAACAACCCCCTCTAGTAACTAGGTGGCAAGAAGCACTTAGGCTTCCAGACAAAAACGCTCTTTTAAAAACTGTCCTCTATAAAGACAACTGGAAAAGAGAATAGAGAGAATATTCAAAGTTCAGCTCAAGTTGAGAACAAATGCATCAGCACTGTGTCTAAGTTACTGGTAGCCAAGATGCCAAGAGAAGCTAATGTGGGACTTGAAAAGATTCACAGAGGGCCGGGCGTGGTGGCTCATGCCAGTGCTGCTAATCCCAGCACTTTGGGAGGCCAAGGTGGGCAGATCACGAGGTCAGGAGTTCAAGACCAGTGTGGCCAACATAGTGAAACCCCGTCTCTACTAAAAACACAAAAAATTAGCCGGGTATGGTGATGTGTGCCTGTAATCCCAGCTACTCAGGAGGCTGAGGCAGGAGAATCGCATGAACCCGGGAGGCGGAGGTTGCAGGGAGCTGAGATCGTGCCACTGCACTCCAGCCTGGGCAACAGAACGAGACTCCCTCTTAAAAAAAAAAAAAAAAAAAGATTCACAGGAAAAAAAAAGTATTTCATAGAGAAATCTGATTTTTGATAGAGAAATCAATAGCAGAGCTTTTAAAATGTTCTGGGCTGTGTCCATTTACCGGGGAGCTCAATCAATCACTCTTATGCAAAAATCTAAATTAACCTAATAGGGTTGTTCAGCTCTGACTGGTTGCTTTGCTACATATATTGCTACAGAACTTTCCACCTCTGAATAAAAGATGGAAAGAAATAATTTTAAAGTATCCAATAAAAATACATATAGTAAACTTATGAGGTGCCAGACACCTCTCTACGTATGTGTCAGCCCAGCAACCTCCAAGGCAGGTACTATCCTGTTCATGATGGGAAACAGAGGATCTGGGGCTTTATAAACATGCCCACAGTCTGTGGCTTGTGAGTGGCACAACAGGACTCTAAGCCAGGCTGTCTGGCAAGACTCCTTGCTCTGAAGCCCTGTGCCCGCTGCTTGTGCTCTGGCACAGCTTGCCTGGCACTTTACCACTCCTTGTCTTCGTATCATTTTTTGGAAGTGGCTGCTGGGCTGTTCTCGGCACCACCTAGGAAGAGTGTGTAAGCTCCTGGGGTCCCATCCTGCCTTCCCACGTGCTGTCACTTAGACGTCTTCATTTCACCATCTACAATGTGAAGGGTTGGGATTCCTGTAACTGGAGAACTAGCAGAGCCCATCAACAGCATTGGGCTCTGCTAGTTCTTGGAAGCACTTGGAAAATTACACAAATGCTAGGCATAAAATAAATGTCAATAAAAACACGTGGCAAAAGGACTCGCAAAGTCAAGTCAGTGTCTTAGTCCATTTGCATTGCTATAAAGGAATACCTGAGGCTGGGTAATTTATAAAGACAAGAGGTTGATTTGGCTTATGTTTCTGGAGGCTGTACAATAAGCATGGTGCTAGCATCCACTTCTGGGAAGGGCTTCAGGGAGCTTTTACTTATGGTGGAAGGCAAAGGGGGAGCAGGTATGACACATGGTGAGAGAGAGGAGATGCCAGGCTCTTTTTAACAAC
Organism: Homo sapiens; assembly: GCF_000001405.40. NCBI lineage: Eukaryota > Metazoa > Chordata > Mammalia > Primates > Hominidae > Homo > Homo sapiens. Next base: position 95,882,557 of record NC_000005.10, read on the forward strand.
CAGATATCCCATGAACTTATTACCGAGGTGGGGTGGGGGTGGGGGTGGGGGGCGGATGGAGACACCAAGCCATTCGTGAGGGATCTGTCTCCATAACCCAAACACCTCCCACCAAGCCCCACCTCCAACACTGGTAATCACATTTCAACATTAGATTTGGAGGGGACAAATATCCAAACTCTATCAGTCGGTTTGTCATGGGCACCAGTCTGCCATCATTAACTGATTCCTAATCATGACTTTGGGAAGATAAAGTGGCAAGGAACACAAACTTGAATGAGATAGCAGATTCTTGCAGTAATCCAAATCCTTGGGCCACATGAATTTTAAATATGACCGATAGAAATAGTTTGCCTCATTCATTCTTTCAATAAATTATTACTGAGCACATTTTATATGGCAGACACTAGTCTAGAGGCTGGGGACACCCTGGTGAACAGGACAGTTTCTACTCCCACAGAACTTACTAATGCAATTAGTATCCAGTTATAATTATGATAAATGCCACAAAGGAGAAGTATAGAATGAAAGAGAGCATATACCCAGAGGACCTGGGTAGTATGGGGTGGGGGCAGGGGGGCGGTTAGGAAAGGCTTCCTGAAGGAAGTGATGCCTAAGTGGAGATCTTAAGGATATGGAAGACTTAGCTAAGTGAGGAAGGGGTGGAGGGTGGTATTGGTGGTACAGAGTCTACTTAGCACATGAGGCCTTTGGGATAGGAGGAGCAAGGAGTACTGGAGAGCCTGAAGGAAGGTGTGTGTGACTGGTGTGTGGAGAGTAGGAGGAAGAGGCAGCGAGACTGGTAAGGTAGATCATGCTATCCATGTACTCCACAATGGGATTCTGTAAGCCTATTTGGAATTCAGCAAGTATGGAAGGGCAGTCAGCATGCTTCTAGAAGCCCCAGCTGTAGAACTCAAACATGCTGGCCAATTATGTGGGCTCATCTGCAGGGAGCACACTTCTACATTTATAGTCCTAGACAGACGTGAAGTTCTTATTGTCCATCTACAAATGCTCACATTGTACCAACCATTTAATTACAGTAAGAAAAACCAGCCAGGTTGGTCAGTTGAATGAGGCAAGCAGGAGTTGAAATGACACATCTCCACCATTGCACCTGGCAGAATCATCTGATCCCCAACTTGAGAATTAAGCAATCATATCAGAGCCTCCTACTGCCACTACCACTGTCAGCTTTCTGTCCCAGTCTCAGAAAGGTAAAACCAGTAGAGCAGGTACATGTACACCCAGCATTCAATAAAACAAGCCCCAAACACCTCACCTTGAAACCTCTAGCTACTGCCTTTGTCCCCTTTGCAATCAGTCAAAATGAGTTCATTCTCATATGGAAAGTAATGCTTCAAGAAACACTCCTTCTTGCATTCAGCCGATAATCTGTAAAGAACGATTTTTTTCACAGAATTCCCATGTGCTTTTATAAACAATACTGAAACCCCTCCACGCCTCAGTAAGAAAAGCATATTTTCATTTTACAGCTGAGGACAGGAGCCTGTTAAAGGTCCAGTGGGAGAAGGGACTGGGGAGGGCTCCCGACCGTCATGTTGTGAAACTCACTCATCCTTGAGGCTTCTTGTAAATATGACCAGAGGAACCGCCCACATTACTCACTCTGGGTTTTTAATACCAATGTTTGATTGAGGCTTTCTTCCCTTCCTCCTCCATTATTCCTTCAGAAGATTTTTAGAAACTGGAGGTTAAGGATTCAGCTGGGAGAATGCCCTTATGTCTTCTCAGACTGGATACCCCTAAGCTGGAGTCTGTTTCTGAGATAGGCTTTTGGTATGAAGAGAAAATGATATGATTACGAGACTGTACCCTTTCCTCCTACCTCCACCGCCCACTTTCAAATACCCCATTGTTAACACTGTACACTTCCAAAAGTAAAGCGAACATAGGGGAAACAACGTTTTCTCAAAAAGTGTGCTAGTCTCCCTTCAAATGTATTCTGTCATTTCCAATAAATCAACTCCCCCAAAATAATCCACTAGAAATCACTCCGACCCCCACATTCTAGCCTTTGGAACCAAAAGGACTTATCTAGCATATGTGGTATCACTGGAATTGTCACTTTGAAAAGATTAGTCTTATCCTATATAAACATATGAGGCCCAGGATGGAGAAGTGGTTAGGAACACAGATGCTGTGGTCAGACTTCCCAGGCTCTGCCATTTACTAGCTGTGTGATAGGCAAGTTTCTTAACTTCTTTATGACTTAGTTTGCCCACCTGTAAAATGGAGATAACAGGTGGTGAGGAGAAATGGGATAATGCAGCAAAAATGTGTAACAAAAAGGAAACCTTCCATAAATGGTAACTATGATTATTGTTCCCCTAGTAGAAGTTGTCCCTGGAGGGCCTGTCCTACACTTAGAAAAAGATCCCTGGAGCAAATTCCCTGCTCCCACTTCCTAGAGCCCTAACAAGTAATATCTCTGCTAATACTTTGTCATAGGCTCTTTCTGTTTGTTTTTAAGACAAAGAGGCTTGAAATGAGACAAAGGAAAAACAAGTACCAGAATTGCAAAGTTAACATTTTTATTGAACTGAAATTGGTGTAGAACAGGGGCAACCACAGCTGCTGAGCTCTGTAACAACTGAAAAGCCCCTGTGACATTTTACCTTTGAGAGTCCTAACACGGTTTGAGTGGAACAGCTGAGAAACAGCATATATATATTTTAACACCTCAAAATAGTTTGAAATGAGCCTCACAGCCTTGTTCAATCTTCAGATTACAAATAACATTGATAGCATCTCCTGTGGCCTTCAGTTAGTAGTGCCAGTTAATATTGTTTCTGAAAACTTTCCTCTCAAAGTGCTGGCTATAATTTTTTCTCCATCCAGTACACATAAGAAAAGGATTTAGTAACACTTGGGCAAGTAATAAACTGTAGAACTTTAAAAGTAGTAAAGGCATATACCAAGCATACGTGACTCCACACATTGTCAGAAAGGCAGTGGACTGGCTAACGAGTTTCTGCCAAGTTTCAGAAGCAAAGAATGCACTAATGAAAAGGGTAAGGCATCCAAGCAGAGTGTCTGAATTGATGGACCACTTTTGTCTAAAACTAATTTCAACATCTTCCAATATGCAAGCAGGCATTTGTTTTACATAAGGTGAAACACTTTATAAGAGAAAAGAAAACTCCTATAAAGCTTATAAGATCAGAAAAAATTAATACTGAATTTTTATAATCAATGCATGGAGCAATGATATAAACTGACCATAACAATTTTGTGAGAACAAGTATAAAACTATCCATTACTACCTTAAAGAGTTGAAAGTTAAGCCCTCTAAAGTATTCAAAGTGGAATAAATAACAAGGTAGGAAATGCAATACCTATATATTTTAAAAAGCCCACATCTAGTTAATGTTCTCTTAGTTTGTTTTAAATCAGTTGTTCATCCAACCTGGAGTTGATTTAAGGATGTTGGTAAAAATCTTCAAAAGTCCTTCAAATCATTTTAGATGAAATGTGATAGAAAAAACTATACAACTCATTCTCTAATCTTGCTATTTTTCACACCATCCTTCCAAAAAAGAAAAGAAAAAAAACTAGATAAATTCTTCCACCGGAGTAACTGACATTAAGTGGCCACTATTCCTGTAGTAATCATTTGTAAGAATCTAAAAGTCTTGCAGTAGGGGACGAAAAATGATTATAAATATTTTAATAGGCTCATGCCTCATCTTCAAAAGGGATGAAACTTGGATAGTAGCAGATTCAGAGATTTATAATTTTCAAATTTACAACTAATAGACAGACACACTTTTGCAAGGATCTGTCCAACACATACAACTAACATCTAAATTAAGGCTTTTACTGGTATGTGATCAGGTCTAAGGGTATGCAATGCTGGATTTCCATTTAGCATCTCCAGCTTTCATTGTTACCCAACTTGTAAACCAGAAGATGTGCTGATGTACAGGGTAGGAGCTCCAATGGCTAACCATTCACCAACTGGAAGGCTTGTTTGTAAACAGGTTCTGAAACAAGAGTTGGCAGTGAAACAACTGAGGAGGTGCCTCAGATCATGCAAAGGGGAAAAGTGATTTGCACCTGCTGACATGATGGACATTAAAAAAAAAAAAAAGCCAATAGTTGACCTTCAGTTCAAGATTTCAAGATTTACAGACCTAAAAGTTTAGAACTACATCCAAGCCAATGGTTCTCATACTTTAGCTTGCAGAAAGTCACCTACAAGAAACCTGTGAAAATGCAGATACTTGGGCCCTATACCTAGAGATTCTAACTCAGGTGATCCAAATGGTCCAAGCACCTTTTGCTTTTGAGAAACCTTGCTCATAGCAAATAGCAGCACACAGTCTTTGATTAAAAGGCCAAGATGTCCAAGAAATAACACCAATGAGTTCATTACCTATAGACGAACCACTCAGGAGACTCTATCATAATAATATGATGCCTGAATTTATCCCCAATTAAGTTTCCCTTTCCTTTTTTCAATTAAAAAGTTTGAAATAAATTAACGTTTAATAATGATTGTACCAATTCTGAGGTAAAAAAAGAGCACCAGGGATCTCAATGCTAAAAGAAACAGAATTCCTTAGGAGGTCCATGCTACATAGAACCAAAATTTCTGCGGTAATGTTATAGAGTTGTAGTGCAAAAGGGACTTGTTTCAGTCTTTGTATAGTCTGTATACTTCTGTATACATTTAGTATATTATCTAATCTTTCCAGTTAATGTTTTAGAACTCCAAAGAGAAAAGTTAATCTACATGCTCTCTCAAGTTTTCTAGATAACCAACATTTTTCTGGTTTACAGTGATACACAACAAAGTTATTCATTTATTTTTCTGGATGCTGGAGACAAACATCTTTATTAAAGACACTACCAAAATTTTGGCAAACATTTCAAAACAGATTTGTAAACATAATGCTTCCCTTTTCAACTGGCAGCACTTTGAAAAGACAATACAATAAGACAATACAACTTGAATCAACATTAATTCAAAATCCTTATATTTTTGACCACATAACTTATGTTCCCACATGATAAAACAAGTGACAGTTTAAATCAATGTCAACAGATAAACTCCATGAAATGAAAGTTTGTGCTGTTTGATGAATCACAGTATGTTATGGTTAAATATATCCACTCTTTTTTATATTCCTGGCACCAGGATGAAAAAAAAAATCTTTAAATATACCTCTTATGTAGGTAATAGCTTCTTTGCATATCTCTCTTCAAAAAATACTTTATAGCAGTATATAAATAGGTTACCTACACATTTCATTTTATAATTTTGTCCCAAAACTATAGATCTGTTTCATTTTCATGACATATCAATTTTTGCCCAACATTAATAAAGCTGACAAACTCGTTGAAATGGAAATGCTTTTGTCTTCCACAACAAAAGTAGCAATTTGATAGAAGAAAAAAAACAAAAAAACAAAAAAACACCCTACAGTAACACTCGTCAGTTGTTTAACCTGAGCGTTTGGCCTACTAGGAGTAGCAGCTTTTTTTCCTTCATGCACGCTCACATCCACACCACCTCTGCACACATACAGATCGAGCACACACTTCCAGATGCTGGTAGGCCACAGTATGCTTCCCATTGCTCTAATCAAGTGGGAAGCAGTGTAGCTAATGATTAACCACACTATGTACACAACTAGCAAACACCTTAAGGCAACCATTGCAATGGGGGGTTAACTTGCAGGGCGGATTTAATGTTCTAGATCAAGTCAGCCTGTATATACATATGTGTATGTGAATCTATACACATACACCTTTCTATTTTTTAACCCTCCAAGACAATGTTTATTTTTTTAATTTTGTGCAAATTTCTAAATATTCTACCATTTAAGGCAAAGAGTTTGCATTAAGAAACGTCAGAAAATAGGCTTACGTTTATCCAAAAGCATTTCACCTTGCACATTACTGTTGTTGTTTTTTAAACACATACAACTTTTAAGTGTGGACACTGGATCCCCAATATCTAAAAAATCATTTCTAATAACAAACACAAGTTTTTGAGGAAAAAAAACTGATTTGAAATATAGACAATGGATCCCCAATACCTAAAAAAATTATTTCTATTAACAAACACAAGTCTTGGGGGTGGGGTGGTGGGGAGGACCAGAAAGAGCAGCTTCGAAATGCAGGGAAGCAAAGTAAAATGGAAAAGAAAAAGTAACTCAAGTTTACTAATACTGAAACTTTCAACAGCCAAAGTTTCACCTTTTTAGAATCTAGAGCAACTCATTTGGAATTTTAAATAAATAAGCTTAAGTTTATTCACATCTTCTGGTCCAAGCAGAGTTCTAGGACCATGACTCTGCTTGCTGTTGGTCAAATTCACCTATTAGCCTTTTGATGTGAGCCAGCTTGTTATGAAGATATTCACATCTGTATTTTTCTTCATGGTAATTGGGACTAGACTGCAGATGAAAAAAAAAAAAAAAAAAGAGGAATGAGATTGCAGAATTTACAACATTTTTCAACCACAGGTCAGAAAATCAACAGTGATGATACCTACCTGCTTTATCTTCTGATATTCTTGTAAGACTTCTTCATGAACATTCTACAAAATTAAATATTAGAAATCAGAAGAGAACAACTTCTTTTGTGTGTGGCAATACAAATAGATAACATGCATTCAGCAAGAGTATAGGAAATATTGACTGTGGGAATGTAACTTGAAACAATCTTTATGGAAGGCAATGTGGCAACAGCTATCAAAATAGTAAATGCAAAATCGACTCAGCAATTCTACTTATCCTATGGACACACTTGCTCCCCAGTGAATGACACATATACAAGATTATTCACTGTAGTGCTGTTTGTAAAGCAAAAGACAGTAAACAAAATTGAAATGTCCATCAATCTATACAAAGGATACTAAGAGGCCATTAAAACATGCCAAAGTGTTTTATGTACCAATATAAAAAAATTCTCTAAGATGCATTATATTGTTTAGTGAAGAAAGCAAAGTGCTGAACAATATGGACAGCTTGATACCATTAGTTTAAAAGAGAAAAACACAATAGTATTCTAAGAATTCCATTACTTGTAAGATGCTCATTTCTCCCCATTTCAATGAAACCAGTACAAATAATAATGTATCATAATTTAAGTTATTGGGCATAAAACAATGGTGTAGCTTACAAATGAAGAAACCTTAGATTCAATTAAATACGGTATATATGTTGAAATTACTTGTGTAGATATGTACATACATTTTATACCATGTGTACATACATGCACATATCACACACATAAACACACTTCGAAAGAATACACTGGAAACCAGTAACAGTGATTTTCTGTGGGGATTGGTGAGGGGGGGAGTCAGGTGCCTGGGGGGGATAATAGCCTAATGTATGTACCAAGTACCAGGCATGGATCCAGGCACTTTACTGTGCTTACTTATGTTTATTCCTCATAACTCAATGATTATCCCATTTTATGGATGGGGAATTCAAGGCAAAGAGGCATTAAGTAACTTGCCCAAGGCCACACAAATATTAACCACTCCTAACCAAGTAATCCTTGGAATTATATTCTAGTTTCAGTATAATTATATACATTGATAAATGACTATATAGAAAAAAAAATAAACCCCAAACCACCATGTCACCAACCTCTTGCACCTCTGAACACCGATTCTTCTGGCAGTCTCCTATAACTCTCGCCAGCTTGTTGAAAAAGATTAAGGCCCTCTAGTAGAAGACATAATGAATCTTGAGGACACAAATGCTCTCAGGCTGTTTACTGTTGTGGGAAAACTCATCCATTGTCTCACGTAGGCTCCAGCCTGAACACTGGTAGTGGGCTGGGACAGAGGCACCACTATACCACCTGTGTCCGTGAAGTGTGACAAAGTTATCTAGCCCACACGGGAGGGAAATACTCATTTCTATCAATCCCTTTGCTAAGAACTACAAAAATAATCAGGAGACAGGTCAGGCAGGCATCTCCTGCTCTTTGTCAGCTGTAGTAATATTACCACTTCAAGTAGGAAAGTGAAAACAGAGTAAGACTGGTTAACAAAGATCCGTCTTTGTAGCTAGAAGCAGCAAACTTCTTTACTTAAACCCCAAATCTCTGTGTATTAAGCCCTCTTTATTTCCTATGTTTGTATCTTCCCTATTCTATCTCAGATTGAGGTTTAAAGAAAAATACTTGAAATAGCACTGTTTTGGGATAGCACCAGACCTATGAGCTGTAGTCTAAGTTGGCAGTGTAATTAATCAAATAGTTAGCTGAATCTCAAGATCCAACTTTTTTTCCTATTTAGTTGTGTTTGGTATTTTTCTCAATATGTGATACATTATAGTGGCACAAGGTTTTTTTCCACTGGTAGAAATACAGGTTTACTATGTTAATTTATTTTCAAGAACTATTTCAAATATTTAGTTTCCTAAAGCAGCAGCGAGGCTGGTCTGCAAGAGTACTTACTCTAAAGGCCACTGTGATGGCTGAGGTTGAGCAGGGCAGGGAAAGAAAGAAGGTAAAATATGAAAGTCAGCCCATCTAGTTACAAATCCATTTACCTGATACTCTTTTGAGCCTGGAGAAAGGCGCTTTCTTTGTGCATCTAGTTTGATAAATCTTCTAGCTACAGTCTCCATCCTGGCATGCAAAGCTCTGTACTCATCATACTCTGCATTGAAGTCATCCTTATAATTCTGGCGTTGCTCATAGGAGACGATAGCGATATATTTTCTAATAAGAAAAAAGATAAATGGAGAGTAGCTACCCAATAAACATGATTGCACAAGTCTGAGATTTAAACCAAATATTTAGAGATTAGATCCATGCATGTGTCACTAATGTTTAATGCCACTCTGCCACTGGTTGGCTGCCAGGTCACTCCTCCAAACATCTTCCAGGTAAAATTATTACACAGAGTTTGAGAGCTTCAACGAAGGAGAGTAAATGTGGTAAAGACATGGTGGCAATGGAACTAAAATGCAACTAAGTAAAAAGAAAACAGTATTTACACAGATCTAGTTTCCTGAACCTTTCTCTATCCAAGATAATTCACTACCACACTAATGGTGGATGCTAACCCATCTGTTACAAGTCACAGAGAGACAGAAGGACTCAATGGGTAATGTGAAACCAGGAGAATGTCACGCAGTCCGTGAGTGCTGAAAGTCAAAGCTCTCTCTGGACCTACTGCTTTATGAGAGGCAGTCTGTTGCTTGGCCTTTCAGATATGCTGCTAGCAGACATCTTCAACAAAGTGCCTCAGGCTTGCTTCCTCTATCCCTTTCCTCATATTTCTGACCAAGCAAATACATGAAACACAAAAGGGAAATTACCAACCATTCTGTAAAATGAGGGTTAGACCAAAAAAAGGCATATTTCTCTAGTTCTTTTCAAACATTTAAATGTCATACTATGTTGAACAAAAGCCAGTGTTGTACTATTAGTCCAACTTACTTTCTTAATAAAATGCCATAAATCTGTTTTACTTTGGGATGTAAATTACTCTTAACTGGTAAGAGAAGACCATTTTCCTAGAGCATCAGTTTATTCAATAATAAGTAAATTAAAACAGCATTTTATTATTAAACTTAGAATTACAGTATTACTTTTTTTTTTTTTTTGAGACGGAGTCTTGCTCTGTCGCCCAGGCCAGAGGGCAGTGGCGCGATCTCAGCTCACTGCAACCTCTACCTCCTGGGCTCAACCGATTCTCGTGCCTCAGCCTCCTGAGTAGCTGAGATTACAGGTACATGCCACCATGCCCGGCTAATTTTTGTATTTTTAGTAGAGACAGGGTTTCGTCATGTTGCCCAGTCTGGTCTCGAACCCCTGGCCCCAAGTGATCCACCCGCCTTGGCCTCCCAAAGTGCTAGGATTATAGGCGTGAGCCACTGCGCCTGGCCTATTACATATTACAGTATTACTTATTTGTAGATCTGGGAACTGGGATCACATAAGGAACTGGCCTGGTTCTTTGCACTCTGTGTTCCTATCATTAATGCAAACTTCCCTTGAGTTTTTGAAATAAAAATTGAGATTTCAAAGCAATTTCAGGCAGGTGGCAGGAGATTCAGGATGCCCCTTGGGGGTACACATATATTCTTCACTGCCATAAAATCTTGGAGTTCAGTCCTCTCCAAATGGTCTTATATAAGCCCATCAGTTTGTTTAAATTACTAATATCACAGACGCCTAGCAGAAAATGTGAGAAAAGTGATGCAGTGAGCAAACTTAGTGTCCTCATTAATATTTTTATTCATGCTGAATTAGACAGTGTAGAGGTTTAATTTTCTAAGTATAATTGAGACAGTGATAGTCTGCTGATGTAAAGCTGCCCTCCTGGTGTCTTAGCTATAAAAGGTACACTGCCAGCCAAGCAGTGAAGCAGTCCTTCCTAGGCATGGGCTGTATTGACTGTACACCAGAGGGAGCCCCGGGGTAAAAAGAGGTTCCTGGGGATAAGCATATATTAGCAACACAGCTAAACCGATCTTAAAACTTAGACTTAATTTGTTATATATTTATCGTGCTTTCTCAAAAGCATACCTTCAGTATTTTATTTAATAATTTCCTTAGGGAAATTATTCAATGACCACAGTTGTGTGGTCAACAACTGTGTTGCTATTATAGAAGAGATTATTTGGTTACACTGGCATTTTTAAGAAAAAAGTTGTCCTACTTTTACGAAAAATTGTTGTAGTTCTACAGTTGGCTGTTTATGTGGTGATGGAAAAAATTTTAAACAGTTTTGATAGCTTAACTACAAGTAAAAGTATTCTTATTACATAAAAATTAGAAATATTTTCGTTAAGTATGAATTATTCAAAGGTTGATAATTTAGGTTTTTTATTATTTTTTTGAGATGGTGTCTTGCTCTGTCGCCCAGGCTGGAGTGCAGTGGCACCATCTTGGCTCACTGCAAACTCCGCCTCCCGGGTTCACACCATTCTCCTGCCTCAGCCTCCTCAGTAGCTGGGAACCACAGGCACCCGCCACCACGCTCGACTAATTTTTTGTATTTTTAGTAGAGACGGGGTTTCACCATGTTAGCCAGGATGGTCTCGATCTCCTGACCTCGTGATCCGCCCACCTCGGCCTCCCACAGTGCTGGGATTACAGGCGTGAGCCACCGCGCCCGGCCTCGATCATTTAGGTTTTATAGTATATCCCTTTAGTTTTCTTATGAGGCAACTTAAGTTCTGTAGTTTTGGTAATTTTTCTGAAAATCCACGCTTTTTCACTATTTTTAGAAAATTTGCTATATCTATGTAAGACTAGTTTTTAGTTAATATAAATTGTGTTTATTTAAATAAATTAAGCGAACAATCACATAGTACTAGAAACATGACAAACATACAGAAATGCACCAAGGCAGATCCAGGAACCATCCTTAGATAAGTAACCTGAAAAAACCTTTTAAATATGAAATTAAGGCCAGGCTCACACCTGTAATCCCAGCACTTTGTGAGGCTTGAGGTGGGTGGATCACCTGAGGTCAGGAGTTCGAGACTAGCCTGGCCAATATGGCGAAACGCCATCTCTACTAAAAATACAAAAAATTACCCAGGCGTGGTAGTGGGCGCCTGTAATCCCAGCTACTTGGGAGGCTCCGCTTGAACCCTGGAGGTGGAGGTTGCAGTGAGCCGAGGTCGCACCATCGCACTCCAGCCTGGGCAACAAGAGCGAAATTCCGTCTCAAAAACAAAAAAAGGGGGGATTAACTAATGAACTTGGCAAAACACAACAGCCTTGAATCCATGGGCAAAAGTTTAGCATTGTTTTTTAGTTTCCCCACATGATTCTGTCGTATATAATAAGTATATGTCACTATTATAAAAAAGAATTCAAAAAAGAACAAGAGCACTGCATTGGCAGTTGCTACTCAAGGGGGCTGACATTTAAAGACTTCTAAGGAGAAGTCGTTTGCAGTTAAAGAGGTGAACCCCCTCAGCAGCAGAGCCAGAGGCTGTCCTGGAAGACTGGCTGCAGACAACTGACCCTTCCTGGGCCAACTAAGTGGTAGGTGATAGCTGCCTTTCAAGGCCCTCCTAGAGAACTCTAAAACCATACACTACCTCAGATGAGAGGGTACTCAGCAAGGTTTCTCAAGTTCCTGTTAGTTAAGAGATGATAACCAGCATTATGGTTTCATACTGTATCATTCCCCAATAAGTATAGCTTTCACACTACTGTTAAGCAGAAGTAACACATTTTAAATCTAAAATGATCTTTACTCTGGAAATGAAAAGGGCTAAACAGCATAGTTTAACATTGTCCACCATGAGATGCTACTAATAGAAAAAAAGTGTTCAGACAGCCCAGATTCCATTTTCCCTTTTACATTCTAGCTATTTTGCACATTTGTTCATTTTCAAAGCTATCCAAAGTCAGATTTGTTTGCTCTTTCCCTCTCCATTTTTCCAGGCTCTTGCAACTTAATTATTTTCTTCTTACAGAGGCCTTTTATTCTGCAAAAAAGCTAGAATTATGTGTCCAAGTTATAATTTCTGTGATAACCAGTTACAAAAATGTCCCCAGCTCAGCATTTAGCAACTTGTTGTCACAACAAGAAAACATTATAACCATTACTAAATTGAAATGATCAGATTTTACTCTTATCTCCTCTAAAAATTAATTTGAGGGCAGAACTTAAATAAAAATCAATCTATCTTTACACTTTGTATTATTATGTGCAGAGGTTCAAGCACTTTGTCAGCAGTAAACCATCCCTTTGGGGGACCCAAGTGAATGACTGTGCATTGATAAGACTGTCAGCTTTGAAGAGTCAGATCCCTAAAATCTTTCATAATCAAATGCTTAGCCTGGCCCCAGAACAAAGGACAGGATTCTCTATACTTAAAGGCCAACGAATACAGCTCAGAGCGGGGGGAGGCACAACCTGCTCATGCAGACAAGGGTAGATTTGGGATGAGCAGGCTAAATGGCAGCCTTTCAATTGCAAGGGTGGCTCCAGGACTCTATTTCTGGAACTTCTTACTTTTCTGATTTGCAAATTATGGGAAAAGAATTTGCAAACTTTCTAAAATTAAGCCGCTCTCTCCATTGGCAGACATATGAACTTACATCAAATAATCTGGGAGTTCAATTGCTGAAGGTTCCATGGAGGCAGTGCAATCCTCTTTAACTCCTATGAAGAAAAAAAACAAAATCAGAGCATTCATCAACTACGAAGGTTATCAAATGCCTGTAATTCTAAAATAGATTAGAAACATCTGGAACACTTTTCCTCAAATTCTATTCTTCCATCTCAATAAGCAACAGTGAGCAAGGAATACAATTGAACATGAACAATAGAGGCCCTATGACCAGCGCCAGCAGAACCGACGCCAGGCATTTAAAGCACCCTGGCTACTGCAGTGTCTGCACAATAAAGGAATTCCATCTTAACCCAAGGTCAGTCTTCTATTCTTTCAACAACAGTTGTGGCATCTGCCCAGCAATTCAAAGATTGTGGTGGCAGATGCAGCCAGACAATGGGAGATACAAATTTTACATCAACATCTACTTTTCATGGGATTCAAACAAGGCGGATGAGACAATAGAGTCAGGTAGCCGACTGCTTTGGTCACTGTATTTTTATTGCCTCCCTTTTTTGTATGCAGACAGTGGAATTTGGTAGAAAGTTTTCCCATTGGTTTAAAGTAATTTAAAATAAGGTATTATTGAATGTCGATTTATATTCCTATAATCTCTAGCACTCATAACACTAAACAGATTTTTTTTTTTTTAAGGACAAAAGAAGTGCTAAACATTGTGGCTACACAGTGAAAGTATGTAAATCCCTCAGTATGCCATTTGCTTAAATGCACCATGTCCAGAGGATATGTTTAGATTCTTTATCAGGGTAATTTTTTATCATTGAAAGTAGGGTTAAACTGATAACTCAAACCCTAATCATGCCCACTGGCAAAACATATAAAAGTGAATGTTAGGTAATTTCTCGGTTTAATATTTTAAAGGACAAAGTACCCTAAACAAATATTAATACATAGACTCTGAGTGCATGCTGCTCACCTATAAATTCATGCTTGGGTAAAAGAACATGCTTTTACGATAGTCTGAGTCTTAAAGAGAAAGGCATCAAGTGCAGGTCACCTGGCTTCCCTTCTGCCATAGACACCAGATAAATTCCAAAAAATGCAGGGGATGTGGGTCTAGAGCTTTCCTAACTTTGTAATTATCGCAACTGGTTCTGAAAGTTACTATATCCTCAGTAAAGAATTCAAAGAGACTAAGTCTGCTTCTCCAGGTCTCCAACTCTGAGAACACTTGGAACTCTGATGTAGATCTCAACATACTGAAATCCAGTTTTCCTGTCTCTAGCCTTTGACTCAGAAGCACCACCTGAGGGTGGAAAGTGTGGAGAGTGGAGTTTACCCAGTGGCTTATGAACTCTGAACATAGAGTTCTACTTCATTTCTTTTCCTGACCTGACAAATTCAACTATAAGAGTGTTGAGGGAAAAAGCTTACACCTACCTTTTGTGCCATTACATAGTATTATATTGACTGAAATATTTAAACAGAAATGCTTTGACATGCAATGTATCCAATCTAGATCAAGAAAAGCACATATCATATCATATTCTACAGCGGCTTCTTTGGAAGTAACACTAAAAGAAAATAGAGCTTCTCTCATATGGCAAAGATGGTCAATTAAATCTAAGGATTACAGACTTTCAGAATCATGAGCAAAATACAGAAAGACAACACTCCTTATAACTCTACTCATTAAAGTAATTTTTCCAAAGCCATATTTTCCTATGGAATTTTGCCTTAGTTATTCTGGTTTTAAAACTGGCAGCAATGCCAAATGGTGAACTTGGATCTTCTATGTGGTGGCATGCAAGGAATTAAGTTTTAGAGGACATATTTTTTAAATAAGAAAAATCTAATTTTGTCAGTTTTTAACACTCAGGACATCTTAGGCAAGCAAGCTTTTTATGAATTAGCTTTTCTTTAGAGGTAAAGCTTTAAGTTTCTTTGGATCTCTAGATATTTAGCATTTAAGCTCCTAAAGCTTTGAAATGGCTAATTTTACAAATAACAATTGATGTTAGTTCACTAAAACAGGACTCTCAAAATTGGGGGAAAAACCCCTAAACCTTAAGATCTATTAAGCGAACGCTAGCCAACAGTCTTGCAAAAGACAAAGTGTTTTCACTCTAAATAAAGATGATGTTATGAATCTGCAAATGAAATTTTATCTTGGCCTGATTTATTAAAAAGTTGACCTTTCCCCTGTGCTAATATTAATTGAAGCAAGGGTGACCCTGTTTCATTGAGAAAGAAGGAAATGAATATTCTTATTGCAAATTGTGTCTGATTAAATCAGTTCAAGAATGGCATATAATAGGTCATGCTGAGGCTGCACAATATCATAACAGATATGGAAAAGAATGTTAAAGGTCCACCTTCCAAAAAGGAGTCTCAAGTATGACAGTCATTTTCAAATGCCATTCTTATTAATATAGAAATCATGTTTAATAGTTGGCCAAAAAGAGATGGAAAACAACTGCTGTAAAATGAAAAAAAAAAAAAAAAACTGCTCAAAAGCACAACACTAAGATTAATAATTAAATGAAACGTCATTTGCTAAAGAAATTACTAATTATAAACTGTGTAATTTCAAACTCATGATAGCATGCACTTCTGGTTCATCTAAAGGTAAAATACCTCCACTGGAATTTGGACTGGAGTTATTTAGCTTGGCAATTTCCTCTTCTCTCTTAAGATCTTCCTCCTTTTCCTCAATAGTCTCAATGTCGTGCTTTTTTATTTGGTCCTTTTCCTTATGTTTTTTAGACTTCTTTTTGGACTTTTTGTGAGACATTGAATGGTTTTCTTCCATAGGCTTTGGACACTTTAGTAGAACGGAACCAGGGGGTAAGGTTTCCAGAGAAGTCCTAGAGGTATATTTGTCTTGCTGGTCCTCATAGATACTATCGTTTTGACTAAAACTGTCAACAGGTAGGTCTTGAGTCCCCCGGCCTTCTGGAGTGCTAGGGGAGTTGGAGTTAGAATTTACAATCTGAGGAGGATGTGAGATGGGCAGATAGGTTGAAGGCAGCGGTGGAGGGGTAGGGATGGCAGCAGCCGCAGGGGGCAGCGGGAGGCCTGCAGCAGATTTTTCACTGGTGGGATTCAAATGACCATTTAGTGTTGGTGGTACTCTGTTCGTCAGGTGAGATATTCGGGCTTTTTTATTCATTAAAGGATCAATAAACTCTGAATCCAAAAGCCGTTTCTAGGGGAGGGAAAAGGAGAAAAGTGAGCCAGTTTGCACTAAAATTAAATAAATTCAATACATGCATGGCTGGTTAAACAACTAAGTAACCTTACTTACTATTAATATTACCAGGGTTGTAATATTACACGCTTTCTTCATGCTTAAGCAAAAAACAAACAAACAAAAAACCCAAACAAAAACTAAACCAGAACAACAACAACACAAAACCAAATGTGAAATACATTTTCATGTTTAATGTCAAAAAGCAGAATCTGGCAAATGTTTCTTGAAGTGCTTACTGAATTCTTTCTAATCATACAGCTTTACCCTAAGTTCCAAGAGAGACTATGCTGATTTATGTGGATTATACCACTCAGGAGAGTATTAAACAGAGGCAGTCACCCTCCATTGCTGGCTGTGGTTGACCTAGTTATATTAAATGAGAAGAGAAAGCAATTTGTGCCGTTTGACTCTGTGAGAACTAACACAGCTAGGTAAAGGGCAATAGCCTGCACTTATTTTAATCTTTAATGGGCTAAAATGCTCCAGTTAAGAGTATTTTGGCTGTCATTTATCATTCCACCTGTCTTAGAGTGGGAACAGCCAGCACTTTCAGAATAGTTTCTCTAATTATCTCTATCACTGTTGAAATGCTATTTAATTTTTTTTTTTACCGTTACATATCTCTTTACCAGATTGGAAGATAAGTCTTAATAATTGGTCCATTAAAATTAGGTGGAAGTACTTTAAAAAAAATCATGGTAATAGTAGCCTAATCTGTCAACAACAATAATAGTATTTAAGTTAAAAAGGAAATTTAGATAGTTGAAAACTATAAAATATAAATTCACATTTATGCTTAAATGTAATGCTGTAGCTTGTATTCTGGCTTGAAAGAAAATAATGGTTAATCAACTCATTATTTTGTTTTCAATTTAACACCATTTATTTGGCACCTAGTATATAATTTGATCAGAGTAGAAGTAGTTTCATAATAGTTGGCATTAAAAGTGAGACTTCCACAGACATTGTATATATGCAAGGACAGACCTGCTTTTTTTCCTTTTTCTTTTTTGTTCCCCCTCTGTTCCTCACAATAAGTTTCTAATATTTTCTGATGTGCGAATGGCTGTTTGCCCAGGGTATGCTTAGTGTTCTCCACACATCTGTGGGCTTCTCACTAATTCTTGGGAGTAAGGTCCAGAGAGAGAGAGGGAAGACACTGTGTCAGCAGTACTGGGGTGGGGAGGTGCGTCCCACTGTCTGTCAAAAGCACCCAGAACACCGAGAGAGTTCTGAGTTTGGCCAATCAGCTGAGAATCAGGCAGGCTTCACTCTAGTACTGCCTAGGACCTTCTCACCTTTTTCTTGGATGAGCTGAATCTCTTGGGGGAAAACTCTAAACTGGAGAAGAATCTGATTGGGAGTACTCTGATAAGGATCCAATTAAAAAGAAAACATGGAAACATGCCATCATTTTTGTTTATTTGTTGATTGTAAATCCATTTTCCCCAAAAAATATTCTTCTGGAACATGTTGACAGACAAAATTAAGTATCTTCAATTTTCCATATAATCTGATAATTGTTTGGGACTGGGTAAGTCTTCTAGTTAGTGACCAAATTGGAAAGTAGATAATCTTACAACAAAATGTAAACTTTAAAAATGGAAAGCAAGGTAGACATTAAGTACTCTGACAAGCAGTGCTGTGTAGTGGAGAAAGTTCTGGGCTGGAAGCCAAGACCTAAATTCTAGGCTAAGCTCAGCCATAACCAGATGGCTTTGGGCAGGCAAGCTGTCCAGCTTCTCCGGGTCTCATTTCCTTCACTTATACATCAGAGGACCTGATTAGAGGCCCCTAATATCTATGTCAGGTCTATAATTCTATGTTTATGACATACCTGAGGAGAAGATACAGCGTCTCTACTAGAACATACAGGAGATTCTGAACGGCTGGTGCCTGCAGCATTCTGAGACGGATTTAGTTTTCTGTAAAGGACACACATGTTATGTGTTAAGGAGATGATTTAAAAATGTTCATGAT
The DNA here is from genome assembly GCF_000001405.40 of Homo sapiens. Taxonomy (NCBI): domain Eukaryota; kingdom Metazoa; phylum Chordata; class Mammalia; order Primates; family Hominidae; genus Homo; species Homo sapiens. Next base: position 95,900,836 of record NC_000005.10, read on the forward strand.
AGAAAGCTTGCCTTGCTTCCCTTCCCACCTTAACACTAAAATAACAATGACTAAAATAATGACTTATTTCCATAATTTTTAAAGAAACATTTTTTTAAAAGCAAGAAAAAAAGAATTCACCTAGAGAGCACTGACTCCAATGACCGTCTGTCTATTTCACTGTATCCAGGCCAGTCTCTTTGAAGCTCTTTAAAAACATAATCCTTTAAGGTATATGAGAGGTCCTTAGAATTCAGATTGGCTACCTAGTATGAGGTATAAAAACAGAGCATTAGGTATTTTTACTATCATCTCCTAACCTAAAACAGGCAACCTTTAGGATTTACACTGAAAATAATTACATCAATTGGCCCCAAAGGGACTGCTAGTTTTGTATTATATGCCAGATCTCAATAAATGCCATTAACTTCATTTTGGGAATTAAAGCTTTATATACACAGCTAAATGTTTTTTTCCCAGAATGGCCATTGCATTTTTAATATTTCTAATCAGATAATAAGCCCATATTAGGAAAAAAGTGAAGATTTTAAAAAAATCAATTATTTTAGTCAAAGGAATCCAAAACAGTTGTACAGTAGTCCCCTCCTTATCTTCAAAGGATACACTCAAACACCCCCAGTCGATGCCTAAAAACTCCGATGGTAACGAACCCTATATATACTGTTTTTTTCTTATACATACATACCTGATAGTTTAATTTATAAATTAGGCATGGTAAGAGATTAACAATAACTACTAATAAAATAGAGCAATTATGCCAACATGCTGGCAACACTACTCTTGCGCTTTGGGGCCATTACTAAGTAAAATAAGGATTACTTGAACACAAGTACTATGATATTACAACAGTCGATTTGAAAACGGAGATGGCTAGTGACTAATGGGGGACATACAGAGGGTTATCCAATCCACTGCTGTGGTATCTCAGTGCATGTGTCCAGGTAACCCTTACTGCACTTAATAATGGCCCAAGATGGCTACCAAGTGACTAATGAGTGGGTAGCATCTACAATGTAAAGCTAAACAAAGGGATGATTCACATCCTGGGCGGGACAGAGCAGGACAATGTGAGGTCTCATCACGTTTCTCAGAACAGCGTGCTACTTAAAACTAACAAAATGTTTACTTCTGAAATTTTCCTTTTAATATTTTTGGATCATGGTTGACCATAGGTAACTGAAACCCCAGAAAGTGAAACCACGGATAAGGACTACTGTATTACCAACATCCTTATTTACTTCTGGGCAATTGAGTCCATTACTTTTGAGTCACAATAAAAATCCTTGATCACTTGTATTAAGTAGAAACCAAACAGTGCCCAAATGTTGGGTTACAAACTTTCCTTTCAGTCATCAACCAAACACTGTCTTCATAAATAGTATCAATTCTGATAACCTTGTCTGTCTTTCTTTGGATAACCACGCTTGCTCCTTATATCTGCCAGTTCTCCTGAAGAACCACTTACTCAAAGTCCTTGAAATTCCCCAAACCAATAAATGAAAACATATGCCTAGAGAACCCCCAAATTACTGTTATTAGTCAGCCAGTTTATTCCGAAGTGTAATCTTTTCTTATCCCTTAACTGCAATTCCTAGAGTTTCGCGGCTTAGCCATTAACTAACTACACAAACATACAGGTTCACGTGCCAAACCAAAAGTAATTAATTTTTAAGGCTAGGAGAAAATTACTCTTGCTTATGACTTCCTACTGGAATAGATCATTCTTTCTGTGTCTTTTAAAAGTACTAACAAATATGATAGTTTATGCTTCTCACAACTTAGCTGAACACTATTCTAACAGTAATGTTTCTATTAAGGAGAAAATAGGTTTATCTTAAAATTCAAATTTGCAAAATTCAAATTTGCAAATAAGTTAATATAGTATACACCCAGATTTCTTGAGGTGGAATAAACACAATCCATCAATTTTCTTTTTTCTTTCTTCTTACTCTTTTTCATTTTTTGAGACAAGGTCTCACTCTGTCACCCAGGCTGGAGTCCAGTGGCAGGAACATGGCTCACTGCAGCCTTGACTTCTTGGGCTCAGGTGGTACTCCCACCTCAGCCTCCTGAGTAGCTGGGACTACAGGTGGACACCACTATGCCCGGCTAGTTTTTGTATTTTGTATTTTTTGTAGAGATGGGGTTTCACCATATTGTGTAGACTGGTCTCAAACTCCCGGGCTCAAGCAATCTTCCCTTGGCCTCCTAAAGTGCTGGGATTATAGGTGTGAGCCACTACGCCCCACTGGCAATGCTTCCATTTTCTTTTACCCCCAGCACTACACACATTGACACCCCCACCCCCACAGCAATCCATTTTCTAGGTTTTTGTAATAGGACATTCTCCTGGTTTCCGCCTCTCTTAGGACCTTTTTTTTTTTTTTTTTTTTTTTTTTCCGAGACAGAGTCTTGCTCTGTCGCCCAGGCTGGAGTGCAGTGGCATGATCTCAGCTCACTGCAACCTCTGCCTCCCAGATACAGGCAATTCTCCTGCCTCAGCCTCCTGAGTAGCTGGGATTATAGGCGCCTGTCACCATGCCCAGCTAATTTTTGTATTTTTAGTAGAGACAGAGTTTCACCATGTGTTTCACCATGTTGGCCAGGCTAGTCTCGAATTCCTGACCTCGTGATCCCCCCACCTCGGCCTCCTAAAGCGCTGGGATTACAGGGGTGAGCCACGGCGCCTGGCCTAGGACCTTTGTTTTTTAAGTCTCTGTTTCTCAATCCTCTATATGTTGAAATGCTAAAGTACTTAGTGCCTGTTTTCTGCTCTGTTTTCCTCATTCTGTTCATTTCCTCCTAAGATGATTTCATTAAGTTTGAAGACTTTCAATACCCAATATATATGCTGCTAATTCCTAAATTTATAACTCTAGCCCCAACTATCCTCTGACAACCACACCCTTACATATAACTATCTACTGACATCTATCTCCACTTGGATATGTCTAATAGACATCTTCCAAATGGAGTCTATATAAGACAGAATTCCTGATCCTCTTCTCCCCCTTAATCCTACTTCTTTTCCATCCTTCCGCATCTCAGTCAATGGCTCAATATCCATTCAATTGCTCAGCCAAAAACCTAGCTATAATCACAGATTCCGTTCTTCCCCTCATTGTCTCCCTACACCTAACCGTTAGCAAGTCTTATCACAAAATATTAGGCTCTTTAAGTAGTCTCTCTCCTCTACTCCTGCCCCTCCAAGCCATTCTTGCCGTAGAAGTCTTAAATGCAGTCTAAATGCAGTCTAAAATGCAGCCATCTGAGAAAAGGTTCCCTGATCTCTCCACTTAAAGCAGAGGATTCCTTCCCCAGCTCCTTTCAACTCCTCACTGGTCCTGAAATTGTCTCATGAATAAGCTCCATGAGGGCAGGGTTTCTATTGGGGTTACTTTGGGATTCCAGCATTTAAAACAGTGTCTGGTACACTGTAGGTACTTAATAAGTTGAATTGAATGAATGAATGTTGAGCTTGAGCCAAATATCCAAATGTTAAGCTGGATACATTATTCAACTTTATCTAGTTTCTGATTGTTAAAATTTAGTTTTTCCATAAAAGGTCATTCTAAGAAAAAAAGGTTTTATTAATACATACCAGTTTAATAATAAACAGCAATACACAAATTTCCTGGTGGATGTTAAGCACTTTTAAATTTAGGTACAAATTTTACCGGGAGCCAACATCTTAGTTTATTTTAAAAACCTATTACTTTGATGAATTAATAATGTCCACAGGGTTCTGAAAACTACTGTGTAAGTAACAAATAAGCAAATTATCTCTACTGGCACAGGCAAAGCCTGATTAATTATTTTAGGTAACTTGTTTCCCAACTAGTTTGTCTGGGACAGAATAACCAATTTTGGGATGATTTGTATGTATCTTGCGGCTCTTCTTTTCTCTGGTGCCTACTTTTGGTCAGTTTTATTAGAGCAAAGTCATTTTATTTTTTTTTGTTAGCTGCTAGCAATGTTCAGGAAAGGGAATTTAGGTATAATTGGTTTATGTCAAAGTTATGAATATGCCTGATATCTTTCTTGGGAGGATAAATGAGATCGTGCACGTGAAATGCCTAGCACTGTGCCTGGCACATAGTATATGCTCAAAAAATGGTCGATGTTGTTAGCCTTTCTGTGTTTTCACTAGGCCAGTGGTTTCAGCTCGTATATTAGAATCATTAGGGCCATATAGAATATGAGTGCCTAGGCCCCACCTTCAGATACTTGGCTTTTGTTGGTCTCAGGTGGAGTTCAGGCACTGGCATGTTTTAAAGGCTACCCAAGGGATTCTAATATGTTACCAGGATGAGATGATGCTCTAGATTCTATCAAATGATCAACACTAATAACTCTCATGCCTCGCTTGGGGGTAAAGTTTATCTACACTTTGAGATACGCGCACACACACACACACACGTATATATATATATATTTAGATATCTATATGTATATACACAATCACATAATTACTGCCATATATCAATAGTAGTCTATGTGTGAATTGCCTCTGCAGTCATTTTGCCTTCTCCATTATCAAACTGAGAAGCTAATTCACAACTTTTCTGGAGATGCAGTTACCAAATGCTTTGTGATTTGTAACCTGACTCTCACTGCTTCTCCAGATATCAAACTGAACACACACACCCTCATTCTCATTTATTCTCTTTCTTTTGAGCTCTTAAAACTGCTATGTGACATATGGATTTAAATTATTTCCAAAAAGTGCTAAAGGACTTAATAAAGATCCTTAAGATTGATTGAGATACCTTGGGGACTGGCTAACCTGAATTGGAGACAATGGTCTTACCCTTTCATAACATTTAGTATTATGTTGTGAATGTAAGAGATAATGGATAAAAAAATAGACTTGAAATGTTACTCTTTGAATAACAGATCAAAACCTGTAGGGTTTTTTTTTTTTTTAAATGATGAGATTCAGAATAACTTCTTTGGAAATGTTATTTCCTTAGAAAAAGTAAAAAAGATGGACCACCATTTATGGTGGATCTGAATGCTCATAAAGATTTATGACAGATGGACAGAAGGAAGGAAGAAAAAAATATGTAGGAGGTTATAGTCTAACAAACCACTGACTTTAAAAAACAATGGCCTACTTTCTTACACGTAAGCTTGTGATAAAGTATGGGATCACTGCTAATACATTACAATTTCATATGCTTTTATGCAGACAAATGACTGATCTTGGCACACTTAGTGGCAGAAAAAGATAGAGTAATAAGGGCAGCACAAAGTATGTGGGGCAAGATACATTTTAAACTATTTAGTAGGCAAAAAATGTTCTGGCTTATACCAATCAAAGGCCAATAGAATACATTGCACAATTTCACCGACAATAATCAATACAAATTAAGGCAATACTTTAGTGTATTCAACACTAAAAACAGATAACAAACACTTCTTACTTTCTTTTTAATGGAATTTGAGAACAAAATTTGTTGGTCCCAAATAAAGACAATGCTCACATTTCAACTAGTTTTTAATTAAGTGCTTAAAATGAGATGATTTAACTTAATATTCAGGAGTTGTATTTCACATACCACTGATCAAAATAATCCTAAAATTTCTCTATCTCAATAATAATGATAATAATGACAACAAGCTTTTTTAAATGAACATTTTAACAAGAAGGTAAGCAGGAAGGACCTCTCTCCAGCTGTCCTCACCTGTTGCAGAATTGCTCCCAGGGAGTTCTTGTCTTTTTGATTGACACCATCTTTCTGGAGTCTAGCAAGTAGCTCCGGTTTCTTGTAGGCCTTCAGGGCCAGTAAGTGAATCACCCTGTCCCTGTATGGCCTCTGAGAGATGGTGCTGCTGCTATGTGTCTTTCGAATTGTATTTGCAGGGTTCATGGGGGTTGACCTTTTCCTCTCAGGAACTGTATCTGAAACAGCTTGAGGTGCTTTCCGAATTTGCACTCTTTTCCCTAAAGTCCAGTGGAAATGACATTGTTACACATTTGTGGGTTACAATATGAGCACCTCAGTTTCCACAATTCTGATTTAGGTACCTCTTCATTTCTAGAGGAAATAATAATAAAGGCCACTTTATTTCAATCTTTAAGAAGGCATGCAAACAGAAAGCATTTTAAATAAATGGTCTAAAATTTGAATTAGAAATTATTTTAATAAAATCATTTCTTGGAAATAATATGTATAATGCATGTATTTTGGTCATTTTGCTACAGAAAGATAATAACTAGTAACACAAACTGTAACAACAGACTTGATAACTTATATCTTAAATAAATATATGCCATTTCTGAAAAGCAAACTATAATACAGTGAACATGGTGAAATGTCAGAAATACCTGTCAGACCTCTCTAAGAACACACTCTTGGCTGAGCATTACGTTAGTAATTTCACACGTTCAGAAGCCACAAAGAGGGGGGAGGTCAACATCATGAGGCATCCGTTAGTGATATATATATATATATATATTTTTTTTTTTTACAGGCCAAGACAAATTTTAGGATTCATAAAACAAAACTAACCAACCAACCAACCAACCAGTCTCAGAGGGCACAAACAAATCTGTCCTCTGCAGTGCTGAGACTACACATGTGAGTTAGAGAAATGGAAAATGGTACAAAGGAGGCCTTCACACCATTCTCACATGGGCCAGTGCTGTTCATGTGGTTAACCCATTTGCTGTTTAGACTGAACACTGACACTTGGCAAGTGGCTACTTCTAGAACATGTGTGGGCTGAGGTGAACCGGGCATTATGTGTATGTGTGAAGCTATCCAGACATGCCTGGTCACTGACAATCCCAGCAACCGTTCCTTGCTGAAGAGACAAAAAGTAGCATGAAACTGTGTGAGACTCTCATTTTATGATTCTACAGGTGGAATCTTTTAGCTTGTTTAGGACACACTAAGCCCCAATTCTATGCCCTCTGGTTAAAGAAGGGGAAGAACTTGTAATGACATACGATGTGGACAAGTGCATTAGGAACAAGACTAACAACTAGAAATAATGGGTGGGTAAAAGCAGCTCCTATAAGCTGTGGTCTGGGGTGAAAACAGCTCACTGGGGCAGGAGCTTTACTGAATAGTAATTCTGTCCATGCTGGGCTCCCCAGGCCTGGTCAGAAGGCCTGTGTGTTTTGATTCCATCCTACCTCCAGTAAGGGAAAAAAGATGAATGCTCTCAAACTGAAACCTCTACTGGCTGGTATGTTTCTTTACTATCTGTACAAAACCAATTGCAAATATCAAACTATTACACAACAAAGGAACTCAACATTAAGGGGACACTGCCTAATGATAACAAAAACTTAAGTTATAATTAGAGTTTCAGAGATAGATTTAGATTGGGGTTTCTGTATTTTTCTTACATCAGCTGGAAACTTATGCACCAATTATGTGGGGGACACTGTGCTAAGAGCTGCATACACATTATCTCACTAGGTTTCACCTGAAAAGGCAGGTACCGTCCCCTTTCACAGATGAGAAAACTGAGGCTTTTAATGGGATATGCTCAAAGGGTAAAATCCTCACTTAGCATTTGGGAGGTTCTGTGATTTGATTAATACCTAATTTTCCTGCCTGTAAGTCTTTGTGGGAAAGGTTTTATGAACAAATGCCTAATGTTTGCTGTTGCTTTGTGTTAGGCTATAAGCTCTATGAGGGCAGGGCAGTGGCTGCTTTGTCCACTAGCATGCCTTAAATCAGTATTTGATGACTAAATGAATGACAGCGAGAGAGCAAGTAAGCAGAGGAGCAGGAATCAACACAGTCCATACTTCCCCACGTTGCCAGGCTGCCAGTGTGAATACACACTGAAATTTCTAATGTGGCAAAGGGAAACCATTTAATCCACCATTTCCCAGTTGCAACAGCGTTAACAAACATTAGCATTCCTTAAAATTTTAATAGGAAATATTTTTTAAAAATAGAGTCAAGTTCACAAGTTTAGAAAATGCTATAAATTCCACACTCCCTCCCCCTTAACAAGTCTTGCAAAAAAGAAATTTGTTTAACTCTTTTCCAAACCAAGCTAACAGTGAAGCCCTTCTTTCTTTCTGGGAAGGGGGATGGGCAGAGAATGTTTGTTAGCTAAGCTACACACACTAGGACTGGTCATTTAGGATGAATTCAAGCAGCAAGGCAAATAAAAATAAAAAGAGAAACTAACAGTACTGCCACTGTTTTCAGGTGCCCTACCTCCTCTGTACCTCTGATTCACCTCTGATCCTTATCTCAGGAGGTCTCCAAGGTCTACTGGGTTTATCCCCATGCTTCCCCAAAGCAGGTATGGAGAAGACAAATAAGGGAGGCTAACTTTGCCCTTAAAAGGGATATAAGTATGATGTTTGGCAAGAAAGTAAGAGCCTGATCAAGTGAAGACAGAACTAGAGTTTTACTTGGGGCCCATTGCTAGACTGTCATCTCCCCATGAATCCCCTACCCCCAAAACACTCACTTTGTCCTTTACCTCATTTTTCTTTTAGACAGCAAGTTAGGGGTTAACTCATATTTCATTCAAATGCTTGAAAGAACAACTCAGCCACACTGGACCACTGAATTATACTCAAAGATCACTTGTTCACTACCTCCCCATCCCTTTTGTGCCTATTCGACAAGGAAGGAATCCTCTGGTTTAAGGAAAGACAGGCTACAGATGAAGAAAACATCAGTGATAAAGGTACTTACAGAATTGAGATGCTAAAAGAAAAAATGAAAAAGTAAAGCAAGAAAATGTCAGGTTCAAAGTGGGCAGAAGAAAGGATTTATTTTTTATATTTGCCTCAGAAAAAAGCCATTTTAATAAAACCTATGGGAGAACCTAATTCTCTTCCCAGACCCAAATGCTAATCAACTCCCTGGGCTCTTTATATAAACAGCAGCAGTGGGTCCGACAGGGTTGGGTAGTCTGGGACAACAACTAAATCGCTGTTTCATAACAAGGAGTCCAATTCTAGCTTCTTCATTTAATAAAGATAGCAAAAGTATTTACCCCTCAGTCTAATGGCTTTGAGTAAACAGTCTGAAAGGAAGGTGTTAAAACATCCATCACAAAGACAGAAGGGACTGCAGCCATCTTCTGCAGTTGTTTTTCCATTCTGTGGAACCTGACCAGAAGCCTGGCAACACAGACCCAAGGCTTTAAAAACATCTGCAGGCTCATGACAATGACATGACTCTGTCATGGTTAACTACATAATCCATTGCAAGGGAAATCTCCACCACTTGGCATTTGTGACTACTTTTTCAAAAAGTTTACTACCAAAATATATATACTGAACATTCACAAAATGTTAGCACTACAAAGGACCTTAGATCTTGTCTAGTTCAAATACCCACCTTTTTTTTTAATATTTGAGAAAAGTAAGATGTTAAATGATTTGTCTGTCATCAAAAATAAGGAGGTTTGTTCACAAAGAGTAGAAATTGAAAAAAATAATAAGGAGGGTGGGCTGGAAGTTGGAAAAATTGGAAACAGAATCCTAGAAATTAGATTGGTTATTTTGTACACCTAAACAAATATTAGTACATATAAAAATTCATAATTTAATACACTTCCAAAATTTAGGTAGAAGTCAGTGAGCAGACTTAAAATATCGGTGAATTAGAAGCAGTGGTGACGAGTGATTTTTTTTTTTATATCAGTGTTTACCACTGATATAAATGTCATGAATACAAGTAAAAATATTACTGGAAGATAATGTTTTCTAGGTTAAAGCCTTTCCTGCTCCTCTCTAGGCAAATAGATTTTGGTTTCTTCTGCCCACGAGAGGGTTGCAGAAACTCATATTCCTGGGCAATGAGGCCAGGTGACCCCTAGGAACACAGTCTTCATTGCCTCAAACTGGCCTTCCTCCCTAGTCTAGCTGTCAGCCGTCATCACGCTACCACCATGCCACAGTGGGATCAGCATTATTCTCATTGGTCTTCTACCCAGGCTGACATTGTTGAAAGAAACCTTGTCCTGCAGGTACCTCGAAGCTGGCATAGGTAAACTTCTGGCATCATTTTATGTGATATAGTCTATTATTAATTAAAGGGGTATATCTTACTGTCTTAAGAAAAGCACAGAACTTGTTAATGAGATCACACTCATATAATTTGCTATTTGCTGATACCAACAATTTGGTATGTAAAATACAGAGAGAATAATAACATTCTTCATCGGGTGATTATGAGATTCCAATGAGTAACTACATGTGAGTGCTAACCAGTGCCTTGTGCACAGCAGGCACTCAATAAGTGCTGGGTTTTGTTAGTATTGAAGGGTGATTGATATTTTAAAGAACTGGATGAATCAGACAGTTTTGAGACACCCAAAGAGGCAGGAAGATACAGACTGAGCTGCCTGGAAGGAAAACAATATATGAGAAAGAGCTGGCAATGGATAAGGTTAAAAGAAAAAGATCAAAACATGACCTAACAAAATACAGTAAAAAAAAAAATCAAAACAGAAAACAAAAAAGCCAATCAGGATACTTGAATCCATTGCTCCCCTGTATTCAGAAATGATCACACTTTTTTTTTTTTTGAGACGGAGTCTCGCTCTGTCTCCAAGTTGGAGTGCAGTGGCACAATCTCGGCTCACTGCAACCTCCACCTCCCGGATTCAAGCGATACTCCTGCCTCAGCTTCCCGCTTAGCTGAGATTACAGGTGCACGCCATCATGCCCAGTTAATTTATTTTTGTATTTTTAGTAGAGACAGGGTTTCACCATGTTGGTGTTGGCCAGGATGGTCTCGATCTCTTGACCTCGTGATCTGCCCGCCTCGGCCTCCCAAAGTGCTAAGATTACAGGCGTGAGCCATCGCACCCGGCCTTGCTCAGACTTTTAAGAATAGTGTGGCCAGTTTTGAACTCTGAGGCGAAGAATTGGAGGCAGTCCAGAGGAGAGCAATAAAATAATCAAGGGGTTGGGATACAGGCCATACTAAGAAAAGATAAAAGGAGCTGGGGTTATTTGACCTAGAGAATAAAAGGCTGAGGAGGTTAAGAAAAGATTTATGACCACAGAAGAACACTGCTGTGACGGTGAGTGGCTAGGACACTGAGGACAAAGCAAAGAGGAAAAGGCCTACAGAGTGCCCGGATTGGCCGAGATCGATGCAAGCCTCTGCAGGGAGGAAGAGGGTGTACAGAGGGAGGCCAGCTCTTCTTAGGAGAGGGGAGGTATAATTTGGTTCACATGTAAACTCTGATAACCTCAAATTTCCTGTGGTCACCTCCAAAATGTATGTAAATTATTTGTAGTATCTATAAGAAACCTTGCAAGTTCTAAAATTCCCAGTACCATTAGGAAGTGTATGGACTGTGGGATTTTGGGTGTTGAAGTCTGTTGTGTAAGCTATAAACAAACTGTACTTGACTCTTTGAAAACAAACAAAAACACATGAACACAGATGACACCCAAGGACCATTCAATGGAAAAGTGCAGTCATCATCGCTGATTTTCAAGCTTTGGAATAAATCAAGGGGAGGGTTTTTTTTTCAGCTAGTTATATCGGGAAGGAAAAATATTGTTTTGATGGTTTCAGTCTTCTATTCCTTTGTCAAACACAACAATTTGCCTCACTGTTTATAAAATGGTGGTATTGGGCAGAGGAAAACAACATTTTCCAAGCAACAGGGGTAGATCATTCATAGTTTATACTTAAATGTAAGTGTGGTAGATCTTGTGTGTTTTAAAAACAATTTGAGATTTAGTCTACTAACCCAGAAAGTTAATTAAGTTACTTCTGGGGATAAAGGAGAAAGAAAGGAGGCTGGAAGTTGCTACCTCACTCAGCAGGAAAGAGAGGTGAAAAGTCTCATTGCTAGTAACTTACTGAGCAGGGAACTAGGCCCCATGGGTACAAATATCTGGGGAGGGGATGAATTGTTGTTAAACCAAACTAAATGTATCTAAGCTAAGCACCAAGCCCCAGGAGCATTTGCTTTGTTCCAAAGAAGTACTTATTAAAGACACTAGTGGAGCTTCTCAAAGCTGAATGTACTGTAGCTGGATCAGCAGTGGGAAAATACAGAAGTAGAATGAAGCCAAACCCTGGAAAGATGCTAGTTAAGGGACTTGGTTCTTCAAGAGACTTTCTGTGAGCGTTTAAGTTTCCAAATTAATATCCTTTCATCATTTACTATAGAGTGACTTGTGTTATTAAATTGACCAAGGACTCAAAGAGCTCCTCCTCACTCTTGATAATTCTATTACTGTTAATAGTCACCATGAATTGACTCCTTAAAGTTGTTAAGGTCACTGCTCATAAAGGAGAGACTCATCTTGCAAGTCTGGTCTTACTTCCCTTCAATCTGACAGACACTTGAGTGAGCTAATGATAAAAATGATGGGGGTCGGATAGGGTCTTAATTAATGGATAGATGAGGATGAGGATCACAACTGAGGAACCAAAGAGACATCAGTCTAATGCTCTGTTGTAATGCTTTGCTATAAGCACATTTTATATTTTTGTAATGAAAAATCCTTGTTGTACAAAGATGCTCTGAAAATGTAAGCAAAATCTACAACAATGAGATTATCAACCCATAAATTCTACTAATAGATTTTACTATAAAAATAGCCCTACAAAAAGGCAAAACAAGAACCATAGTATCCATCACTGAAATTACATCATCTAGTGACAAAGAAAACACAACGGTACCACGATTGCAACTTCACGCAGTAATGTGACCAGATCCCAGTACTATAAAATAATAGTAAGTAGCCAACGAAGATTCAGGATTTAGGAAAGTCATAGAACTTTAAAATATGCTCTTCAATTTACTGGCAGTCTGAAGAGAACAAATAACTTTGTTTTTCTCACCATGTTATCCAAAATGTTCTGAAAACTAGTTTCTGTGTTTTCATTAAGTTAATATTACTGGTATTTACCTATGGTGATCTTGAATTACTCCAATCAATCAGCAAGAGGAAGAAAGATATCTATACAAACCTACATATGGTCCACCGGGTTTGATAACTTTTGTGCTTCGGTTGCGGGATTCCTCCTCTGCCTGGGTCATTCTTTCTCGTGTCATCTGATACGAGTCGTTTGTTGCACACACTGTAATTTTATCTTGTATAAATCCCAGGCAATTGAGCTGGGAGGCTCCAGAGCTGTCAAGTAAGTCAGTGGCTTTGTTAGACATGACCTTCATTTTGTACAATAAAGGCAAACAAGAATTATATAATCCTAAAATCAGCAGCCCAACTAAGTTTGCAATCCTAAAATAACTAATATTAATTTTTAAATGTAAATGCTATTTAAAATATCTAAGATCCTTCTCTTCACTTTTTTTCATATTCTTTATATAATGGATGAAGTGAGCTCTCAGAGACCAAATCCATAAAATTTTGAAAAAGAAAAAAAATCAGTATTTAGAGTGAGACCAGAGTTCTGATGGGCATTGTAGTTGTTTTATTTAACTGTTAACTATTTTAAAGAATTATCTAACACTGATATGAGGAAAGTTAAAAAGTTTAGTTTTAGTAAAACCACAATATACATGGTCTGGACTGACTAGTTGAAACGGACTCACCACACATTCTTTTTTATTTTAAATAATATATTAATTTTAAGGCTAACATACTGACAAAAATTAAAGCTTACTTTAATATTATTAGTCCAAAAAGTTCCTAAAAATTTGCAGAATTTGTATTTACTTTGTTAAATCTCTATATAAGATGACCTACTTATTAGCAAATGTTGAAGAAAACACAGGGCAAATGATTTTTATAGCAATTTTTTTTTAAAGGCCAGGCACGGTGGCTCATCCCTGTAATCCCAACACTTTGGGAGGCCAAGGCAGGTGGATTGCTTGAGTTCAGGAGTTTGAGACCAGCCTGGGCAACATGGAGAAACCCCATCTCTACAAAAATTAGCTGGGCATGGTGGCGTGTGCCTGAAGTTCCAGCTAGTCAGGAGACTGAAGTGGGAGGGTCTCTTGAGCCCAGGATGTGAAGGTTGCAGTAAGCTGAGATGGCGCCACTGCACTCCAGCCTGGGCAACAGAATGAGACCCCATCTCAAAAAAACAAAACAGAACAAAACACTTTTTATTGAAATAATCATGAATATTAACATGGACCTAGAAGATGGCTCTGTTTCAAAGTAACATGTTAATATTAGGGGGATCATGGTCACAGTCATAACTGGTATTTTATAAAGAAATTGCTATGGCCTGAAAACAAACTGGAATATAAAACTAATGAAAGTGACACTACAGCTCTGATCATCTATATCCAAACTTAATTAGAAGTAACTTTGTTATAATACAAAGAAATAAAGGTTGATAATTTTTTTTTGAGATGGAGTCTCGCTCTGTTGCCAGGCTGGAGTGCAGTGGTGCAATCTTGGCTCACTGCAAGCTCTGCCTCCCGGGTTCAAGTGATTCTCCTGCCTCAGCCTCCCAAGTAGCTGGGACTACAGGCACATGCCACCATGCCCAGCTAATTTTTGTATTTTTAGTAGAGACAGGGTTTCACCATGTTGGCCAGGATGGTCTTGATCTCTTGACCTCATGAACACTCGCCTTGGCCTCCCAAAGTGCTGGGATTACAGGCGTGAGCCACCGCACCTGGCTGATAAAATCTTTATAAATTGCTAATAACTGTCTTTACAAATGCTATTTAAGAAAAACACACACACAAAAACCAGTTAATTCATCTCATAAATATTTATTGGGCAGGGACTGCATGCCTAGCAATGTGTGAAGCAGAGAGGTTGTGACAAGAACTAACAGTTGTGGTCCCTCTTTCAAGGAACTAATGGGTGACAAGGATGGACAAACTGGAAATCATAACACAGTGTGACAAATTCCAGGGAGCAGAGGACTCCCAGAAAGGTAATCTCACCTGGACTTCCCAGAGGAGGTGATGCCTGAGGTGATCTAGAAAGATGACTGGGCAAGGGGGAAGAAGAATGAAAGTGTTCAGGGAGGACAACTAATCTGTGCAGGGCCAGGAAGAGCAAAAAGAAGGTTTTCAAATTGTCCAAAGAAAGTTGGGAAGGACAATTACAGCTGAAGCTGAAGAGGGAATGAGAAATACATCACAAAGGGCTCTGAGGGTCATGTGTTACAGGTTTTGGACCTTATCCAAAGGATAACGAGAGGCTGAAATCAGGGGAGAGAAAATAACTCATTTGTATTGCAGAAAGCTCAATCTGGATGGAGGATAGATTGAGAGGAAGGGGGACACCAGAAGGAAAGAAAAGAGGCCACTTAGGATGCTACTGAAGGATTACAGGCAAGCAGTGATGGCATGAACCAGAGTAGGGCAGTGAGAGTGTAGAATAGTACACAGCTTCCAGAGATAGTGAGGAAGTGGAACTGACAAAACGTGGTCAGTAGTTAGCCACACTCAGAGAGAGGTGGGGGAAAAAAGTTAAAGATCATGCCCAGGTCACGAGGTATATGGAAGCTGCTATGTACTGAAACACTGAACACAAGATGAAGGACAGGTTGGGAGACAGGACTGGGACAAAGAACATAAGTTCAGTGTTGGAGATGGTGACCTTGAAGGAATGAGGAGAGAAGGGGTCTCAGGAGGGAACCAACTGTGAAGAACACTAGTATTTAAGCAAAAGGAAGAAAAGAAGACCACATGAGACTGAAAAGCCACAGCTACAGAGGTAGGAAGGAAACCAGAAGAGTACTGTGTAATGTAAGCCACTGGAACAGACGCTTCAAGCAGGAGAGAGTGGTCAACAGTGTGCAACACTGGCAACAAGTCCAGAATAATAAGGAACCAATAACACATCCACTGGATTTTGGGGGCAGGGAGGTCACAGCTCCCTTGGGGAAGCAGTTTCAGTGGAATGGTGGGCACTGAAGCCAGACTTTGGGTTGAGAAGTGAATGTAAGAGAGGTTGTTTTTGTTTTTTATTTTCTTTTTTAATAAGACAGACTTGAGCATGTTTGCATGCCAAAGGAAAAAAAAAAAACCCACTGACAGAGGAATGCTGAGAGAGGGGAAGGTAATCCTCAGAGGAAGTGGGAGAGAGGGGGGAGAGTGGGAGAAAATGACTGCAATAGAGTGAAGGTCTGGTGGCAGAAAGTTTGTATTTCAACATCTCTTCCTATTATTTACTAAGTAATTTACATAGTGAGAATAAGCTGAACATACTGCCCCTCATGCGAAGTCAGAAAACAGATCTTTATGCAAAACAAACGGAGCTAAACGCTGTAGGCAAGAAGGTACTCTCTAGAATTCTTCACTCATCCCTTCTCAACCGAGTTACCCTGAAAGTTTAAATATTTTAGACAAATGTATATAAATGCTCCCTTAGTCTTTCTCTAGCCTAGCTCACCATTTCCTTCGCTTAAGTGTGCATTATTATACACTATAGGTCCTAGACTATATATTTTTCACTAAGTCTGAAAATGGGTAGACTTAAGGAATTTTTGAAAGGCAATTTTGACTGTGACATTGATTTCATTTTATATATGAGAAAAGTGAGAATCAAGGAAGTTTAAAAATATAGATAAGAAGACTAGTTAATTTGTATTTGTTGAACATTTATTTACTGAGCATCTGTTTTTACCCTTTTATCTCCAGGTTGAGTCAATAAGCATGTATTTTGAGCTCAGTCAGCACTGTGAAATTAGAAAAAGGGCATAAGAAAGCCTCTGACCTTGAAGAGCATGCACTGTGGTCAGAGAGAAAAGATCCATAAGGAAAATGGAAATTAAATTGAATGGAAAAGGTGAAGCCAGATTATGGACAGGTCAGCTTGCCAGGCTGTGAAGTGAAAGCCTGAGAACAAAAGCTAGTGCTTTTGTTTTCCTAGTGGCAGACTTCAATTTATACCCTTACTACCTCATTTTATAAGGCACCTTGGATTATACAGAGGGGATACATTTGCCCCAATATTTTCACAATAAGTGTTTCTATTCTCTTACTGCATCATACATAGTTTTGTAAGTGACCTTAAATCCTTTCCAAACAAGGAAGGTAGAAATAACCACACAGGGTATTTATAATGTAAGAGTAAAGCCATATTACTTACAATGATATGAATGCTTTTGAAGAGAGGATTAAGCTCCTTAATAAAATTCCTAAGGGGACATTGTTCAATTTGATATCAAAATGTGCTCACTATAATAAAACAACAATCTAGAGACAAGCACCACAATTAAAAATTAGTGTACCATGTTGTGTGTAAAGAATACTGGGGTGGGAATTAGAAGAACTCAGTTCTCATTTAGCCTAGCCACTAACTAACCAGCTACATAACTCTGGATAAATCACCTGTGAAATGAAGGGATTGACTCACACAATCACTAAGGACCCTAATACTTGGTGATTCTATAATCTATCATAGTGCTGATCAATAGAACATTTTGCAAGAGTGAAAATGTTATATAACTGTGCTGTCTACTATGATAGTAACAGGTAGCTACTGAGACCACAAAATGTGGTTAGTGTGAATGTGCAATGATGTTTTAAATTTTATTTAATTTTTTATCAGTTGAAATGTAAATAGCCAATGTGGCCAGTGGCCATCACAGTGGACAGCACAGAAAAGTCTATATAATCTACAATATAGCAATTTATGCCAAAACATTTAAGTTTGAAGGTGGGTAATTTTCAGAAAGCAACATGAATATATCCTTGGGGAAAATGACAGATTAAATAACAAAAAGTTACGTAGACACCTTAAATGGGAGGATAAAGGTAAAACTCTGTCAGTGTCTTATTTTGTATCTCTGCCTCCTGTACCTGCTGGAAACACAACTTTGCTTCTTCTTTTCCCCCACATTGAGCAAGTACTTACATAGTTTCAAGTACTGCACAGATAAGTCACAGAGATACGCTGGTCTAGGGTACTTGGGGCTAATGTCAAAGCCTTACATGAGGAGGAAATGAGAGAGACCCTAACCTCCCTTGTCTATATCCAGGGGCAGAACAAACTCCTGCTCAAGGGCCTATTCTTTAATCAGAAACAACCAAAGCAATGAAGAGTGAAACAAGTGGCTTATTGTTTACAGAGGATCTAAGTAGATAAGCGTCCCATGGTACCCTAGGGTGTGGGTGTGTATATTCTTGTCTTCCTCCTCCTTTTTTTTTTTTTCTTTTTTTTTAAGAAGAAGGAGAGACTGCTTTACTGGGTTAATTTCTAGTTTCCATGCAGCTGTAGAATAAAGATGTTTAAAAATCTACCTTCTACCTTAGAACATGGCTTGAACAGGGAAGAAGGAAGAAAGCATGCAAGATGGATATTTTTAACTTCTTTACCCTGGAGTATGAGCCTCAAATATGCTATAAGATTCTTGCTTAAATTCAATGAATTAAATATTTCTAAAAAAAATCCTCAAATTGCCTTTAGTTTTCAAAAACTGCATTTTTATAGGTTAAAAAATATCTTCTGTACCTTAAAAGCCCCATTAGACCAAAAATCTTTGAACTGTTGTGATTATATCCCCATTACAAATGAAATTTCTATTACACAGTAGGTGCTTAATATTTTTCAGATAAATAAATGAGCTCTGTAATTCAATTTAATACACGTTTATGGATGAATATTATGTATTGTATTGTTTAATTTTCTAAAACCCTCTTAAATAAAAAATTTTTCCCCTTCAGTGTACCTTGAAAAGTACTTACCTGGAGAATGTTTGCTGGATGCAGTCAAAGCTGCCCTGAGGGTTGTCTTTGCCCACATTTGACAAATAAAAGTTAAAGTTATGAACTTCATTGAGGGGATCATTTTTGGGAATTTTGACAAGCTAAAATGAGGGGAAAAGAGAGAAACGCCTCAAATTATAAATTTGCCATAGAAAAGTCTTAAGACTGACTTACTGGTTTTTCTAGTGAAAATCATTTTAGACCTAAGCCCTTTTGATATATACATCCTCGCAGCATTTAAATGACCAAACAATTCAAGGAATCTGGCAAACATGCCTATAACTTACCAGATTCTTATTTCCATTTTCTACCTTTAAGTGTCAGTAATCACTTCTGCTCAATAGTTTCTATTAGTTTATAAGAGGAACCCTTTTCATTTCAAAGTAGCAAATGGTTACAGTTCTTATGAAAGAGTTATTAGTGAATTTGTAAAAAGCTCTTCCTCTTTTGAGCAATACAAGTTTTGTCTTTGGCTTACATGACCCCCTTCTAAATAGCTTCTATATATTGAAGCAATCTCTGAGATAAGAGTCCATATCCGAATCTTTGGCTCTTATAATAAAAAAACACATTTCATTTTAATTCTTGCTTCTTAGAGCAGTATTTTTGAACTTCTTAGAGTAACAGCATAAGGTTAATGCCATAATTGCATTCACAGGTAAAAACTGCTGTCCTAAGATGCCATTATACATCCTCATGTTTACAGAAACAGGGTCTGCAGCCTACAGAGATGATTCTGTAGGTCACTCCTAGGCTAAGCCCCAGGAAACACTGTGGAACAGGAAGATGTATTTTCTTTGTTGTTGTTGTTATTTTTATTTTTAAATTTTTAATATTTATTTATTTATTTATTTATTTATTTATTTATTTATTTATTTATTTTTGAGACGGAGTCTCGCTCTGTTGCCCAGGCTGGACTGCAGTGGCGCGATCTTGGCTCACTGCAACCTCCACCTCCCCGGTTCAAGCAATTCTCTGCCTCAGCCTCCTGAGTAGCTGGGATTATAGGTGCCCGCCACTACGCCCAGCTAATTTTTTTGTATTTTTAGTAGAGACGGGGTTTCACCACAGGCAGATGTATTTTCTACACTCTTGTTCAAGGGCTGGCTTCCCTACTAGATGAGAAGTCCCAGGAGCAAAGGGACAGAGTTGTTAAAGACCACTGAGGTCCTGCATTGGCCACATTGCCTGATATGTAGTAGGGGCTCAAAAAAGGTGTGTGCAATTGGAATCTTCTGTCCTTCAACTGCTCCACTCTTCCTAGTGTCTGAAACCTTTCCTCCCTTGGGTCTGCATGGTGTTAGGTGATAATTAAAAAAAAGGATTAGTTGGCAAGAATGTAAAATATGACTTAACCGAACTTCAGCTCCCAAACATACAGTCTTAGTAATTTAGCAGACAAGTAGGGAAGGGAAAAGTGTTTTATAATCCTCATTCTCCAAAAAATCTGTCCTTTCCATTATAAGATGAAGACAGCACTAACTTGCTGCTTAGCGTGTATGCACTCACACTCATGAATGGGCACAGGCATGGGCAAAGGCATGTATGATTCCTGCCTTTGCTCTGCCCTGCAAGATAACCTGCAACCACTGAATTGCTCAATCTAAAAGTCTCCCAAACCTTGACCTATAGGAAAGAACTGCAGTCACCAATTCCTGCCTTCCCTTCCTCCCAACCCTGGAAAAAGGTAAAAAGAAAAAAAGGTAAGAAGGGAGACAATTGTAGTATCTGGCACATAGTAGACATATAATAAATATTTGTTGAAGGAATAAATGAACAAGAAGTAATAAATCAAAGAAAAATGTTTTTTGAAAGGAGATTCAGATGACTTGTATAGAGCTTTAAAAGGTCAAATTTCACCAAAGATACTATAGATAGATAATACTCCATAGAGCCTCCATCATCCATGAATTTAAACTATCTTTGACTCCCTATTTGAAATTAGAGACAACTCCTGGCACAAGTTTCTGTGTTTTTATCTATTTTATAAATATCTTTTGAGGGCCCTAACGTTACTCTTTAATTCCCAAAACTTTCCCCAGTTCTAAAGTGCTGTAACTTTGTGAACAAGTCTTAATTTACTCTGTAGGTAGGTATTCATCAGGCTGTCTTACTGGGTGTGCACGCTCAGCGCCTAGTTGGCATACATATATTGGCAACTTCTTAATCCTACAGCAGTAGAGGCAAACAGGAGCCAAAGGAATGCTTGCGTCAGGCACAAGAGAACATAAGGCTACCTGCATACTGGTATAACAGTACTCACTAATGTCTGCTTTTGTTTCTCTGGGAAGAGCAGGGTTCTGCTGACAGAGAAGGGATATGCCTAGATAGGTAAGAAAGGTGTGGACACCTGAATGAAATCCCCTCCCTAGGCATGACTCATTTAACTTCCATCCATCTTCTCCCCTAACCCTTCATCTAGATCTGCAGAACCTGGTTGGAGAAATTTTAAAAGTGGTTTTAAAGAGGTCTCATCTCCATATGATATTTCATCTTCCTATGAGGCTCCAGCTTCGGTTTAGATCTAAAGTTTTCCCTACTGCATAGCTCAGGTTTGGGAATATAGCAGTACTTCCATACCTATCAGAGAATGTAAGACCATCCCATCTGGTAGACTCTAAATTGCATTTTTTTTTTTTGAGACGTAATCTCTCTGTCGCCCAGGCTGGAGTGCAGTGGCACGATCTCAACTCACTGCAAGCTCCGCCTCCTGGTTCACACCATTCTCCTGCCTCAGCCTCCCAAGTAGCTGGGACTACAGGCACCCGCCACCACGCCCGGCTAATTTTTTGTATTTTTAGTAGACACAGGGTTTCACTGTGCTAGCCCAGACGGTCTTGATCTCCTGACCTCGTGATCTGCTGGCCTTGGCCTCCCAAAGTGCTGGGATTACAGGCGTGAGCCACTGCGCCCAGCCTAAATTGCATTTTTAAAAGGTTGAATTGTACAGTTTTTTTCCCCCTATTTTTCAAGAGTGATTAGAGTCTGTACTCAAATTCTGCAAATGTGCAGTGTTCTTTTAGTGAAAACTTTTAACTTCATGGCTGGAGTCCTTTAGTTCAAATGTCCACTAAACAGAGTGTTACAGAAAGCTCTTAACAAACCTTTGTTACTTAAATGTAGCTTTTTCCTTTCTCATCCTCCAAACCACCCAATCCTAACTTCTTAAGTAACATTTATGCTTTTTAAGGTAAAATAATTATCTTTCTATGCATTTTTTTCTCTTAAAGCATTATAGTTTGGCCTGATGGTGGACACAGAAGACTTTCATATTCTTGTTTTTTAAAAGTCTCTTCAGTAGGAAAAAAGCTACAGATTTAAAAAATATGACCATGACTAGAATAGAATCAGCTTAAAAAGAAACAAAGTTTTTAAAAAATCATAATCCATGCTATGTACTCACCAAAGTGTTTTGAAATTTGTGTTACACATAGATTAAAACAGTGGTTCTTAACAAGGGGCAATTTTGTCCCCCAGAGGACATTTGGTCTGGGAGGGTGCTATTGGCATGTAGTGGGAGGCCAGAGATACTGCCAAACACCCTACACTGCACAGGACATTCCCTCCAATTACGCAGTACAAAATATCAGTAGGGCCAAGGCTGATAAATTTTGGATTATAAACAGAAATAGGTCATCCCCTTAGAAAAGAAATCAGAGGCTGGGTGTGGTGACTTACACTTGTTATCCCAGCACTTTGGGAGGCTGAGGTGGGAGGATCACTTGAGCCTGGGAGTTCGAGACCAGCCCGGGCAACACAATGAGACCCTGTGTCTATAAAAATAAAAAATAAAGTGAAAAAAAAAAAAGAAATACAGAGTAACTTATCTGCAGAGTGCTTTCAATCCCTACCATTTTTCCTTGTTCTTATCATATGCCACACACAATGATAAGATTCTCAGACTGCTAAAGATCAGTAACAAACCACCTCTGTCCTCACCTCTGATAGCAGAACTTCTCAACAGTCTCTCCTACCTGCGTGTAACACTATGGGTATATTTGAGCAGTACGCAGACACGGCAGGGGCAGGCATCAGGGCAAATAGTGTTCACTTTGGGACCAAAGGGTGACTCTTGATGCACGTCATGAGTTTCTTTGCAGCTATGGAGCTGAAGTGGAGCTTAGAGGTTAGGGAACAAAGGGACATGGAGCCCAGGCCAATCAGAGTTCTACATTGCCTTTTCTTGGTAGTTTCAGAGCAGCATCAATGCAGATGGTATGGTCTGAGCTAAGCCCAGGCCAATCAGAGTTCTACATTGCCTTTTCTTGGTAGTTTCAGAGCAGCATCAATGCAGATGGTATGGTCTGAGCTAATCTGAAGCTTTTCAAGAGCAAGATGTTTTCAGGCAAATTTTACATCCTTAAAATTTCAAAAGGGTTTGTAGACTTAGTGCATCTAATTTCTTGAAGATGTATTAATTAGACACAAAGTTAATTGTATCAATATCCAAGTATACTCTTAAGAATGAAATGGGTATATAAGGTAGCACTTATGTTTATGGCTGGTAAGGCTGTGTAACAATTTGGCCAATGGACAGGAAAGCAGGAGACTTATTGGAAAGAGCAGGTAATATATGACAATTAGGGCAGGTTGGTGAGAGGGAAGCTTTAGAACTAAACTATGGCAACTTCAGAGCAGACCAGAACCTGTGGGACTGTTGAAGGCCAGAGCTAGGGTGGGTCTGAGACCTTGTCTAATCTAGAGCCATTCAGGCAGAGTTTCAGAGGAACCTGTGGATATGCGTCAGTCCCCTCTGATATGCAGGAGCCTATTCCATTGTGTATCTACACAGTTCTTTTTTCCAAAATGGTTATAAAGCATTTTCTTAAAAACTAGCCTTCAGGTTCATGAAATACGAGGAGGAGGAAGTGAAAATGTACTGACTGCTACTGGTAGACCTAGGGTCAGCTTTGAGGACTGAGGTAACCACCACAGGAAATAAGTTTTGAGGTCTGATTTTGAAACAATATTGGAAGACCATTCCTTTGTGAGATAGAAACTTCTCCATTTTAATTTTAGTATTTTAAGCTTTTCCTACAGGTCAGTTGGGAATAATTTTTATTTAGGGACTCACAATCTTGAATTTTTAGCTAAATGCCTTAAGAATAAAATATTATTTAAAAAGTATTAAAATGCTGTGATTCCAAACAGTTTCTTGTTCAAGATGAAGAATATAAAAATATACCACCATGTCTCGGCAACTGGAAAAGCAGATTTTAATTTTCATTCCAAAAATGAGAGACTGAAAATCAAAGGCTTAGGACCACAATCCACAACCCTCCTCCCAACCTCCTGTCTGTCTTTGATAAAAAGCTACAAAGAAAAAGTTTCAGGAAACTTTCAGACATTTATAATTAGCATAAACACTGTATACCAAGATGTGTAAGTCAAAACGTCTAATTACTCTGGGATACAAGCTCAGGCATGTGGCAACAGAATACTGCCTGAAAGGTCATTTCAACATCAAGTCACGGACGTCCTATTTACATAAGGATCTAGGGCAGAAGCACAATGTGCACACTGCTGCAACTTTCTCATATG
The DNA here is from genome assembly GCF_000001405.40 of Homo sapiens. Taxonomy (NCBI): domain Eukaryota; kingdom Metazoa; phylum Chordata; class Mammalia; order Primates; family Hominidae; genus Homo; species Homo sapiens. The sequence continues at coordinate 95,924,986 of NC_000005.10, forward strand.
TGAATGCTAACATCTGCTGAAAAGCTGTTGGTACCTTTACTGCAGGTTTCCTGTCCTTGAGTCAAATACTTTCTACTCAATATTGGATTGAGGTATACATTAGATTAAAAATAGAACCAGCAAGGGTTTTCTTCATTTATTTAAGTGTTTTGTTCTTCTGTGGGATTACAAATCATTCAAACTTACAGAATTCTTGTTTGACAGACACCTTTTCTGATAAGGTGATTGTAAATGCTCAGTGAACCAGCAGTACCATGGTTTGACATGACAATTCCTGGTGTTAAAGTGGACTCATATAGCTGAGCGGGCCAAGATCATCTATAATTTCTTTTTTATAGATTAGGGACAATGAGGCTTAGTGATTTGTTCAAGTTAGAGTCATACTTAGATTGACAACCCCTGTACTACAAATCCGAGCCTGCTCCATGGCTGTCTGAAACACTCATTACCTTGTAATACTAACATATTATGTTTATAGTCTTTCTCCCTTCACTAGAATATAAGCTCTGCAAGGACAGAGGCTTTTGTCTGTTGTGTTCCCTGAATATATTGTCAGCACCTCAAGTGGTGCGTGGCACAAAGTAGTCACTCAATGCATATTTGTTAAATGAAAAGGTGGATTAATGCCTGAGCCAGGCCTAGAACTGAAGTGTTTGCTTTCTTTCCACCAGCATTTCTGAAGCATGCTGAAAAGTTTCCTTATGTGAAAGAGGGGTTCTTTCCTCAAATAAATTTAGGAAATGCCAAGTTAAACAAAATAACTTTCTTTGCTGTGGGTCTTTTCATACTGAATAGTTTCCCAATTTGTATGGCCTCAGAACCCACCTCCCCTCCGGCATCCCAGGAAGCCAGTCCATCTCTTAATTTTATCTAAAATCTATTATTTGACTATATATAGACTATATATTAGCTTAGATACAAACTTACTGCAAACATTTAAACATTAGAATTCTCTGTTGTTCTCAAATTATTTCTAGACTCTTGATTCTGTGACTTCCTTAAAATCTAGAAAATATACTTTAAGCTAGAGAAATATATTTGCATGTACTATTCAGGCTCCACAGTTTAGGGACAGAATAGTCTAGAATCAGAACAGAAAATAGAAACCTCAACCTGAAAGCCACATGTGCTATTTTTTAAACTAGACCTGCAGTTATGACTTTAGGCCCAAACATTATGGGTTGAGGGGAGAAAAAAAAAAAAGCCTCTCACATCAGCCCAGATGTGCAAACCAATGCTGAAGGGTGGAGGAGTAGGAAGGGGAGGGTAGCCTTCACTGGCAATAGAAAAAGTTAAGTATTAGAGAAATCAATAAGAGCTAAATATTCCTACTGACAGGGAAGGGCAGAGGGTAGAGAGGATCCAACACATATTAGAGCCGTCTGAAATTTCCATATGATAGCTATTTTACTGAAGAGAGTAGTGCAAAATGCCAAATTTTTCTAGCACAAAGAGAAATATTGGCAGTTATCCCCAAAATTCAGGTCATATAACAATAATTCAGGAATTATAATTAATAAATAATTCAGGAAAAATAAGTCCATTTATTTCCTTCCATTGTTCCTCTTTAGCAAGATGTATATTAAGCAAGGAAAAAGTAAGGTGAAATTGCTTTCCCTGTTATTTTTCACATGGTTCCCCTGGATCCAGTATTAAAATTTCTAGTTCTGGATTAAAGAGTATAGCAGCCTAATACTGAGATTTCCTATTTCTCTTATTTCTGTAGGATACAGTCTTATTAGAAAAATAATTCCTGAGAACTGCATTCTCATCCCTAATGTATTCTTTTAAATTTATGACCATTTTGGAGAAAATATCATCGACGGCAACATTTCAAAACCAATTTTAATTACAAATACACAATAACATCGATGGAAGTAAAGTACTAATTTTTAAAAATAAAATACACCCAATACACTCAGTTGCTATATAACTGAAATTACAAAAAACTACCTTGAGTAATTTTTGGCTCTCTTAATATGGCTTCTCTATTAATATGAAATTAGCCTTCTAAATGTTAGTGTTTCTGGTAAGATGACATGGATTAATTGATTCTTTCATTTAATTCACTTATTCCACACATATTAACTGAGTACTACTGTGCTAGGCACTGTTTAGGTTTCTATGACATAGTAGTGAATAAAACTGACAAAGATTCCTGCCATTGTGGCACATATGTATGAAAGTCCAGGAACGAGATAATGATGCCTAGGACCAGGACAGGGAGAAATGGATGGATCTGGGATGTATTTTGCAGGTACAGGCAGCAGGATTCCTAGACATACTAAATATAAGGAATGAAGGGGAGAAATCAAGGATGACTCCAGGGTATTTTGCCTGGAAGAATGGAATTGTTTCAGTATGTGTATGTGTATATATAGACATACACACACACACGTGTGTATATATAGACATACACACACGTGTGTATATAGACATACACACACACGTGTGTATATAGACATACACACACACGTGTGTATATAGACATACACACACGTGTGTATATAGACATACACACACGTGTGTATATAGACATACACACACGTGTGTATATAGACATACACACACACGTGTGTATATAGACATACACACACACGTGTGTATATAGACATACACACACACGTGTGTATATAGACATACACACACACGTGTGTATATAGACATACACACACACGTGTGTATATAGACATACACACACACGTGTGTATATAGACATACACACACACATATGTGTGTATATAGACATACACACACACATATGTGTGTATATAGACATACACACACACATATGTGTGTATATAGACATACACACACACATATGTGTGTATATAGACATACACACACACATATGTGTGTATATTTTACTTTGAATGTGATAATGAGCACCTTAATGTAAATGAATCCATTAACTGGTTAAGTGTACTTCTTATTTTTAAATACTGTACAACTGACCAGTGTTGGTTTCGTCAGCTAAAAAGGGGCTTCAAAGGGAGTTTTCTTATGATTCATTTTTGTAGCTTCATGGCTAAAAAGTATTTAGAAGAACACAGGTGTCTGAGTGTGTGTTGTTTGGTAGTTGGGTATTTCCAGGAAAAAAGGGGTGATGACAGTTACTGGCAGGGGAAAGATGGAAATAGCAGATTAGTACTAGAGATACTGCATCAGGGAAAAGATATACAGACTATGGAGCATGAGAGAACAGAAACTTTGTTTAAAAATGAATGCAAAGTTGAACCAAGTGCCAAAGTGGTTTTGGAAGAGAAGTGAGACAGCCATCGAGAAAATCTAAATAGTTTCTTCAAAATGCAGTCATGGCTGGGCTAAGCCACAAGTTCTTCTTTGGTGGCAAAAACTAAAACCTCCCATTGGGTTCAGCAACTTATCATAAAGCTGCATTTCATTTTTGTTTTATTAACCAGTCCCTTCCAAAATTTAAATATACAAAGCTGATATAAACTAAATTATCATCTCGTTCCTAAATCTTTCCACCCTCCCACATTGCCCAGTTAATAAGCCATCATTCATTTAGTGCTGAGATTACTGGCATCCTGATGAGTGAAATTTGACTCCTCTTTCTCACACTACTCCACACCCCTCAACAAACACATAATCGTAAGACTTACTGCTTTTTCCTTCCGAAACATTTCTTAAATGTATATTCTTTCCTCTGCTTTGGCTCAGTATTACCTTTTGCTTGGACAACTTGGTTTTCGACCTCCACTTTTGAACCATTCTCAATCCCATCATCTAATCATTCAGCTGCCATCCTATAATCATTCAGTTTTTATCAACAACTATTCTTACAAAATGTCAATATGACTCTGTCAGTCTCAAGGGTCATTTATTTCTTCATGACTTCCTACTACTTATGAGTAGTAGATGTAAGCTTCTTAACAGTATATATGTTTCCTTGTCAGCACTCTTGCTACTAAACCAGTTTAACTGGGCCTCATCTCCACATTGTATTTCATGTCCAGCAGCAATACCGTGCTTGCTGGGTGCCGGAACACGCTACTCTGTGTCCCCACTTCTTGCCTTAGCTCATGCTAACTTAATGTGAGTTCAGCTTAGGAGTCCTTCCCTCAGGAGCCTTTGCTTTCTCAGTGAGGTGCGTTTAGAAGCCCGCTTTCTGAGTCTCCATGGTCCCCTCACCTCTAGGCGCTCATCGCTATTGCTGCCTTCACTACATTGTATATGCTAAGTACTCATTTATTTGCCTTTCTCTCCCACCAGACTGTGAGTTCTTTGGAGGCAAGGACCATGGTCTTCCTCATTTTTTTTTTTTTTTGAGACAGAGTCTCGCTCTGTCGCCCAGGCTGGAGTGCAGCGGCTCGATCTTGGCTCACTGCAACCTCTGCCGCCTGGGTTCAAGCGATTCTCCTGCCTCAGCCTCCCGAGTAGCTGGGATTACAGGTGTGCACCACCACATCCGGCTAATTTTTGTATTTTTAGTAGAGACATGGTTTCACCATGTTGGTCAGGCTTGTCTCAAACTCCTGACCTCGTGATCTGCCCGCCTTGGCCTTCCAAAGTGCTGGGATTACAGGTGTGAGCCACTGCGCCCAGCCGGTCTTACCCACTTTTATATATATTTGAAACACAGTGGAGTAGATACCTAATAAATATTTGTTAGATTTATCTGAAGAAACTTAGATTAAATTCACTCAGAAGGTGCCTTATGTCAGGGATACTAAAAAATTATAAATGGATTTGAAATAGATGACTTAAGAATCTGTTGAGAACCAGGGTTCCCCAGAGAAGGCAAAAATAAATTACAAGATGAAAGGAAGGGTAAAAAAAAAAAAACAACAAAAAACAAAAAAACCCCCACACAGCTGCCTGCTGTGTGGTACAAATGTCAGGGTGAGAAAGTTTCTAACCTCTCTTATGCTATGTTTAGCCCCAAAGCCTAGGCCAAGTGGCTTCCTGGGTTTGTGGGACTTAAGTTCATATTATACATTTTTCTTTCTAAAAAGTATCTTCGTCTTTATTAAAACACTCGCCGAATACTCTGGCTTCACGAAATTCCATTTGAAAGTATGACCCAACCTCTTTAAAACCATTTTGTATTTTTAAAGAATTTAGAATGTAACCATACTAAATAATTCTAAGTTTAGTAATTCTTCTTGTCAAATAGGAAGCAGAATTTTGTTTTAAAAAATGGTTTCTCAGAAACAAAGCCCAAACCTGAATTCTACAAGGAAAAAAAATCTTAAATATGAATCGCAACTTCCAATTCATTGCCAATCTCCTCTCCTTGTACCCTGGAGCCTTGAGCAACGTTCTTTTGCATTATGCCAGGAAGAACTGCTGGCAAATGTAAGTGGGCTTAGAATTCATGACTGCAGTCAGCAGCAGTTGTGTAAATCTAGGGAGAGACTGGTATTTGACACCTGCAAGTCCTCAAGGTTAACAGAAGTCTCAAAAAGCCCAAGCCCCAGATTTTGTAAAATACATGGTTTCACCCCAACCTAATCAATGTCACCAAGAAAACTTGTAAGTCCAATAAGACAAACAATAGTTAAGTCTGCAGAATATTTCCATATAGATTTAGAAGTATATTTAACTCTTAATTCTCTGCTTTCAATATCAATTGTTTTTGAGCCTTTTCTTGGGTAAAGTTACCGAATGCTTTTTTCAAAGTAAGTCTTACGGGGAACTTATTTTATGTATTACAAACAGACTCAGAAATGCTCTAGTTAAGGAAGGAATGATGAGAGACTGGAATTGCTGAGGCAGCCACTGTGGTAAGTCCTCCCTGGGGACCAAAGGCACAAGACCACAGTCTATGCTAAACAAGGAGAAACAGCAATAAGACATACAATATTTGGGGTATATCATTTTAATTAATTAAATTGTAGTCAAATCTTAAATGAACATTACAAAAGTGTGTGTGTAAAAATATGCACCATTTTGTGCCATTTTTTTTTTATGAGAATTGGTGCCAACTATTTGGAGAATACCAAAGGTAGGAAATGGTGTCCTGCTTTCTTGTTCTTTCTCCTTTTTAAAACGCTTTCTTTAGAATTCTCCCTTTGCACTTCCAGTTCCAAGTTGTTTCTCAATGGTTTGAGAAGAAAGTGAAAACTTCTCTTTTACAAACGGATGAAAAGAGAGAGCCCTAATGGACCACATCTAGGATGCTAGATCATTGGGTCTGGAGCAAACTACCCAGTTTCCAACTCTGGCTCCAGAATCTACCATCTGTGTTACCTTGGGCAAATAACCTCAGTAATCCCCAGTTTCCATACTTGTAAAATGTAGATAATGATATTACCCACCTCATATGACTGATGTGAAGTTCAGAGATAACCCATCTAAGGTGTTTGGCACAAGGCCCGGTACACAGTAAGTGCCAAAAAATGTTTGCTTTGATAATACAAAGACAATATTGGGGAGCTCCCACTCCAATTCTGACCTGTTTGATTCTAACACACACATGCCTTCCTTACTATAATGAGATGTTTTATTTTTGAAGTAATTTCTGGTAACAAGCTCTTCGGATAATCAAAAGTTAACTATACTCATTCTGAATCTTCATAATTTAGAGAAAAATAAGGGGCTACAAGTCTTCTGGGTCAAAGCTTAAGTGTTAGTGTAAATGGAAACCAAATAAGGTATCTGGAAAAATAAACAAATAATGAAAACAACTAGCAATATTTCCAACTGTCTCAAACTCAAAATACAGAAAGATAAGGTATGAGAATGAATCAGCTAAAACAGGTGTCCATGGAAGGCTGAAAAATTACAGATGCCTGCTGCTCCTCTAGAAGGGTAGCAAACACTGCTTCCCAAGTGCCCTATCCATAAAAAAAAAAAAAAAAAAAAAAAAATACTGCTTTCAGATTCCCAGAGTCCCAGATACTAGCTACAGCACAACAAAGAAACAAAGAAAATAGAATTAAGGGTTCTCATGGGAATCACAACTTTATGACTCTAAAGCATTCAATCTTCATAAATACAAACAGTATTTTAAAGTCTGTGGGGGTGTTTTTTTTTTTTTGTATCAAGCTATAGGTAGCCCTAAAAATGAACCAAACATATAGTATTTTAATTTTTATAAATCTGTTTCCGAACATCTACTCTGAAAATGCATTCCTGAGGCAGAGTCTGGTTTACTCCATAAAATTTATTTCTATTCAGTTTTCATAAGTCAAATTTGTTTGTTAATTTTCTTCAAGCCTATAAAGAAAATAAAACTATTTCTAATTTCACATGTATAAAGCTATTGATATGCACAACACATCAAGAGCTAAATTAGAGACTACAGTTCTGATTTCTAAGAGGTTGGCATGTCTGATGTAAATAAGAGGGCCTGTCAAGTTTCTTAGACAGACTGATTTATAATTGCAAGAAATATAGGACTAAAAAGATTTCTAAGGATGGTTAGGCCATTGGCAAAGCCATCAAATCTATGCCTTCACATAGAGAAAGAGACACTTTGGCAAAAAAGGGCAAAGGTTTACATATGGGTAATTAAGGTAATTACTATATTTGAATAACTGATATTACAAAACTTTTGCTTATCTTTTAGATAGTTATTTAATTCTGCTAGGAGGTAGAACCACATACCACAGAGTCCCTCTAAAATAATGAAACTATATAAAGTAGTAAAACATTTTATCCCCTGGCCAATAACTCACAGCATTGCTCCATGAAAAAAAGAGATCCATACCGCTAGGCTTTGTGAGACGTTTGCAATGTTCTTTTAAAGAAGACAGGCATCTAAAGATGAAGGTAGAAATTCAAAAGCACTAAATGATTATGACCACAAACAATGGTAAAGAAAAATGTCAAAATAGCAAAATACAGTATGTAAAAAGTTATATAAATAGAATAATTATTTTTAAAAGTTAGAGAAATAGAGTAATTTTGTCAAAGGGAGTCCATGAACTACTAAAATAAAAACTCTCCCCACCATATTGGGAGAAAGCATGAATAGTATAAAGGAATGAAAAACTCAAAACCACTCCTAGCAATACCAGATGGAGACAACAAGGCACTGGATGTTACTTTACGCTATCTTAAAACATTGCAGTATTTTACTCATGTCAGATTATAATCAAACAAATCACGCTGTCAAACAGTTTTTAGACATTATCAAATGATTAATTTTGAAATTCAAAAAACATGTATCCAATATTGGCTGGGGAAAACCCCTTGTGACTGGCACTTTCGAACAGCTGTGGGAATATAAGGCAGCAGCAGCTTTCTGGGGGTGGGGGATTCAGATGGGATAAATGATTTGGTGACAGTTATTGAAAACTTTAAAAGTATTCTGACCTAATAAATGCCATATCTAGGAATCTATCCTGAGGAAATAAAGATAGCAATAATAATTTATGCACACGGATTTTAATCATACCATTATTGTTATACAGAAACCATACATGTAATAGGAGAATGGCTAAATGATAGTGCATCCATAAAATGAAATGTTAGGTAGCTATTTAAAAGCAACTTTTATTATTTAATAACATAGGAAAATGCTCATGATACATGCTAAATGAAAAAAGAATATAAAAAAGCAATAAACACATTAAGCCTGCAATTTTAAAAATGTAAGTGTGAGCAAGAAGAAAAGACTAGAAAGAAATTGAATAAAACTGTTTTTCACTATTAGGGACCCTTTTATTACTCATCTTTATTCTTATGTGTATTTTATACACTTTACAAATGTTTATTCACTTTGTTTTTCAATCAGAAAAACAATAAAGGCTGCATAAAAATAATAACTAGATTTTAGGTTATCACTGATACTTGCCCTTTGACCAATTACCTTAAATATTCTTGAAAGAGGTTAGAGATTTTTTTTTTTTTACAGAATCAGAATTTATGAAGTAAAAGACTTTATCCCAAATTAATCCTGGACTCATTATTCTATTCTTCAAGTTTTCTAAAGAAGGAACAAAACACTGTCTTCCTTTAGAAACAAAACACAAAACATCAAGCATCCCTAACAAAGTTTTCCGTTATAGCCAAATACAGAGCTTTCAAACAGCTGTGGAAATCTAAGTAAGCATCATCTTACTATTCAGTGGAAATGGAACACCCTCAAATACCTTCTTTCCTAATCTGAAAACTGACTTATAAATTACCAACATAACTAGATTAAGGAAAAACTAAAAAGCATTCAGATTAGTCATAACAAAAACTTCTAAGTATTGATTAGTAGAGTATTACTACCTTCATAAATATGGCTATGCCTTATATTCTTACTCTAAAATAAGATATCCATAACATACCTTACTAAGTGGTTATTAAACCCTAGGCTTTTCATGTATTATAAAGAACTGCCCTTTTCCTATGGCTGCTTAGGTACCAACCCTCTACTGATGTGGGCCCAATTTAGTTCTTTAATCACTTGGCTATTGCATTCTGAGTTTTATTACCCTAAGCCCCCTAAGAACCTCATCTTTTAAAATTCAACCAACTGCTGCTTTTCATTCCCCTAATCTGTCCTTTCTAGACTGGACTTTTTCCTAGGACACTTTACAATGCCACTGCTCCAAAACATCAAGTGTTAACTCAGAAAGGAAAGTAACCTCCACTCCCACACCCTTGATAACACCAGCAACTCTGCCTGCACCTTCTTTCCACTGGAGAGAGAGAGATCACAGACAGAGAGAAAACTTTCTTTCTCCACTGATAGATGACAAAGCAACTCTATCAAGTAGTTGACTACCAAGATATTAGCTGGTGTCTAGCTCTAGATAACAAGACCTGCCTTCTCTGTTCTCCTTGTCAACTTGTTTTTTTAAACCTTTAATATCCAGTTTTTCTCCTTAGAGTCTTGTCATATTTGAACTTGGCATCTCCAAAAATTTCTTTTATGTTTCTCGAACAATTAGGAAATACAGATTTAAAATGCCTTTTTGGCATCTATTGAAACATGTTCTGGTTTTTCTTATTTAACCCATAAAGATGACAAATTATCTTTAATGATAATGAGAACAACTTTAACATATTTGTTTCTGCAAAATAAGTATAGCTTGATAGTTATGAAGTTCAATGTCATAATAAGAACCTGTAAACTCAAGAACTAGAATGTGAGCAATAACACATCCATCCATACTCCTCTCCTTTTCCCTCTGCCTGCCTTTCCCTTCATGGGTAACCACTGTTCTCATTTTCATAACTGTCATCCCTTTTTTGGTTTTTAATAATTTTATAATATACATAAACCTACAAATAGATTGTCTGATTATTCCTGTTATTAAACTTTATAAAAACGGCATCATACCGTATGTATTCTTCTGCCTGCTTAGAGTTATAAGTTACTGCTTTTCATTGTTGTATATTATTCCACTAAATGAATATACCACACTTAATCTCTATTAGCCTGTCATTGTTCTTAATTAATATGGGCAAAATTTAACAAAAGGAGCTTCAAATTACCTAAATATTAGTAATTAAAAGTAACAATAGTCATGCTTTCAGTATTCATATGTAAACCAGTATTCTTTAACAGCTAGAAAAAAAATTACTCTTTAAATAGGGCTTCACATCAGAATTTCATCTGTAAATCTACCTTTTCTTTCTTCTTACGACTAAGGTTCCAGGTATAATTAAACCCAATAAAATGTCCTTTGGAGTTGCTTTTTGAAAATCCTTTTGTTCCAATTCTCCAATGGGAATACCCCCTGGGCAGCTCCATTCTGATAGAATGAGGATTGGAGTGTAACCTGAACACCTCATGGATAACATGTTCTAAACCAAACACACCCATGTCTCCTGTCTCAACCTGCTCTTTTCGTCTATTTCAGATTTGAATAATGGCCTCACCACCTAACCAAACGCTCAAGTAATAAATACAGAGCCATCCTTATCTCTTCTTCTTCTTCTCCTCCCATATGTAAGGAATCCCATGTATAAGGAATGACTAAGTCAAGGCAGCCATTGGAGAAGCATGTTAAAATGCAAATCTGACCACATGACTCCCTGGCTAAAATTTTTTAAATAGTTGATAATCTCCTACCATGTTTGGTAAGCTATAATAGATTGTGACCCATTGGAAGGTCATGGCATTAATTTAGTGAATTGTGACTAGGATTCTTTTTAAATGAAAGAGAATGGAATAGAACATATCAGGGTACATTGATGAAGTATGGGTAAAGACTATGTTGTGGAACTTTTGTTTCAGTTGTGTGAATGTCTACATCTATATGTGTAAAGCTATGTGATGTAAAACAGTTTTGCCTGTGAATTATTTGTAAATGTATTTGAAGGCCACTCATTTACTGATGTAGTTTTCTCATATTAGAGAGGTCAGAGGTTACCCAGAAATTGATGGAAGTCATGAAGCTTCTTTTGAGAAGAGAATGTATACGTACCTATATATATGTATAGTCTCCAAACATTGTTATGACAGTGAATCGAGCTATCCTAAGAATATCTGGGGGAAAAAAATTGTTTTAAGTCCAGGTTTCCAAACCTCATCATAGCTCTCCAGGGAAATTTTATAGATAAGAAGCACTGATCTCCAAGGTGAAACCTAACTCCTCAAGAAGGTGGGGCTGGGTGGTAGATCACCCCTGTAATCCCAGCACTTTGAGAGGCTGAGGCGGGAGGATCGCTTGAGTCCGGGAGTTGGAGACCAGGCTGGGCAATATAGGGAGACCGTGTCTCTTCAAAAAGTGAAAAAATTAGCAGAGTGTGGTAATGCGTGCCTATAGTCCCAGCTACCCAGTAGGCTGCAGTGAGCTATGATTGAGCCACTGCACTCCAACATAGGTGACAGAGTAAGGGATGGTTAAATTTAAGGGACCACAAAGTATCAAAGAATTGGTAAAATATTATTTTCCAAGCTTAAATAAGTGTGAGTACTATTAAAGTGATACTGCCTGCAACATAAATAACTCAATTCTACAAGTTCAGTTTTTGGTGGGAAACAAAAAAGCAAAGCCAATTAGTGACAAATTTTATCGACAAACAGATAATGTCAGGAATACAAATGGGCTATTTTACCTTGTCTACACAGTGTCTACCTGTCTATCATGGTGCCTGGTACACATCGCGCACTGACAAATATTTGCTAAGTGAAGGCAGTAAGCTTAACTCATTGCTAAGAATACAATTTAAGGCAATTGTGGTAGCTTCAGATATTAGTTATAGCTCCAGCTGCTGCATTCCAAAGTGATGCAGTTTGGTGAAGGACAGAGCAGGGTGAGCACCCCTGTTTGTGCTCATGCTTTGGGGGGCTTGTCTTGCTGTAGCTCACAGTGGGGCCTGTGTAAGGGTATGATCCGTGAGTACTTTGAGATAGTTTCCTCAGGCACCACAAACATACAATCAAAGTTATTCTCCCACACTCTGCTATTCTGAGCTCTTCAAGGGCAAGGGGTGGCCTAGACCGAGTACTCTAGTCAATTTACAATAGTTTCAAAGTATGATTCAATTATTGTGTGAGAAAATATGCAGTTTCCAGAGTTCCCAGGGGCAGCCCATCTCCTGGGTAAAATGAGATTTTAAAAAATGTGCACTCTAGCCTGGGCGACAGAGCAAGACTCCGTCTCAAAAAAAAAAAAAGTGTGTGTGTACGTGTTGTGTGTGTGTATATATAAAAACTAAAATTTTTTTAACATTAGGTAATTTACTATTTTATTAACACCTTAGTAAATTAACAGGTGGCTAAAGAGGTGTAATTCAGCAAAAATATTAGATGATATCTATGCATGTTAACCACTGTAATATTAAAAAAATTAAAACAGAACTACCTTTATAAAGAAATATAATTTTAACATTCTTCTGGTATTAATTACACTCAGAGCCAAGAGTATCAAGGTAGCTGTTAGCTGGCAACATTCAGAGCCGACTGACTAAACACAACCCTTGGCAAAACCAGTGGGCTAGCCAAACCAAAACATCAAGGGAAAGAAGTCGGAGGGAAGGCATATTATCTAAGAAGGTATGGCAGTGCGGGGGATTTATTTTTATCTTTGCTGTGTATTTCAAGCTGATAGCTATCTTTGCTTCCCCAGGAACCAAGTAGGGTAGGGAAGGACAATCTGCAGGAAGCATTTTCAAGGGGGCTGAAATTGCCTACTAACTTCAAATACTGTATAATTTTGTTTTTCAAACCCAATCTTCTCCACACCCCCCACAAAGTAAAATAAATAATTAACAAAATATCTCTGAAGGCTTTGCTAAGTTTGGGGATAAAAAAACGAGAAGAAAAATCCAACCCTCTGTTTAATGACTCTACTGAAAGAGTTTTATAGCAGTATTCAAGCCTTTAAAGTTACCAGTTAAATGCCAATTTCATCTTCGGAAGGTCATTGTGCCTTTTTAGAAGGCATACATTTAGAACTTGTTTGGCTGGCTATTCCTTGTTCATTCTGGGAAAAGTGTGTGTGACTCAGTGTTTCACAGGAGATACTGCATGGTACTTATAGAAAATATTTTCTATTTTCAGTCCTCTTCTTAAATTCTTAAACATGATTTCTAAAAATTAGGCCCGGTATGGTGCTTTAAACCTGTAATCCCAGGTCTTTGGGAAGCCCAGTCAGGAGTATTGCTTGAAGCCAGGAATTTGAGGCCAGCCTGGGCAACACAGTGAGACCCATCTCTACAACAACAACAAAAAATTAGCCAGTCATGGCTGTGTATCTATAATCCTAGCTACTTGGGAGGCTGAGGAGGGAGGATTGCTTGAGCCCAGGAGTTCAAGGCTGCAGTAAGCTATGATTGTGCCACTTCACTCCAGCCTGGAGAGCAAGACCTTGTCTCAAAAAATAATTATTATTTTATTATTTCTAAAAATTATGTTATGTAAAACTATTTTCTAAAGCCTCTGGGATTGCTGAGTCTGAAAGTAAGCAACTAAATTAGAAAGAATTTAAGAATAATATTCTCATAACAAATACTGAGTTAATACCGAGGTCTAGAATCTCATATACTGTGACAAAGTTAGCATTATTTCTCACTGCCCTGGGGAAATTACTCCCTGGACATGAGTCCCTGAGGCCTGAGGCAAGTCCACTCTGTAAGGCTACCACATGCCAGCAGATATGGGCATTATTCACTATTGAAAACTTTGCCATTTCAGATTTTATCTCAATTATAACATACCACACACTTACCTTTGTGTGTGTGCACATGCACACACACAGTTCTTAAATAGGTCTTCTGGAATTTTACACACCTATTGCCAAGATGTGACATTTTGTATCTACTAAAACCCTTGTTTAAAAGGCTATTTCATACCAATGACAAATACACATATACGCCTTGTTCCTGATAGTCCCCCATTTCCATAGAAGTTCTGAGTGGAGGGTTCTGGATGAATCCTACATTATGAATTATTTTCTAAGTATTAGTCTGTATGTGTTTGTTAAGACTGTGCGTTCTCTGAGGGTGGAGCCCATGCCATGCCCATCCCTGCATCTTTTCACACAAAGTACATAACAAGCACTTGGCACTACTAAAGGCTGAAAGAATGTTTGCACAGTGAATAAGAAAAAAGCAGAACAACAAATTAACCTATTAACACATTCATTGATTAGGCTACCTGTTTATAGTTTATTGCTTAGAACAATTACGTTGGTTGATAACTGCATCAGTAACAACTGCTATTACAGTATGGCAGGAAGAACTTCTCCCTAGCAGTGTGAAGAACAAGACTGTAGTTACAGCTCTGCCTCTATTAACTGTGTGTCTTTAGACAAGAAACTTTCAACAAGCATGCAAATACAGAGTTTAGTTTTTAAAAATGTACTGAAACACATCTGTGGAAAATTATCACCTGTCACATTTTCAGTACCAGATCAGTAGATACAACTATCTTGATTTTTATAAAGCTTACTTCACAATAAAAATGTTGCTTTTGGAAATTGGGTGCATTATACCATTATACCCCTCTGAATGTTGTAACTTGAAGATCACAATGCAGTAGCCCATGTGAACGTACCGGCTACCATTTCTGTCTAAATATGCTGTTCTAGAGAGATTTATAATCCTAGTAAACCTTTAGTTGTAAGTATCTTAGGTACAGATTAGAACTGTGAGAATTGGTTGATTCACTCTCTTCAGAATCAGCAAAGCAATTTTGGATGATTTATTCACCTCCTGATATTCATGAGTTTAGAAATGAGAATCAACTGCTACCATAGATATTTCCTCACCTTTCTGAATCCAGAAAATGCCTTCAATGACCATCTAATTTTCTGAGCACCTTTTTCCATTAAGGAACAGGGGTAAAATGAACAGTGAAGTCACAATTTATATTTTTAATACTACAAAGGCTGCTGCCCAACTGTGATAATAAAAATCCAGGTAATCAATGACTTTCAGAATTTCTACTCTTTAGCAGCATATTGCTATACTTTAATATTTCAGTCTGCATTTATTTAGAAGAAAACTTCAACCTAAGGGAACATGTTCAGGCACAAAAGCAAATATGCTTAAAAGCTAACCAGCCAAGACCCAAATTCTGGCCTTCTAAAGACATCACTGAGGGAAAAAAATCTTATAATTAGTAACAAGGAAGAGTATAACCATGCAGTGCTTAGTGTGAGTCTCATCAGGGAAACAGAAAATGATTTTAACATTATATGTTCAGTTTTAAAACGATATTTTAACAATGCTTAGTTATACGTCAAATATGCCTATATATGACAGTATCATGACAGTTAAGGTACAATTTCAGTCATATTTGATGTAAAAAGACAAATAAAATTTCTCATTAAGGAAAAGTATCCTTTGTGGAAAATTTAAATTTAAATCTATTAATTTAAAGCCCTAAACATATTTCACATAGGAAAAAAATCTGTAAGCATACTTCTTCAGAGAGGATTTAAAGCAATCAGCAAGGCAACATTAAATTATCATGGCTCTCGAGAAAAACAGAGGAGCAGTGTACAGAAGACCCTCACATCGGTGGCCCTGCGTCTTCCCTGTGGGCTGTGCCAACCCACTCTCTCCCCAGTAATGACTCTTTGTTTTTACTAAGTCCCAAAGAGCTGGGGAGAGCTCTGCAAAAAGAAGGGGGGGAGGGGTGGATGGAATGCAGCTGCAGGCTCTAAAACAATGCTGAGTCCATATATTTTGTTCCCAGTTAGAATAATGAAAAGAGTGGGGGGTTGAGACAGAATAAGCAAGGTAGGATCAACCATCCTATAGCTCTCAGTCTATAGTACCTCCACTCCTCATCTACTCTACCAAATCCAATCACCATTTGCTTGGGTTAAAAAGCTTATCTGTTAAAATTCAAACACCCATTAAGATTTAAACCCATCAGTCATTTATATCTAAATTGCTTCCATCAGTGAACTATACCAAGGCAAGGAATAAAGTAGGAAGAGAAAGTAGAGCAGGCAAAGATAAACTGAGGGCACTTGGACACATGGAACAGGAAAGCTACAGGGGGACATAGGTAGGAAAATTTAGAAAAGGTGGTCTAAGATTTCAAATATAAACTGCCTGCTTTGCAATGCTGCTTGGGGCCCAGGGGCAACTAGTATGCTAGAGAAAACCATACTCCCTCCTAGACTGCTAAAAACTGCAAGGGTCAGAATGGAGAGTTTGGAAGCCTGCACATATTGGTGCCCCATAATTTAGGGTTTTGGCATAACTTGATGCCTCCTTAGAAAATATCCTTTACTTGCATTTCCCAGGAGAAAGAATTAAGGGAAGCATCAGCCCTAGAACCCTACTGCTCCTAGTAAGAGAAATGCAGCTCAAACCTTATACTCTTCCTCTAGCCCTCTTCTCCCAAGATAATCCTTTAGTGAAAATCCATGGAGCCCTCCAGGGCTGGTAGAATTAGGCCTGACCCTGGCACATCTCTTCAGATATTATTGCTGCCATTAAAATTTGCAGGAAAACTCAAGAAGCCTTAAATAAACACCTGAACTAAGCCCTCAAATAGAAAATCAGCATGTGCTAATGACTACCTACTAAAAAGCTATACAACAAAATTCAGAAGAATACTTATTCCAGTTAGGATCCCATTCATGAACACTTAGTCACTGAAGAGGAAAACAGGACTTAATTGTAAAGCTGTCATGTAGAAGCAAAACTCTGACATCCACACAAACATCTCCTTCAAGTAAGCATTACAAAACACATTTAGAAGTACTCTTGGCCTGTGTTGAATGATGTAATTAATCTGACTCTTGAACTGTTTTCCAGTTATAAAGGTTAGAAAGACTATTTATTTAAATTGACACTTTTGCATTTTGTGACATAAGAAAAATTCAGAAGTCTGTAGATTTACAATAATCAAGAATCTTCCTCCCTCAGCTTATGTTTTCTCTATAGCTCTAAAAATCCATTTACGGATATTACAAATTTCCATTTTATAGCTAATATATAGAGGCAAATATAGAATACATATTAATTTAAATGAAGAAGCAAAAAGAATAATTGAGTCTACTATTTATTTTATTACTATGAAATATTAATAGTAATAATTTTAAAGTACTGATTCTACTCCTGTAAACTTTATCATCTATCATAAAGACAAAATTCATAAGTCCATTTTATTAGGCATTATCATTTATTGTGCTTTTAAATGCAGTAATAAAATACACAGAAAACTTTGTTTATTCTGTATATATGAAAAACTCAATTTCTACTTACATATTTCATTTCCTGGTATATACAACTTAAAAAAGTGCACACACAGCAAAATTTTGTTAATAGTAAAAGCAATTACAATCATAACTTGCCTGAAATAAATAATCCCGTATGGATGTTAAGCTGTGATAATACATACTCACATAATACCTTGATGTACGTTATACTTCAATAAAAAGGTTCAAACATGCAATTATCCATGTTATGGATAAAAAAACACTGTCAATATCAATAACCATATATGAATTTTTTAAAAGTAAGTTAATAAAATAAGATAATTCAAGCATCTTAAAGATGTCAGAAATTTTCATTTAGTCACAAAGCTCACAGAATGAGTGGCTGATTATAATAAAAGGGTCAACTGAAAACGGATTTTAAAAGTTGAATAGCGTGCAAGAACATTAGATTTGTTTGTTAAATCAATAAGAGTACTCACCCCGTGGAGTCCTTGGAACTGGATTGAAGGTCGAAAAGGAATTAAATTCTATTAAAAGAAACAAAAGAAACAAACAGGTAAACCTTGGTTACTGTGACATAGAACTAAATGTTTAAACTTTAAATCTATGTTATTTGGGCCAGGCACAGTGACTCATGACTCTAATCCCAGCACTTTGGGAGGCTGAAGCAGGAGGATCACTTGAGGCCAGGAGTTCAAGACCAGCCTGGGCAATACAGTGAGACCTCCCCCTCCATCTCTATTTAAAAAAAAAAAAAAGAAAGAAAGAAATATATGTATTTGGTCAGTGTCATAATGTGTGAAAATCTCTTTTCATTATATACTTTCTTTTGCATGTTACTATATTAAGATGCCTTGGATGAACCATATCACACTATTTACATTTCTCTCTGAACCACACAAACAAAATATATTTTTTGGCAGTGCAGCTAATCATGTTTTTGAAACTGACCAACATGATTTGGCAAAAAATGGTTAGTATACCAATTCAATTTTACATTAAAAAAACTGTATTGTTGCATAGTTTCCTGGTATATTTTTAATAGGGGTGGGAGGAGGGAAGAGATAATTGGAGGAACTTTGCAATACTGTAACAGGATGCTAGAAATATAAAATTAAATATTTGAGAATAAACCTGTTTGCTATTTTCTCACATTTTATCAGAGATTTGTTTTTAATTGAGAGCCAAACAGGTTACCAGTTCTCTCACATGATTCTCACCAGGAGAATGTAATTTCTAGATCAGTGTTTTTTATTATGAGCTTTTTCTTCTTGATAACTTCAATATTTTATCATAGAGTTGTGCATTTAGAAGAAAAGCTGTTATCATAAATGTCAGCCATAGTCTTTTGCATGATTTCCTGTATTCAAAGTCACCAGCATATTTTTCTATGGGAAAGCTTTTCCAAATTGCCAACAGAAACCCACGAAGAAATCAGATTTGGGTAATGTTTAATGGTAGTACATCAGCCTATAAACTATTCACACCTTCATATTCAAATCCAATGTACAAAAACAGTGGTTTCTGGTCTCATCTCTACCCCAAATAAAAATATAGAGGCACTAATATGTTCCTCACCTCAGCTATAGCACATCACCTACTACTTCCAAATGCTTCCCAAAACTTCTCTGCAGACTTAAAAGTTTACTAATAGGGATTATAATAAATGAAAGAGAAAGAGAAATAAAGATAAGAACTTCTTTAAAAGACAGACCACCTGAATGTAAAATCAAGTGTAACATTAGCTATCTTATTATTATTGATAAAAATGAATAAACAAATATCTTCTTGGAGAAAACATTATAATGGATACTGTTACTGTTCTACTACCATAAAAGATCATTTAACTTTAGACTTATCAGCAGAATCTAAGTACTACTGGGTAACAAATTCATTTATTGGTGTGGGAGAAGTGAGCTTTTTAAAAAGGAAAAATAAAAAGGTAGTACCTGAATTTTTAAAATCCAATTTTTTAGTAGATTTTCATTCTAATTCATGGTCTTTTATGAAAATATAAATATAGATTAACTTTCTTAAGGCGAAAAATGCCACCCCCAAACTACTTTCCACAGCTAAACTCACTCTTCCTGAAGTAATGAAAGCATGCCCATAGGGGCCTAGGTAGCCCCTCTTCATGTGGAAGAGTAAGGTGGCCCTACAATTGAGATTATACAGGTTCATGTTCCAGCTTTCACAATATTTCCATCAGTCCTGCTTTCTGAATGTCTCTCCAAATCAGAAGCACTGAACATAACCTCATTACACTTCCCTCATTACACTTCCCTCCTTGAATTCTGGCAACTCAGAGGTTGTCTTCAGCTCACCAATGAAATTTGAAATTCTCTCTCCAACAAGTTCATTGATTCTTCTTGGTCAGATAAATGCAAACTTCTCAGCTTTCAAATTGCTGATATCCCCACTGGATATCCATCAGTCCTCCCAGCTCTCTGATCACACCTTTCATTTCGAAAGGCTAGTGCCTTTCCTTTCCTCTTTCTAGATCCATTTCATCCTGGAGGCTCACTGAACCTGTTGGGTGATAACTCTGAATCTCTTCTCCATTCCTCAGCTGGCACCTCTGCATAGCCTGCTACTTACTACTGCTGATAGGACATTTTGCATTAGAAACTCACAATGGCAGCAAATCTCAATGACTGGCAAATATGAAACTAATTCCCCCATCCCCAGCCTTCCCAACCAAACCGTCACCTCTTTCTTACTTTTCTGGCAAAGGCACTTTTATCCTCTTGGTTATCCAGGCTCGCCACCTTAAAATTAACTTACAGTCTCTTCTCTCCCCGACTTCATATTCTATTAGTCGTTTACATACTACATGCCACTAGAATCACAGGATTCCAAATCCAGATGAGGCCTTAGAGATAATACAGTTGGCGCCTATGCCCCACAGGATCAGAACCCAAGACTCAATCTCCCTATTTTGCCATGCTGCTTTTCTTCTACTACCTTATGTTCCACACACATCTGTTAATGGGGTATTCAAGAGTGTGGGGGCATAATCCCTCATGCCAGAGAGTTCATCTTTTAGTTGGGGAAAATTTGAGAATGATTAAGTACTAGGCTAAGTAGCACTGGGAAGTGTAGTAAGAATTCTCAAAAAGGACAGTACGGGTTAGAACACATAAATGTTTATTGAAAAGGTGGCTCTTGAATAGCAGTTTAGAAAAGGTAAGTTCCAAGGAGAGAGAATACCCTGAGGAAAAAAGCAAGAAGACAGGAATGGACACTGTATGGTCAGAGGGCAGGTCTGTATGTGTACGCTTCTTTCCCACTTGAAATACAACAGCAAGGATGAGATCTGACCTGTAAATTCCTGCCTAATTTTTCCTTATCCTCAAAATGTGTCTTCATTTTTAGTTTCTATTTGCTACAGAATAGGGCAATAATTTAAGTTTCAGACCTCAGGATGACTCTGTCCAAAAAGTTTATCACTCTGAAATAATCCTGCCCTAATCCCCTCCCTAACCCCTCACTGATGGGTTTTACTCTTGCCTTTAACTTGATAAACTATTGGAGGCTCTCTCAATTTTTTGTATAAGAGAGTTGCTCAAAGAAGTGTTTTGGGGGAAGGCAGCTCTTTCAGTTATGTGTAAAATAGATGGAGAGAGATGGATCAGGGCAGGGCAGGGGTGGAGAAGTGAGCTAGTGCAGTCCGGGCGGATGCTTTAGAAATACCCTGGAAGTGGTAATAAAGGCCTAAGTTAGTATGACTGCATCTGCAGCTAACAGGGGATAGTGGACAGAGCAGATATTCCCCAGGAAAAATGATAAGATGTGCTGAAAGCTTGAATATCAGACACCAAAGAAAGATGATGCCAGCGTGGCTCCAGGGCTCCCAGTCACCAAATCTGGCCACTCTGCCCCAAACTCCCTCAAATTAAGTTCTTAGTCTCCATTTCAAAAGCAAGACCCTTATCACCTCACAACTAGACAATGGCTTTTTCCCTTCCTTGAAGTCCTTCCAAATTGTTCAAATAGCCAGCAGAACCTCTCTCATATACCACTGTTGGCCCACAGTAGTTCTTACCACTGTCTGTCAAAACAAAGCCAACTACTAAATAGAAAACACATCCGCTATCAACCAAGATCAACCAGAATCAACCAAGTTCATCTTCCACTTCCTCCCAACAATGGCTCAGCTATGTTAACCTTTGTTTGTTTTGCAAAGACTTTCCTCTCTAACTCTTTCCTGTTCTTCCAACCTGGCATAAATTCCCAAGCTCTACTTTGCCAATCCATAGTTATTGCTTACTTAACATTCAAGCTCAACATTAATTTCCTCAGTGAGACCTTCCTTTGGATAAACCAGAAGTCAAACACTCAATGTTTCAATGTCTTCAAAGACCCAAAGGTCTTTGGAACAGATGGATGTAAGGCAACAAGGAGTGGTGAGTACCTGGAAAATGAATGCCCAAAGGAAAAAAATCCAAATTTAAAAATGTTAAACCTGTTTCTAGCCAAACAAAACTCTGGTGCCACCATTTTGCTAACTTGGAACTATGTAACTATGAGTTAAATCTCATTAGCTGTTTGTTCAGATCCCAGCATCTACTGTTCCACTACATAAGGTATATTTTTTCATAGGTTGTCTTATTCCTGATTGTTATGATACAGGAGTCTTAGGCATATGTAACTTACAAGTATTACGTGCTCAGCTAAAAAAAAAAAGTATTGTAAAATCATTTTGTATATGTTCTCTTTATATATGAAGTATACCACTATACACACTGTACACATATGCAGATTACTATTCAGGGTTGTACAGACAAGACAATATGTACTATTCTTCACAACAATTTAGAAACTTGAAATTTTGACTATATACAATCTTTTTTTACCTCACGCCCTGAATTTAGAACTTGACTTCTTGACATGCTTATAGTTCTACCTATACAGCTTGACTCCTCAACAAGAATAATTTTTATTTAGTTTTCTAATGTATGGCACAGAGCATTTTTATATCTATCGTCTCAAGTGAGCCTCCTAAAACCAGCCCTGGGTGGTAGGAAAGCATCATTATCCCCCATTTCAGAGACAGAATAAATAATGAGTCTCTAAGAGGTAGAGTACATCGCTTAGGATCACAGACCTGGTGATTAGCAGAGTTGGGCCTTAAATCCAGTCCTCTGAATTCCAAATACAGTACTCTTTCTTTCTCTCTTGCCTCTGAAATGTGTTACCCCCTAGTGCTAAATATTTAAAAGACCTTAAATGTTCACTCAGTTCTTTTGGCATTTTGTTTCCAAGGAAAATGAATTTCATAAAGTAATTATAATTTCCAAAAAAACTAAAGTATAATTTAGTTCAGTTTCTGATTAAAAACTGAAAAAAATAGTTTTTTTTTCCTTTAAGGATGATGTATAGTGAAAGAACATAAATATTTGTTACCATTTTATTTAATACATAATAAAACACTCATTTATGGAATAGTTGTATGTACTTATCCAAACAGGGCAAACTAAGCTCATTGTTACTCAGAAATTCTTTTAAGATATCTAGCAATCTAGAAAAATACTTAAAAGAACCTCAAAGGCTTTACTGATTTTAATCCCAATTTTAGAAAAGAACATGTTAACTAGGCTGCAGCTCTTGAATGTTTTTAAAAATGCCATAAGGCCGGGCGTGGTTGCTCACGCCTGTAATCCCAGCACTTTGGGAGGCTGGGCGGATCAAGAGGTCAGGAGATAGAGACCATCCTGGCTAACATGGTGAAACCCCGTCTCTACTAAAAAAACGAAAAATTAGCCGGGTGTGGTGTGGGCACCTGTAATCGCAGCTACTCGGGAGGCTGAGGCAGGAGAATGGCGTGAACCCGGGAGGCGGAGCTTGCAGTGAGCCGAGATGGCGCCACAGCACTCCAGCCTGGGCAACAGAGCGAGACTCCGCCTCAAAAAAAAAAAAAAAAAAAAAAAAGCCACAGGAAGAAACAGAACTCTACACCACTTATTTTGTATCTGATCACTCACTGTGTTATTAAGAGAGCCACCAGGAAAAAGTTTAGAAGTCAATACCATTATAAGCAAATGTCTAAAGCATGTTAGTTTTTTATCCAAATTTTTTTAGCCTAAGTTTAATTGTATAAACATGACCTCAACTCATTGTATCTTTAAACATTTGCTGAATACATTCCCATTAGAAATGAGTTTCAGGTAAGGCTTCAACTTTTGCTTTTAGCTTTAAGTAAATATTTTCACCAAGTAGCTCTTCTGAAAATCAAGTTACTCTAGGGCTTAAGGGAATAGTATTTGAGCTATAAGTAAGAGAGTTATCTTGTATCTATTTCCAACCAAGAACACAAAGGCAGATTGTAATTGGCTAGGGAAACTCCTTCAACAACCTGATAAAAGTGATGGTTTGCAGTCAAAAGATTCTGTCAAATTTTAGTACTTTCACTGCTCTTAGAAGCTCCTTGAATTTACCCTTTATACCTCTTATGAAATGTTGGGCATTCCTAAGCACAGAATAGTAGTATAGGCAATGCTAAAATGCTCTTAAGTTTGGTTATACTCTTGACATCTGCATTTACAAGCCAATGCTACTGCAACAAGAATTGCTCTATGACCAAAGAGATCTATGTACACTTATTTCCAGGGACTATTCCTCACAATATATCAGAACTATAAAAGTAATATATAATTTACTGAGTCATTTTCCTAAGAAATATTCATTTTCCTAAGGAATATTAATTCTGACATGATTCCTTTGGGGTGGGAGAAGAGCACAGCTGTTTTTTTGGAGTTGAATAAAAAAGTTATCCTATAAAGGTAGTTTATAACCATCTCTTGATTATTTACATATTGCTTACCCATGTAAACAAATTAAATGTGTGGTTACCTTTCCCTTATCAACAACTGTCAGTTTTACAAATATACAAGCAAGAAATAGCATTCTGGGCCTAGAAAATAACAATATTTCTAAAAAATATTATAGAGATCTTTCCAACTTTATTCTTTAAGGTTAGAGATGTTTTTGAGACACCTTTAGCTTCCCTTTTGAACCCATCATGGAACTTTGAGTTAACTAAAGGTTAACTCTTGAATTATTCTTTACTTAATTCAAGAATTCTTAAATTATTTGAAATCAATCAGCAAGTATTTATTAAATACTTGGTATCTACCTTTGTATCTAAGCTGCATTATAAGCCATGATAAAGATACTGCAAAAAAAAAAAAAAAATTCCAATGTCAAATATAATTTTGGAACTTTGCCCAAAACAAAAAAACTTTCTATAAGTGGTGATGGTTCAAGTGAGTACTTAAAGTGGATTGTTTAAAGAAACAGTTTTAGCTAACCAGTTACTATTTGAGCGTTTACAATGTGTCAGGCACTATCCATTTTTACTACCACCTCTGGGAATTCTCAGAAGCACCCTTGTGGGGTAGATACTATTATTCTCATTTCTCAGGTAAGTTCTGTGAATTACTGAAGGCTACATGGCTAATAAGTGACCTGGGGCTCAGAACTGTGCTCTTATTCAGCATTTTATATAGTTAGTCTTTCCTGCCCCTCTTCAACAATAGTAATATGAAATTTGAAACTGAAAGCCAGAGAATTAAGAATCACTTTTTTGGTTTTGCACTATGGCAGAAGGAAAATACCAGACAATTTGAGAACTTGTTTTTACTTGCACTAGTAAAAAGTAAATAAGTAGACATGCTTTTCCCTGGGATGCAACTTGGATAAAATAGATCATCTTTCTTTCCCCCTATGCTATTTAAGAACTGGTAGTAATGATTCTTTTGTTCAAGAGTCACTTTTTTCTTTGTTCTTTAAGACATCATCTGATAGAGAACCCAAAGAAGACTATTTAATAATTATATTTTAACCACTGTAATAAAAAATGTCTAGGCAAGGAGAGAGGAGGAAGAAAGAAAATTGGAGTTAAAAGCAGAAAATAGCACAAGAAATCAGACAGTTGATCCTGAAGAAATAAAATACACTCAGCTCTTGTTAAAAGCCAATAATATGCTTAGAATAATACATGATATGAAATTTAGAAATAATCCAAAACTACTTTAAAAAATGGTATCTCCTTCTTTGCCTCAAACCTTTTATTAGATGCCAAAAAGAAAGTCATTAAGCTTCACAAAACCAATCTAGTATTTTTCCCTGTGAGTCAATGTAACCTTAGATTCAAAAGAAATTCCTTTTCTGCAGATTTGGAAGAACCAGATTAAAGAACATATGAAGTAAAGAATAATTTCTTTCTAGCCACTACAGCATGGAAAGAGTGAAATATAAGGGATTATCAAAACCAACATCTATTTAGCACAATCCTTGTTTTGAAAGATAGCTTCTAGAAAATGGTGGCTATCTGATACATGCCAAGTTTTATTTATATATATATATGTATGTATGTATGTGTATATATATATATATATATATATATATATATATATATATATATATATATAAAATCTTCATATATATGGTTGTCTTAAATCTTAGGATTTCAAATAGCTCTTGAACATGGAAGGCAAAAATCTAAACCAAACAACCAGCCAAAAAGTTAGTTACTGTGAACCAGCCTTTAAATCAACAACACTTGGCCAGGCATGGTGGCTCACACCTGTAATCCCAGCACTTTGGGAGGCCGACGTGGGTGGATCACAAGGTCAGGATATCGAGACCATCCTGGCTAACATGGTGAAACCCTGTTTCTACTAAAAATACAAAAAATTAGCCAGGCGTGGTGGTGGGCGCCTGTAGCCCCAGCTACTTGGGAGGCTGAGGCAGGAGAATGACGTGAACCCAGGAGGTGGAGCTTGCAGTAAGCCGAGATTGTGCCACTGCACTCCAGCCTGGGGGACAGAGCGAGACTCCGTCTCAAAAATAAAATAAAATAAATAAATAAATAAATAAATAAATCAACAACACTTGAAGCATAGTATTCCACCATTTTTTCCCCCAGATTTAATGTGGGCCTTATAATTGTATAATTAGCTTATATGTCAAATCTGACTGTAAATGCAAATAAAGATTTGTTTCCTGGGATCATGAACTCTAAAGCAGAAGTATAAGGAGAAGTGGTAAAATAAGCTTAGATTGGAAGATGAAGTTTTTTTTTTTAAAACTAGAAATTAATAAAATGTGGCATCTAAAACATTTTTTACAAAGGGAGCCATTGGGGACTTGAAACTGGGAGACTACTTGATCATATTTAATGTTCTGAAAAGATCACTCTAGCTGCTGTGGATTATGGGGGAAGGGTAGAAACTTGAAGGCCACCTCGAAGTTTATGGCAGTGATCCTGAGGAGAGATGATGGTAACTGGGACTGGAATAGCAGTAATGGGTGGGGTTAGATTCAGGATATTTTGAAGGTGACAGTACTTGCTGATAGATCAAATATGTCAAGAAAACAGGAGACAAATCAAGGGTTGCTAGTCAATTTCTAGGCAATTTGATAGAGAGTTCTGCCACTTACTGAGATAGGGAACACTTAGGTAGATAGAGATTTGAGGAGTAAAATCACGAGTTATTTTTAGAAACAGCGAAGATATGGAATCAACCTAAATGCCCATCAAAGGTAGACTGGATTAAGAAAAGGTGGTACATATATACCATGGAATACAACACAGCAACGAAAAAGAATGAGATCATGTCCTTTGCAGCAACATAGATGGAGCTGGAGGCCATTACCCTATGCAAACTAACACAGGAACAAAAAAACAAATACTGTATGTTTGCATTTATAAGTGAGAGCTAAACATTGAGTACGCATGGACATAAAGAGGGGAATAACAGACACTAGGGCCTACTTTGAGGGTGGAGGGTGGAAGGAGGGTGAGGATCAAAAAACTACCTATTGGGTACTATGCTTATTACCTGGGTGATGAAATAATCTGTACACCAAACCCCCATGACATGCAATTTACCTACATAACAAATCTGTACACATACCCCGAACCTAAAATAAAAGTTAAAAAAAAAATCTTACTTGATCCCTCATGGAATCTCATATCAACAAAGGAGAGGATCTTTTATAATAACAAAATCAGGTAACACTTTTATAATTTCCTTTATGTCTGTACTTATTGAAATAGTTGATTGTCAGAAGATAGTTTTCTCCTTGCAATGATTAGCCATACCCTTGAGAAAAACTCCTAAAAGGGTATAAAACACAGTTTGGATATGTAAGGTTTGAGATATCTATTAAACTTTGATGAGGAAGTATATTGGAAATCAGTACTTGGAGCTAGAGAAAAGGATAGATCTGGAGATAAATATTTGGGAGTCATTAATGTATAGATGACATTTAAATTCAAAGGACTAAATGAACTCACCTAGGGAGACTGAACAGATAAAGAGAAGAGATAGAGACCTCCAACATTCAGAGGCCAGTCAAACAGAGGAAAGTAGGCAAAGGAGAATGAGAAAGAATAGGCAGAGAGGTAGGAGGAAAATCAGGAAAGTGTTTCTAATAGGAAGAAGTGGTCAAGAGAATGGAATACCACTGAGGTCTGGTAAGATGGAAACAAAGAGATGACCACCGGATTTTAACAGGGACCTTGGCAGGTATAACCTCACGGGTGTGGTGGAAACAACGGGCTGAGCAGAGGATGGCAGGTAAAGAAGACATCTCTTTGAACACAGACTTTATAGTGTTCATTTTTTTTCACATTTGCCTGCTTCTACTAAAATGACAAGCACTTTCTTGGCAGGGACCATTCATGACTTATTCAGCTTTCTATCTCCAATGCCTAGTTCTATCCCTGGCAAATGTCAGAAGATAAATACATGTTTGCTGAGTGAACAAACGAATATTTGGTAGTTTAACTCTACCTCTTAACTTTTTATTAAAGAAAAAACATCTTAAGATACTCAGCTGACTTTTTATTACATGGACACTTTTTCTGGCTCTTGAGGTATCATGGTTTCTAATAATGGAGCCAAAAGCAATGATATTAAATGTTATCTTAAAATATGCTAATACTTGTTTCTAGCTAAGCATATTTAAGTCTTAAAGTATCTCTGTGAATCTTATAAGAAAGTTCAAGCCTGGCTACACCCTTGAATAAGCTCACAGTTGAGTGAAAAAGTCTTCCAGACTAGGTTATCTCCCTGGATCAAGAAACAAGCGCTCATAATAGTCCATTACAATGTGTATGTATAGCAAAAGTTTTATGCACTCATGATTCTTTTGTTTTTCATAAGGAACTGCCAATAAAAAAGAAATAAAGGAATCAAAACACCAAAACAGAAATAGAGGTAATGTGAGGTAATTGAAAGCACTCCTTCAAGGACTTTAGGAATTACACTATTTCAAAATAAAACTTGAAATGTAAATCCAGGAACGTTATATAGAGTTACTTACGTTTCATTAATCAATAGGACAGAAACCACAGAAGGTCTGATTTCCATGTTAAAATAAAATTAGATTTCATATTATCAGTGCTTTATGATGGCCTTAAGTACAATTTATAGACGTTATTCAATAAAGAAAGTCTATAAAAATACAAACAAAATTTAAAATGCCCTGCTCAAAACCAAATTTTTTTCCCAAAGAATTTCAACTTTCCTCAAAACGTCAACAATCTCCAAAATTTCCATCCAAATAAAACAGTTTATATAAGACATGTTAAGTAATACAGCACTGTTTTATATATCTGTCTGCCTCAAACTCCTGAATATACTTCACAAATATAAAACATCTAATCAAACCCAAGTCTTTTCATTATCAACTAAAAGACTGAGTGAATGTTCACCAAAATATCACTCACATCTTTATCTCTCCTACCCCCAACTCCACTCTCCCAACTGCTTCCAATTTCCCTTTTTCTATTAGGGGTACTCCTCCTAGTGCCAATGGCTAGAAATCTCAATTCAATCCTGCTTCTTTAAAATATCTTGTTAAATTATTCTTTTTTTTTTTTTTTTTTTTTAAGACAGAGTCTTGCTCTGTCGCCCAGGCTGGAGTGCAGTGGTGCGATGTTGGCTCACTGCAAGCTCTGCCTCCCGGGTTCACACCATTCTCCTGCCTCAGCCTCCTGAGTAGCTGGGACTACAGGCGCCTGCCACCACGCCTGGCTAATTTTCTTTTCTTTTTTTTTTTTCTTTTTTTTTTTTTTTTTTGTATTTTAGTAGAGACAGGGTTTCACCGTGTTAGCCAGGATGGTCTCGATTTCCTGACCTCGTGATGCGCCCGCCTAGGCCTCCCAAAGTGCTGGGATTACAGGCATGAGCCACTGCGCCCGGCCAATATCTTGTTAAATTCTATAGACTCTATTCATCTCCTACCTCTCCCACCAACACCCTAGGGTGGACTCCAGTTATCTCTGGCCTGGACCACAAACTTCTTCCTAACTTGTCTATCTCCTTCCAGATTCACATTATAGTCATCCTGCACACCAGGGCCAGAATAATCCTAAAACGTAGATCAAATTACCTTATATTTCTACTCTGTTTACAGAATAAAATCCAAACTTCTTAGTAAGGTAATGAATCTGCTCTGACCTACTTTTTCTCTCTTAAACTCAACTACATTTTTCTCTTGCCCTTCATGTTAAGCAGAACAGGGTCTTTATGGCAATTCTTGGAGCTTGCCCTAGCTACCACTCTTCTTTGCTTACCTATGCCATTGTTTCTGCTGGAGATGTGGTCCCCATCCAGTTTCTGTCTGCTAAAATCTTGCTAAAATCCTTTAAGACCCAAGGATTTTAGACCAATAACATATAGGATCCCTGTGAAGGAAAGAAACTCATGCCATTTGTTTAACAATCTAGTTACTATGAAACCAGCAGCCAAATGCCCTTTCTGTAGAGGTCAATTCAAGGTGATAATTTTATTCATGAATCTTCAAGGAGCTTATAGCTTAATTAATAAAATTCCCTTTTCTTATATCCTGAATTAAACCATGCAAATGCCAGTTTTGGTCTTTGCTGGCAAAGTATTAGTGGCAACTCTTAAACCAGTTCTTCCTGAAGATTTAACATTGGCTCTCAAGAGCCATAGTACTGCCACAGAAAAAAATAGGAAGGAAGGAAAGAAGGAAGGAGATAAAAAAAGACAGAGATAGCAATCCTCGCTGGTAACCTGACCCGAGTTATGCTGTGTTTTCCAGCTTTAATTTGCTCTAAAGACATGGACATTAATTTATTATATTCTACTCCAGAACTGCGGTAAATTTGTGCATAAGTTATAGGAAATTCTGTATGGAGCTGAGGTATGCAGGACAGTCAGATGTTGGGTTATATACATGTTGTTTTCTTTATTGTAAGACTTAGTTCATCTTCAGTGTAGGAATGTCCATAATATCACATTTTAGGGACATTTTCTCAAACAATCTAAAATACATTTGGCCCAATCTAGCAAATGGTGGGCTGGATCTAGTGCCGGGCTCCTAAGCTTCTCTGTTGCAGAGAAAAGGGTCATCACAAATTGTTAAAAGTGACCTAGCCTTAGTTCAGCTGAAATTCTCATTTTCCTCTCTCTGCTGGCTTTATCACCAATTACCTAATAAGCCTTATGAACACAGCTTCTGTAATTTTTCACAAGTGCAAATGGAGCAAATGGAAAGGCTGAATCTGGTGATTGTCCTTGGTAAGCTTTTCTGTAAGTCATTCCAAGAATTCTACGCCCCTTTCCTTTTAAATTCTTTTCTTGAACATGTTCCAATCCTTCACATATGTTCTTTCTTTCTCTTCCCAATTCTGGTGCCAAGCTTCCCTGTCTATCTTTTTAGGCAATCTGGCTACTACTTTTCTCAGGGAGGAACACCCTCCGTTGCATTGAGCAACTGGGCATCTGAATAAACTTTCCAAACACTGAAGGATGGGGCACAAACTTGACTTTACTTGATAAAAAGCATTTTAAAATCAAGCACAGACTGAAAATGGGTCTAAGTTAAAAGTCAGTAGGATTAATTTATTTAAATTAAACTTGGCTACATTTTAAAAGTGGAGCAAATAGAATCTGCTAAAGCAAACCTCACTGTTTTACTTAATAAACATGTCCAACAGTGGTGGCAGTGCTGTGCTGGCAGGTCTGGATGCTCAAGTGGTGGCTTAAGAACAGTCTTCTGCATTTATAAGGCAGATTATTGAAAACACATACAAAATATGGGCAGGCAAAAAAAGAAAGAGAAAAAAGCAGAGTATGAGTCTTTTCTGTGTCTTAAACTATAATGAATCAAATGCTAAAAAGTTCACCTGGTAGAAAAAAAGGATAAGGCAAGGAAGTCACTTACCCTCTGACCTATGGACTCAGTGATTTAACAAAAGGTCAAGTAACACATTGAAGGGAGCTACTATGAAGGACAATAATTTTGGAGGCTTAAATAAGAACTTATGCTTTGTAAATAGCATCTAAAATTATGAAAAATTAAATGGCAATATATATGTACAAATTTTAAAAACATTATCACTTTCCTAGAAGACACTAACAAAGGCAGAAAAATGTATTTCAATCCAATGGAGTTGACAAGAGAAAGTGTTAGCAGAATCCCACTTAAAGGCATCTGCTTTCTGATCTTCAGGGATAGAGCAGGAGTAGCCCCTGCCCCCAAACACAACTATGCAAGACTGTTTATGTAATAGTCAGCAAACATGGTAGTATTATTTGAGCCACCACCTTTGAAACTTTGAGTAAACATTTTTTAAAAACTAAACTGACAGGCTCAGCAACAAAATCTGAAAATAATGCTTTGATATAGTTTTTGTTATAAAAGTAAGTTACTCAAACATCAAAATAAAGCCAGCAGCATTACTGAGGAACCTAGCTAAAATGTATTTTTAAATGTTGGATTTTAATTTTAAATATAGTTTTCCATTTGGGGGAAATATGTAATTACAGTAATATATGCTCATTTAAAATATGTAGAGCTTATGTAGACCACACAATCACAGATAACAATTTAAAATGACTATAAAGTTGTAATTTGTGATTTTATTTATTTAGCAACTTTTCTCCTCATTCAAAATAATCTACATTTTAAAAGGTTAATATTGTAGATATCTGTATTATCATGTCTAAATTTTTCTGCCAATCATGAAAATAACTTTCCAGTTAACATGATACACAATCAACTTGAAACCATTTCTGTATTCAAAGTGAGTAGCAAAACAACTTTTACAAGATATTTACTCCAACTATAACTCTCATTGCTGGACTCACAATGCCCCTCTGCCTGTTTAGAAAGGCTCCCAAGATCACTTCTCTAAAAATAGGGAACCTGAATAATGAAGGTCAAGTAGGATTATGTGTCTTTTGAAACAGTGAGGAATTGTAATTTGAAAAAAAACAAGATTTCAAAATTTTCATCAAATATTCTGTTTCCACAAACCCTTAGAACGCTGTAAATTTGCTCAATTACATCTAAAGAAGTTCTCTGTTCTGCCTAAATCATAGCTTCCTAAAATTTTTAAATTCACTTCTCTGAAGCCTTACGTCAAAGTGGGTTAATTTAGAAGGGTAACTCCAATAGACAAAATAATTTGGACAAAAAAAGAATTCTCTGATGCTTAATTTAGCAAATTAACCTGTTGAAATTTCTGGCTCTTAGTCATTAGAAGAGAAGGAGTAATAGTCATCACTTTACATAGGCCAGAGCTGCTTAGAGGCTACCTGCCATCAAGTACCCTCCTATATGAGTACAGGAATGGTGGCGGACAGTTTTATATGAGAAATTAAAACCATTTTCCCCCCAGAGAGAACAGGTTTGACCACTAGAAACCTCTTCCCAATTAGCCAATCCATGTGAACATGTTCCCAAACAGCAGCTTCAATTTAAAGTCATGAGCCCTATTTCTAATAACGATGGAAGACAAGAAAGACCAAATTAATATCCTTCCACTGGAGGATAAAAGCTCAGCCAGATGCCTACTGCTAGCAACTCTTACTGTGCCCATAGAGGTACACTGGTCTGGCTGAGTCAGGAGGAGGGGCACTGAGGACACACAGGTGGGTGGAGCCTGCAGTAAGTACCAACGGTACATTCAGTCACCAGAAAGGTATCTATCTCATTTTTTTGGTTTCTTCCCAGTTTTCATCCAACTGAGGTTGACAGTTTCACTCCAATTCCTGCTTGCTTGTCCACACCCCTTAAAAAGTGTTTCCATGGCTGAGCTGACAGTGAGTCCTGATAGGAGCTGGTTAAGGATGGTCAGCTTATGTACCATCCCCCGCATGCCACTGTTTCTACCACCAGTTTTGCAGGAGAAAAGGAATCCTAGGACTAATACAAGCTACTTGGCTCCATGCTTTAAGGTAGAGAGATCTGGGAAAAAGTCTTCCTCCTTTCCCTTTGCTGCCTCTGTAGAGACCAACCAGACCCATAAATGGGCATGTACAGAAATGGAAAAAGTACTAGAAGCAGTCAGAAGCAAACAAAGACATTGACGACTTTGGTACCTCTTAAAAAGTAATTTTTTTTTTTTAAATTAAGAACTAAGTGGTGGGTTGGCAGAGAAAGAATTTTTGATCTTCTGTCTCCTGGAAGCTACTGGTATATAAATGCAGGGGCTTTTAGAGCACTGTAAACTTAATCCCAAATATGAAAACACTAGGGTATAGGAAGCAGAAATGAAGGCCATACAAAGGTAGGAAAACAAAGCACTCCCTTCTGGGGCCTCCAGTGGTCATGCAGATCATGACCAATTACTGTCACTTCGCTTTCCCTTCCCCAAGTGGACCTCCTCATCTGCCCACTTTCCCCACAAGTGTACACTGTCAATCTTGCTGTAATCAACTGTACAGTTGCCTGTTGTTTTCCCAAGGTAGCTGGCTGACCTACTGCCCCCAGAGATGCCTCTTCCCACCCACTGTGTGTCAAGTCTTTCTCTGCTCCTCGGGTCTGCTCCTGAATAGGGGCTGGCCGCCTCCTGCTGACTTCTTTTTCTCTGGGCCTCTGGGTTTTCTCTTCACATCCCCAGACCTACCTTCTTCCCACTGCCATTCCTTCCCACGCCCTTCCCTTGGAACAGGCAAGCTTATCTTTCCATCTTGCAAGGCTGAGTTTCTCTCCAGAGTTTCTCTCCACTGTCTGCTTCTGTCCCTCTGCCTGTGTTTCTGGCTTCCCCCATATGGGCCTCCCACTCCGTCTGATGCTGGTCTCTTCACTGCAGGTGCACCTATCTAAGAGTAGCTATTGGCACATGCAGTTTTCTATTTCTTGTATCTCTCCCAGCCATTCTTGAGATTTTCTCTCGAGATTTCACTGTATGTAGGACGGTACCTTTCTCCCTGTGCATGCACTCCTCCCTGACGCCCCCTCACCCCACCACACAAAGTCTGTGAGTCCTTTTCACCATATGCTTCTCTGGTTAGTAACACAAGTGTCCTAGCACGTACATTCATGTGTCCACCCAATTCTGTGAGTACCTTCCTAACAATACACTCACCTCTGAGCCTCCACTGCTGTTTACAAATACCCTATCATGTGAGTTCATTTTCTATCCAAAGCGTGCACAACTAATGCCTTCCTCTGTGTGCACACTTATGGGGTGGGGGGGCTCTCTGAATACACTCCCAGTAAACCAGGGTTCACACCTCTCCTGCCGCTCTGCCTCAGACTCTGCCTTCGCTCTATGTATTTAAAGTGCCTGGCACTAGTGGGAGCTCAACAGATGTCAATTCTTTTCCCCACTTTTAGCTGAATAACTATGTGAATCTGTGTCTCGGTGTCCTTCTGCCCCTCTGTCTGTTGTACGAGACCGGTTGGAGTGTGTTCCTCAGTACCGAACGGGCTATTTGTAAGATGCCCCGTGGGTTCTATCTCCCTTCCGACTCTCTCCTCTCCTGTAAAACGTTACAGGTTCCCCCATATGGCATATCCCTCCCTCACGCGATGTATCCACTCCGGTCTCCCACAGTACTGCATGTCCATAAACTGTTTCCCCATGCACCCTGGTTACCGCGTCCCTTCTCGGTGCTTCCCTGTCTCTCCCATTTTTTTTCCAACATGAAAGCGTCTGGATTTGTAGTCCAATTACAGTGTATGTGCGCCTATCTGAGCCTCTCTCTGTACTGGAGGGGTGTGTGTGTATATGTGTGTGTGTGTGTCCATGGGCTTCTCTCGAAAACGAGGGGTGAGAGGCCCGAGTCTCTGCCCGGGATGCATTGTATCCTCCCCACACCTTCTGGCTCTGGCTCGTTCCCCGTTTACACTTCCCAGAGTCAGCCCAAGACGCCGGGAGCTTTTTCGGGTACGTTGAGCGTCCGTGAACCTCTCTCTCCAGAACCCGATGTCTTGCTCCCGGGGAGCGCTAAGTGTGCGTGAGTCCTCAGGTCTCTCCCCAGGGCACTGTGTTGGTTTGTGTCCGTCCTGGACGCGGCGCGTCTCCAGTAACGCGATGCGCCGGTGTCCCGGAGTCCCTGGGAATGCAGGTGTGTCCCCTCCCCCCCCGTACGCGAAGCGCCAGTGTCCCCGCCGTTCCAGTGTGCGCCGCCCCCTTACACGGACTGCCTAAGTCCCTATCTCTATGAGTACACCGTGTGCCCCTCACCATGCGCCCGAGTCCCCATCCCTTCGAGCACACAGTGTGTCCCCTGATACGTGGAGCGCCTGTGTCCCCAAGTCCCTGGGAATACAAGGTCCCACCCCCACACGCGGAGCGCCTGTGTCCTGTCTCTGAGGATCCACCGTGCCTATGTAACTGGAAAACGCGGGCAGCTGGTGCCCGCGAGTCGTCCCTGGTTCCTTGCCCATACGCTGCTCGCTACCCTCCTTCCCCGCCGAGGGTAGCGTGGTCATCTCACTTCTCTTATCGGGGCCTCTCTCCCTCCTTGGGACCCAACAAGCCAGGAAATCCTCGGGGGCCGTCGGAAAGTCCCGCAGCGGCAGCGCAGCCGACCCAGGGCTGCGGCTGCCTCGGCCCCGCCGCCAGGGGCCGCCCGACTGCCCGCTTCCCCAACGCCCAGGCTAGCCCGGGACCGCGGCGTCAGCCACCCTGCCCGGCCCTGCCCTGCCTGGCCGCTGCGGGCGCTGACGGTAGCAGCTGCCAGCCACGGCTCCGCCGGCCCCGCACCCGGGCGCGGCCAGGCCGTGAGGGGTGCGCTCTGCCTCTCTGAGCCCAGCCTGCCGGCCGGCCCGCTCACCTTGTGGCTCTGGTAAGTCTCGAGCGCCCGGATCGCCGTCTCGGTGAGCTTCACATGCAGTACGGTGATGTTGTCCTGCCCCAGCCGTCCGCACGACAGCCCATAGCGCTGCTCCTCCCGCAGGCCCCCTGTCCCCCCCGCCGCCATCTTAAACTCCCCGGGGTGCCGCCGCCGCCGCCGCTCCGGCTCTAGCCTCCACTGCGGCCGCGGCTGCTTGGGCTTCTGCAGCCGCCGCCACTGCTAGGGCCATCCCGCTGCTGACGTACTGTCATATACTGCGCGGAGCCAGACCTCGGACTGCCACCGCCGCCACCCGCCCCACCCTCCGGCCCCGCGCCCCGCCCCGGGCTCGTCTCATTGGTCTTGTTCCCTTCAGAACCGCCCTCATCGGCCGCCCTCCACTCTCACGGGGGCGGGCCCAAAGTCACTAGAGTTTTGCTCCTGGGACGGGACGTCCGAGAGGTAAGAGGCTGACGTCTAGGTGACGCGCCAACTTAATCATGTCTGACGTCACGTCTGGTCGTCTTGGCTAGCCGGCCGAGATTGGCCAGGCTGGCTTGGGGACTCCCCTGCTAATTGGAAGTCCAGGTTGCCTGGTCTGGTTACCTGGAGTTGGAGCCCCGCCCCTGTGGGGGATAGTAGTGAAAAGTCAGAATTGGGGAATCTCGCCCTACGCGGGTGGTCCTTGGAGAGGAGGATCTCCACCTCCACTATGTAAGGGGATGGCCGTGACCAAATAAGGACTTTGTTCCCCGACGGCTGCGGAAGCTGTGGAACTTGGTGCGTGCGTGTGGGGGAGGACGCAGCAGGAGGACTCGCTAGAGAGCTGCTCCTCAAAACTCCTAGTACTGTAGTTGAGCAAACGGCATTGGGAGGAAACTGCTCACTCTAAACTTGAAGTTATCGGGTGCCACACGCAGAGCTTATAAAAACAAAAACAAAAACAAAAACCCTTGAAATTAGTGAGTCGACTCTTAGATGTAGGAGTTGTGTTAGATCTTGTGGAGCATCTTAAGGACAAAATCACGCGGGAGGTTAAATGCCTTTCGTATGGTGGGCATGGTATAATAGAGAATTGAGCTTCGAGGTCTTTCCTACGCCATGCCCTGTTGTGATTCTCTGGGATCACAACTGGTGGGGATGATATCTCCTTAAAAAGGACTCTAGAAGAAGAGTAAAACTGGCATTGATCTAAATTAAAAGAAACCTCGACAATTCTCATTCTCTAATTCAGTTTGAGTATTGTCCTTTTTATTTGATAGGGCTGTGTGAAAACCTAGCTAGGGTTTAAAGGTAAGAGGCTGTCGAGGTTAAGCGAAGGAGATGGGGGCGTGAGGGGCGTGCAAAGGCCTGGCATACTTTCCATTCCATCCACAGGATGCTTCCTGTGTAGGCGTGGCTAAAAGAGGGAGCCTAATCTGGAGTCCCTTTCAGATTGTGTGTGGATAGACTGACAGATGGGTTCCTGTCAGAGGATGGATTAATTGGTTGATCAGAAACACCAGATAAAACAAACCATTGAAAGCTTTCAAACTGTTGAAAGGCAGTTTAAAAAAGTTCTTTTAATAAAAAAACTGAGACGCTTGTTTTTACCCTCAGCTTATAAAACCATGTTCTGTTCTACTGGGATTCCCCGGGAAAGTTTATAGATATTTAATCAGTATTTTTCATTATTTTAAATGGATTAGGGCCATGATTCCATGTCCTCCCCTCCCAATAAATGCCTTCCCCACCGTACGGGTACACTCCTTTTTGATTCAGACCTTCAAACATAGTAGGTGTATAATGTGAATTACAGAATGAATTGGATTAAGTGGAAACACCTGTATTAAGTGTTACTCCATCACAGGAAAACAGTTTGTAAATTGACTTAATTTCAATCCACTAAGATTGGCTAGCTGTTAAGACGTGATTAACGCTTGCTAATTTCATTTACTTTAGTGATACAGTGTTATCTTAAATTCATGTAGTAGAGATATTAAGGTAATCATCAAATTGGATTAAAAAGTTTACTCTTAGAAGGGAAATAGAGGCTTTACTACCTAGTTTTCTCCGCTTTCCAAAAGTAGAAACCTTATTCAAATAGTTCATCTCTAAGCGGACTATAATCTAAAAATAATTCTGTACTTGAACTTTTCTTTTCTCTCTCTCTTTTTTTTTTTTTTTTTTTGATAGTAAAGGACTGAGCACATAGCTAAAGCCTTAATTATTTGGGAGGTGAGGGGGAAGGGAGGTTTGACCGGAACAAGTAAAACCTGTATCCCACTGCTTTTCCGGTGAATGTGGGTAAATCCCCACCCACATGATATCCTAACTTGGCCTACTCTTACTCAGAATTTCTGATGACATCCAAGCGGGTGGGGGAGGAGTAAGGATGGTTTTCGTTGTAGTTTTCAAATATCTGACCTGTAGCTTCTTACTAGTAATTGACTTTTTTTAAAAATTATAATAGGAAAATTTTTCTCATGCCCTATTTTAGTGGGTAACAAATCTTTCACGGATTAATATATTATTGTAGTGAGTTAATGGTTGTTTGTATTTTTCCCCTTTTGAGCTTTTCAACTGTGGAAGGAGGAAATGATCAAGTACAAAGTAATATGGTAATCTAGCAGTGTCTTTTCATTGATGTCTCACAGGCATAGTACACATTACGCCTGCCTGAATCAGATGGTCAAGTTATGATGCTGGTTAGGATAATTTATTTTGAGGAGGCTGATGAAAGGTGCTTTTTGGGAAGGTTGCCATTTTATACATATTTTCTGTATCTTTATCTGGTTTAAATAATTAAATAATCATTGAATACCAGTTAAGTATAACATGCGGTAGAGGATTTAAAAATTAAACTGTAAAGTCTCTAGAGGAATTTTCTGTTTCAGTGTGGCAAGTGAACCAGTATAGTCAAAGCAAAGCAATTAGAAAATTAGTAAATGCTAATTTGGACGGTGTTGGTGATAAGCTCAAAAATTCAAAGAAAGGAGAAGTCTGAAGAGGTTTAATGGAGGTGATAGAACTTGAACAGCTCTTGAGGGTTGAGTAGATTCTAGATAAGTTGGAGGTGGTATAGATGGAGACAGCCCAACTAAAAATGATCTTCATGATGATTCCAGGTGGACACATTAGTTTTATGAAGGAGGAACTGAGACCCCCATTTATTTAAAAGCAACCTGCCTAACATAACCAGGAGAGGCAGGGTCGGAATCAGCTCTTTAAATGTCCTTCCAGTCCTTATATACACTGAGTAGCTATGGATTAGATTTAATAACTGAGAAGAAATCTGTCATATAAGACAGTTCAGTGCAGGAAAAAGGCTAAAAGGAATTTGATGCAGGGCCTGCTCCATCTCTCATGTCTAGTATACAGTGCTGGCAAAGGATATGTGACTATCAAGGCCTTCTCTGGCATTCAAATGCTGGGCCACCCCTCATTCCAGGTTGCTGCATATTTAATGACTGTTTCTCACATCTTTGGTACAGAGGTCACCAATTCAGATGCCTTCAGGGACCACTGGATATCCAAATGAGTGAAAGAGGGCAGATACAATGTCATAGGGACTGAAGATGCTGGACGGTAGTGAGCTGGGAGGTTTAAAGGGCTCAGTGATTTCTTGGTTCAGCTGATTGTTGCCAGGTGAACATAAGGTGGCCCAATGTTGCCAGATCTTCTGTTTTTTTTTAAAGCTGAGAAACAAAGATTTTTATGTAAATCTCCTAATATTTATTCTGTAACACTTAAGTTAAAAATTTTAATAAGCATTTTCTGGACACTAAAAAAGTTTTAGGCCAAAGTTAGCCCACAGGTTTCTAGTTTTCCAAATCTGCTGTAGTGACTGCCAATGCAGAAGGGCATTCTGTCTTATACCTGTATTAGCAGTTTTGCAGGTTATTTCTTAAACTCATCTATACAAAAAGTTAATTCTTATTAATGTCTTAATACAAGGCAATGGCTTCTGTTACAAAAAGAGAACATAGAACCTTATAGAGTTATAGCACAGAAGCTCTCTCAATGTAGAATTTCCAGAGAGAAAATCTTTCCCTTTTAAATTCTCTTCCCCAGTGCTGCTTGCTCCCTTGTGCAATGGTTGTGTTTGACCCAATCATTACACTGCTCTCCCTTCAAGACTTTGCCCAGCCATGTACTAAAATCTAAAATGTACTAAATTTCCTTGCCTTGGGCACAATTGAAGTGGAAGCTTGATAGTTTTAAAAGTACTTCAGCAGATATTCATAGAGAATAAAAGTAAGATACCTATAGTTAGGGCATAGATTTTGTTATGTAAATACAGGTTTTAAGTTGAATAATTTTTATTGTATTGTGTGAATATTTACTCTAAGTACAAGAAATGTTACATTGCATTATTATTATTATCATCATCATCATTATTGCTAAATTTGGCTCTGAGTTCCCCATCTGAGTAGTAGGACAGTTAATTTACAAGTCATACAAAGGCTCCAGAATATATGGGGAGGGCTCTCTAATCTAGGTCCATCTCTGCTGGTATAATCCTTTAGAGGCTCAAGAGTTTCTTTTTAGGAAGGGTTTGGGATGGAGCGCAACCTAGATAGAAGGAAATAGAGGACCTGAATTGAAAGTGTGTTTGTAGAGCAAACATACTGTGTTTACTTATGTTGTGTATTTTTATGGGGGTAGGGTTAAGTGGCACTGATGGGGATTATGAGAAGGGAGGCTAAAACCCTCCCTAGCCTTGTAATATGATGATGGACCATGTCCATATGATTTTCTGAAAGGAATCGCTTATCTGAGAACTTTGCTGAAACTGGCAGCCCTGGGGTTCTAGCCTCAGCAAAGTCAAGCCTCCCTCCCCAGGTGTATACTTATTGAGGTACTGAAAGGACACTGGACTTGGGCTGTGCACTTCCTGGGGCTGGCAGCCTCTGCTTCTTCCCAGGATTAGGAGGTGTTATCCCATCTGGGGACATCTACCTGTACACTTTCTTAGTCTCCAAAGTTCCTTTCTCTTTCTAGAAGAGTCTGGTTATTTAAAAAAAAAAATTGTGATTT
Organism: Homo sapiens; assembly: GCF_000001405.40. Classification (NCBI taxonomy): domain Eukaryota; kingdom Metazoa; phylum Chordata; class Mammalia; order Primates; family Hominidae; genus Homo; species Homo sapiens. The sequence goes on from NC_000005.10 coordinate 95,966,594, forward strand.
GGAAGTAAGGAAAGTCCCTCCTCCCTTCCAGTTCAAAGCCCTTCTTCACTCTTAATGGGGCTGAGTAGAAGGCTAGGTGGCCAGGGCTATCTCTCCTTTCACATGTATTGAATACACATGCACGTTAGCTTCCTAAGATGGAGATACTCAGTCTTCATTAATACCTTTTTAGCTTTTTTCCCCTCTCTCTATTCCTTGCCTTTCTCCACATTAAGAGCAGTCTCTAGAAAGTTGTATGTCCTTTGGAGGCAAAAGGACTCAGATTTGATTCCTCTAAACACCAAGAAAATTCTCCCCTTCTTCCCTGATTGAAGAAAATGTCCTGTCCACAGAACTGAACTATGTCCAGCATAGTGACCAAAGTGGCCATTCTCCCAGATGATAATTGTTTTATGGCTATTCAGTGTAGTGCAGAGTGCCCTGAAAGATATCATATAGGCTCTGAAAAGGAGAAGAGTGGTAAAGAGTGACCTAACAACTCTTACCATTTCCATGCTGTTTTGTACTAAAAAGGAGCAAATGTATTTCTGAATAAACTGAGGAGTTAGGAAGACATGGGGTGGGGAGGGAATGTTTGTTTAGCCTTTCACTTTTAAACATGCTAATAGTGGACCAAATGCCATCAGCCTCAAGAATGATTTTGATAATTAATAATAGCTTATTCTTGTCAGGTGCAGTTGTGTGATACTGTAGTCCCAGCTACTCAGGAGGCTGAGGCAGAAGGATTCTTTGAGTCCAGCAGTTTGAGGCTGCAGTCCACTATGATCCTTCCTATGAATAGACACTGCATTCCAGCCCAGACAATGTAGTGAGACCCTATCTTTAAATAAATAAATAAATAAATAAATAAATAAATAAGTAAATTGATGTGGTTTGGCTGTGTCCACACCCAAATCTCATCCTGAATTGTAGTTCCCATAATCCCCAAATGTTGTGGGAGGGACCCAATGGGAGGTAATTGAATCATGGGGACAGTTACCGCCATGCTACTGTTCTTCTAACAGTGAGTGAGTTCTCACAAGATCTGATGGTTTTATAAGGAGTTTTCCCTCTTTGCTTGGCACTGCTCGTTGCTGTCGCCATGTGAAGAAGGACGTGTTTGCTTCCCCTTCCACCATGATTGTTAGTTTCCTGAGGCTTCCCCAGCCACACTGAACTGTGAGTCAATTAAACCTCTTACCTTTATAAATTACCCAGTCTTGTTTATGTCTTCATTAGAAGCATGAGAACAGACTAATACATAAATAAAAAAGCTTATTCTTGATGGGGTTTTGAAGTTTAAAAGCAATTTAGTTACACTATCTCTGAATTTTCTGTGTAACTCTGAGGTAGCCATTGTTTTATACTATAGTTACCTTTTAGGTAACTGAGGCGCAGAAAGGGTATGTATCACTCACTTGATAAGTGACAGAGCCAGGCTAGAACCTGAGATTTCCTTTTCCAAATCTCGCATATCTACCTTTGAACATGGCTATAAGGTCTGAGGAATTATAATGAATGTGTCAGGTTATCACAGTGAAATTAATAAAGAGAAAATGGTTGGTTCTACTTCCATGGGCAGGTTGGGGGCTGGTTTTTTTGTTGGTCTTGAAAGCAAGACTTAAGTCATTTGAATAACTCTTTCCACACAAACACCCAATATCCTTCTAAATAGCAACAAGGCAAATAAAATGATCCATTCAGCTTTGGTTTATTATAGCTAGCATATTGACTTTAATGAGATTTATGAAAGTTAATTCTATTTTTATGTGTGGTATATATAATTTGTGATATATTAGAACCCTTGGTATAACAAATATGCACAGCGCATAGGTGCCCATTTGAAAAAGCTCAGATTATGATTTTAAATTATTGGAAAGATTTACAGTTGATATATCTTTGTTTTTATTGCATGTTGTTCATATCTGTCGCTTATTTAATAAGGAATCTTTGGTCAAATACACATCCCCTATAATATCACTCTTCCCGCGGGACTGTATCTCTCACTTTATGACATGGTTTCCACAACATGTCATGACAAAAAGCAGAGAAGAAATATATCAACACATACGGACACAGAAGACTTCTTTGTTTTGACTTAGAATTGTAGCCCTAGCTGATTTCATTGTATTCTCATTCAGCTGTTTATTCAAGTATCATATTTATCATCTTTGATCTTTGCATCTGTTATGGCCTCCAATATTGGGAACGTTTGCTTTTGCCTTGGGTTTTGGAAAATTAAAAACCAATATGACCCTTATAGGTTAGAATATTTACAGAATTAGAAACAAGCAGTATAGTCTAATAGAGGATGTAAGAGGTGAAGATAAGACCTACTAGGTGAGAAGCACTATGCAGGGACTAATTCAGTGATGGAGGAGTTATGGATTGTGAGAACATATTCAGCTCAGGGTGTTGGGAAAAGCTCCATGGAAGAGTTAGCACTGGAATGTCAAAGTTTTCTATCTGCGATAATGGGAGTATTAAAATATTCTAAGTTTAAGGATCTTATGAGCTATCATACGGTGTTTTGGGGGAAAGACAGTAATCTGTTTTCACAGGAATATGTGGTGCTCGAAGGTGATTGTGACAGATGGAGCCAATAAAGATGGATTGGGGACAGATTGTGAGGAGAGCTTTTAGTATTGGGTTAAGGAATATGGACTTCGATCTGTGAGCAATGGGGAACTGTTGGAGGCTTCCGAACAGGAAGTAGCATGATCTAATCTATATGTTAGGACTGTTCAGGTGACAAAAGTATAAGTAATGGATTGGAATGGATTCACTGTTGTAGGCAGTTATTGGGAAGCCTGAAGGCACTTTGATTTGGGAAAGTAAAGGGAACAAAAGAGATTACTATGGGGAAAGTAAGCGGGGAGACCAATGATCAGAGGAGGCTCTGTATCATTTGGGAATTTGAAATAAGGTACTACAAGTGGAGGGGGAGTGATTATGACAAAAAAGAGCAGAGTTAGGAGGCAAAAAGTAATGAGGCCTTGTACTAGGGTATTAATGATGGGAATGGAGAAAAGGAGAAGAATATCATGGCTCTGTGAAGGTAGAGTTGGCTGATTTGGCAGCTTTATTTGAGTATGAGAGGTGAATGAGCATGAGGAATTAAAAGTAACTACTAGCTTCAAGTTTGGTTTACTAGAAGATAATATTATATGAAAAGAAACAAGGGAATCAGGAGAAAGACCTTGTTTAGGTTAGCGGTATCAGTGGATTAAATGTCTGGCAGGCATTTGAAAATGTGAGTCTTAGGCCTCAGAGTCAACCTATTGAGTAATAGTAGAGATTGTGAAATTGAGCAAGTTTTCTGAGGGAGGTTATGAAGAAAGAGGATGAGAAAAAGAATTGGGGAATATTCCTAAATTTCATGCCCACTCTAATGGCAACACACTTCCTTCTTATTTAGAATTATGACTATGGTGGGCCACTCTTACTAACACAGGTATCTTATGCTTGAGGGATGTTTGCATGTATCCCTGTGTATATTTCCAAGATTTTCCTAGTGATAACATCACTCTAAGTCACTTGCTTCACGCATGTTTTTTGAGTGAAGGAAAAAGCTTTGGAATTAATAACCACTCCTTAGGCGTTGCACTTATTCGGTGCACACCCATCGTGATGTGTTGACCTTGCTTACCTTACTCATTGGGAATGGCAGAAAAGGCCATTCACTGTTGTAGGCAGTTATTGGGAAGCCTGAAGGCACTTTGATCTGGAAAGTAAAGAGAACAAAAGAGATTACTAGGGAGAAAGTAAGCAGAGAGATGAATGATCAGAGGAGGCTCTGTGTCATTTGGGAATTGGAAATAGGGTACTGCCAGTGTAAATAATGAACAATGTGAAGCTTAAATGATAATTTGCAACAAGCATTTAATGAAAGATCATTGCTTTTGGTAGTAGCCACATATTGAATAAAGTTTGCTGAGTGTGCACTGAATATTATCTGTCCTAAATGACTCAACATTTCAGTTTGATCCTAGGGAATGTTATGCATCTGGAAAAGGAAAGGAATACATTTATCTCTGAGAGCCGATATTATTGCATAGTACTAACAGAGATAAGGCCACTTTCAAATTGTCATAGCAAATGAACTTTAATGATGACTAATGAATAGAAATGTGTTTAATAACCTGTGATCTGATTTTAGAAGCTGGGCTATTAACTGAGAATAAGGAGAACTGCTCTCTGTTTCTGATTCTGTCCCTCTAATCTTTGCCTTGAATAAATCACTCATGTATAAAATGATTCTGGATAATTTAAAAGCATCAAGTATTTGAATTGTGACTTTTCTCTCCAATATTTCTCAACTAAACCAGCACAAAAAATATAAGAAGTATAAGGTATAATTTGATTTACCTGCAAAAAGAGTATTAGCCTCTAATGGGGATTATCCACATTTCTCAAAAACAACAGTTCATAATGTTGATGATCTATTATGACTGTGACCCCTGATGAGTATACTGAGACTGGAGTCAACAGATTGTATTAAACTTCAATAGCATAGAAAGCCAAGCATCATGATTTAGCTTTGTCAAGTGTTGAAAAATTTTGTTTTTACATAGAGGAAGAAGTCTTTCCTAAATAGATTCTGACTTGGTATATTGACTAAGTATATTTGCCTCATTTTTAGGTTCCTGAATCTCTTTTTTAAAGTTTGTATCTTGTGTTTTTAAAATTACCCTATATTTTACATACTCATTGTAAGCATATAGGCTTGCACAGATTAATTAAATGTAATTTTTGAATATTTGCCAAAACAGAAGCATGGCATTGGAAATGTACTTTAAAAATAGAAAATTTGAAGGCACTTTTGAGTTTGCAATGACAATTATCCCAGAAAATTTACTATAAAATATTTAAGTGTTAGCTCAGGTAACCTTTTTAAAATGTATTTTTAATTTACATACAGTAAAATTTACTCTTTTTGGTATATATTTTATATCAAAAATTCGACAAACAGAACAATTCTATTACCTCCTCGAAGGAACTCCTTGAAAATACATTGTCCCTTTGTAGTCAGATCTTCCTGCCACCCACCCTTAACCCCTAACAACTACTGATCTATTTTCCATCACTATGGTTTGGCCTTTTCTAGGATGTCATACACATGGAATCATACATTATGTAGGCTTTTGAGTCTGGCTTCTTTCACTTAGCATAATGCATTTGAGATTCATCCGTGTTGTTGCAGGTACCCGTAGTTTGTTCCTTTTTATTGCTCAATACTATTCCATTTATGGGTCCTTCACGGTTTAGCTGCCAGCTGAAGGATATTTACATTATACCCAATTTTGGGTGATTGTAAATAAAGCTGTTACAAACATTCACAAATGGTTTTTATGTAAATATGTCTTCTTTGTTTATTTCTTTTATTTCTTTTTTTTTTTTTTTTGAAACAGGGTCCCCCTGCTGTTACCCAGGCTGGAGTGGAGTGGCTCAGTCATAGCTCACTGCAGCCTGAAAGTCCTGGCTTCAAGCCATTCTCACATCTCAGCCTCCCTAATGGCTGGGACTACAGGGCATGCCACCAAACACAGCTAATTATTTTCTTTTTATTTTGTAGATATAAGGTCTCACTGTGTTGCCCAGGCTGGTCTCAAACAGCCTCCCAAAGTGTTGGGTTTACAGGTGTGAGCCACTATGTTCAGCCAAGTCTTATTTCCCTTGGGTGAATACTTAAGAGTGGGATTATTATGTATAGTAAGTGTATATTTAACATTATAATAAGCTGCCCAACTATTGCTCATAGTGACTGTACCATTTTGCATTTGAGAATTCAAGTTTTTCTGTGTACTTGTCAGCACTTGGCATTGTCAGGTTTTTTTTTTAAGTCATTCTAGAGCATACATAGTAGTATCTCATTGTGGTTTTGGTTTCCATTTCCCTAATGACTAGTAATATAGACCATATATCCATGTGTTTGTTTGCCATTAGTATATATTTTTTGTTGAAGTGTCTTTTCAGATCTTTTGTCCTTTTAAAAAAAAGAGTTGCTTTCATATTAAGGTTTGATGATTTTTATATAATCTAGATACATGATTCAAAAACATTTTCCCCCAGTCCCTGCCTTGTTTTTTCTTTCTCTTAAAGTATCTTTTGCAGAGCAAAAAAAGTTTTTGATTTTGATGAAGTCCAGTTTATCAATTTTTTTTCCTTGTTCTGATAGTGCTTTTGGTGTTATATCTAAGAACTCTTTGCCTAGCTCAAGGTCACAAATATTTTCCTATACATTTTCTTCTAAGTGTTTTACAGTTTTACATTTACATTTAAGTTTATGGCCCATTTCAAGTTGATTTTTTATTAGCACAAGTACATTTCTTTACGAACCGAAGGGATGATCCTAATTAAACCAGCACTTTAAATTAATTGCACATAAGATACTTATGGAGGTTTGCTTGTTGAACTGAGCTTGTTCATTCTCTCAGCTAATTACTTTCCAAAGTGATGAAAGAATTTTTATTCTACTTTTTTGTAGACCTGAGTACAGGTGACATTGTTCAGGATGCGGTCCACCATTAATTTTCCATTTTTTAACTTTCTTGTTATTGTGCTTTCCTTTCCTTTCCATTCCTGATGTTGAACCAATGTGCCATGTATGAAGTTGTGGACAGTCTGTGTTTTTCTGCTATTAGCTGTAGTTTCTTCAAACTTCTCCACCAGGGTACAAGAGAACTGTGTTGGTTTCAGAGTGCTCTCAGTGTTTATGATGGTTTTTGCTGTTACAAGAGATGTTACAATCTGGTTGGGCCATTGCATGCATTTTTCACAGAACTATTCCCACTCCTAGTTCCATCGTGTATTCATCAAAGCATTTGCTGTCCACTCGATGCTATTGTCCTTCCAGCTGCTGAATGGTGGCCAGCATGGGTGTATGAGCAGAGTAGGGTCTGGCTCAGGGGTGGGGGTAGGATATTGAGCCAGGTTTTTTGTATAAGGTGTGAGATACGTGTCTGGGGTGATTTTTTGGCATTTGGGTTAGTACTATTTGTTAAAAAGACAATCGTTTTTTTCCATTGAACTGTATTTGCACCTAAGTAAAAAAATCAGTTGACTACAGTATTTGTATGGATGTATTTCTGCACTCTATGCTACATTGATCTACGTGTCTCTGCTTTCATCAGTACCCACTGTCATGATTATTGTAGCTTTATAGTATAATTAACTTTAGAACATCTCTGCAAGAAAGAAACAAATTCTCTCAAGCATCCTAATCAGTTTCCTTTTCAGTCTTCTTATCCAAGCAAATGGATTATTTCTCAACAATTTTATCTTCAATGTTCATTCAGTTTATATAGTGACTCAGAAGGGTTGTAGCTATACTTCTTGTAGCCTTTCCCTGTGTAGAAAAAAGACCCGTGTACACTACAGCATTTAAGTTGAGTTTCTCTGCATCAAAGTCAAAATGCAAAAATTTGCACGCACACACACACACACACACACACACACCCCCACTCACCCACACAAACCAAAAACCATCTACTGACCCTATCATCTGCAGACATTCCCTCAAGGGGCTTTCCAGGGAGCTACCAACTCTTACAGGCCCCATCACTCTGACCAAGCTGCCTGGACAGTGGTGACACCTTACCACCCATTGATAACCAGCTTCCTGTCTGGTGGAGTGTCAGTTGGTGGGAACCAGCTGTTATGATTCATCCCACTTAAGATTTCTGCCTTTTGACAAGTGACGCTAATAGACCTAGGCTGAATGGTGTCTGATTGGGAGAATTTTCTTTTTGAAAGCAGTTTGATTTCTAGTGCCTCAGCAACTGAACTTTTTACTTTAACAGGTACGCTCCAATTTCCAGTTTCTGTGGAAATTCAATAGAGAGATAAATGTTGTTTTCATCAAGTGTTTGTACCAGCTATTATTTCTTCCTGAAAAACAAACAAGCAAGGTAACTTCTCTTAAAAAAGATACTTGTGTTATGAATTCTTTAATAGTTTTCGAAGCTTTCTGGCTTCTGATATTCTGCAAAAGGCAAAACATTTCCAGCCTAAGATATGACTTGTTACATTTGGATTTGGTGAAAGAATTATTAAGTGCTTGAGGGGATAGCTTCACATATCTTGAGGGGATGGCCTTTCTCTTGTGCTACTGAAGCCAGTTTCATCCTTTGCTTTGTTTTTGTCATTTCCTTACTCTGATAAGCTTATGAATATTATTTTAAAAAGTTTGTTAAGGGTCAATCCCTTATGGTTTACAACCATAAGGACAAGCTGTTGTAAATATAATGAAAGAACAATATAAGAAATATACATTTTAAAATATTGATAAGGGAAAGTTGTACTGGTTTTTATGAGTTATGCAAAATTAACATTGTCCTTACTTTTTTAAAAACAATTTTCAGCAGTTGCACATGGAATAACAATTGTCCTTACTTTAGAGATGAGGAGAGAGCAGAGCATGCCATGAAGGAGGAGGACTGTGATTACATTAGGGACCTACCAATCATGGTACCAGTGGCATGCATGGGCAGAAGGGGAGCCTATTACCAGCAGCCTTCACAGGATGGGCCAGATTTCTTCAGCATCACTGCATATAAAGTCACACCCCTAAGTATGAGAAAGTCAAATTGTGATGGAAATTTTTCTAATGCTAAGAAGTGCTGGTTTCCTATAGCCAATTAGGTAGTGCTAGCAGTGCAACATTTTATAACATTTGGTAGTAACAAGTGATTTTATCTTTGGGTTGGCGATACCCTAGGGCAGACATTCTCAAGCTTTAGTGTACATAAGAATTACCTGAGGAGCTTGTTAAACTTTAGGTCCCTGGGCCCCAGCCCTCAGAGGTTTTGATTTATTAGGTCTGGGGAGTGGACAAGAATCTGCATTTTAAAAACAAACCCACTCTGTTTGGCACCCTGACTCGTTTCTCAAAAGGTTGCAAAATTCTCCTAACAAAAACTATTACACTTCAACTGAATTTTTAAATTACCGTTCAACTGAATTTTTAAAATACTCTTTCACATAGTACAAGTAAGTGTTGTGAAATTCAATGATGGTTGAGCTTCGGGGTTCCAGAGAGGTTGGCAATAACTAGTTTAGATTCCCTAGGTGTGAACTAAGATATAACATGCAGTGAGCAGTATAAATAGACTTAAGTTAAATTTCTTTCAATTAGAAGTTATTAGTTACACAATTTCCATTTCCAGGTCATCTATGCATCCACAGATGGTATTAGATAAGGGAGCTAGACCAGGCATGGTCTACCTAGGGAATTTCACAAGGTTCTTTTATAATCATTTATTGCCTACTGGGCCCTTAATGATGTTACTCAGGATCCCATTAAGTTAGCCATGAATATAGTAATTGGTCCCCTGACGATAGCCAGGGGGAGTCAAATCTTGTGGCTCCACCCTATTCTGGTCATGTTGGAGGCAAGATAGAAATTGTTGCTTGTAATCTTCAAGGGCACTTTTCCTTTCTGGGGATAAGGTGCACTGTGCTCCCAAGCACATTTCTCAAAACACAGCCTGAGTCCCTAGAGAGTCCTCCCCCTCTAATTCAGGCTGGCACTTATGACTTACTTTTAAAAGTAATTTGAAAATCCCATCAAATACAAACAATCAAAATCTAGATTCTCCACCAGATATTCTGTAGATCTAGTATTCCGTTGTTTCCATCTGCCCACATCAACCACTTAAAAATATTTTTGGACAAGGTTTTTCCTGCCTTTGTTGATACTTAGGTAAGATGGAGCATTTCTAGAGACTGGACCCAAAGCAACTACACACATGAATATGATATAAACTAGTTCTGTGTTAGCAACGGGGAGTCAGATTTTGCTGATTTGGTGTTCATATTCAGACAAAGTTCTGCAGTTTGCGGAATTATAATACCAAACCAGAGGTTATTCCTGATTCATTTGAATGAATCCCTGTGCTTGTGGTTCATGTATATAGCTGGCTTTTGAAATTTTTCTAACTTTTCATGGCAAAACTTAAAGCAAAGAGAGTTATAGAATCTTCCAGATATGGAAAGTACTTTAAAGAGCATACACTCCTATCTCTTGTTTATTATTTATTTATTGGTTTTGACATCCAGGATACACACTAGATTACCTAATTTTTAAAACTCATCTTCTACCTTAACTGTCACTAAATTGTCAGCTTTTTAAGGGAGAAGATTCTTTCTTACTCAAGTGTGTTTTTAATCACTGTGAGATTATATTACAGTGAGATTATAGTTCAGCTTCTTGAGGAAGAAGGCTTCATTTTGCACAGCTGCCCTGAATAAATATTTTTTAACTTGATCATTCAGTTGGCAGATGTTTTTTCTCGTTCTCTGTTTTCCAGTTGGTGTATTTGGCTGCCATATTTCCTCAATTCTGACCCCTGCCCTATCATTTATTAATGTATGACTTTGGGCAAGTTATTTAACCTCTCTGTGCCTTAGTTTTCTTTTCTGTAAAATGACACTCAGTAGCATGATGATGATGTTAGCTGTTGTCTTTGTGGGTATTTTTTAACATGATTAATATTTATGTGTCTAGATTAAGTAGATAACACTAATAATAGCTGCCGTATTTTGAGGACTTTCTTAGTACATTTCTGCTGCTATAACAAAATATTAATGCCACAAACTGGGCAACTTATAAACAATAGGAATGTATTTCTGACAGTTGTGGAGGCTAGGAAGCACTGGCAGATTCAGTGTTTGGTGAGGGCTTGTCCTACAGATGACATTTTCTTGCAGTGTCTGTGCAAAAGGGCAGAAGAAAACAAACCCACTACCTCAAGCCATTTTGTAAGGTCTCTAATCCCATCCATGAGGGCTCTGCCCTCCTAACTTAATCACCTTCTAAAGGCTCTACCTTTTAATACCTTCACATTGTCAATTAAGTTGTGCCGCATGTATTTTTGGGGAAATTCACACTGTGCTTATGCTTCCTGTCCTTTCATTTAATAGCCTAAGTTCTATCTGGAAAATACTATGGGAAAACAGAAGTTATTTGAAAGCTCTTGAAAGTAGGACATGTTAACAGTTACAATTAGTAAGTATATACTGTACACATTTTATTATGATAGATTCTTCCATGATTATAAGATAAGTGATTTTTCTTTTTTTTCACTTTTTTTTAAGTTCAGGGGTACATGTGCAGGTTTGTTAAATAGGTAAACTCATGTCATGGGGGTTTGTTGTACAGGTTATTTCATCACCCAGGTATTAAGCCTAGTTCTCATTATCTGTTTTTCCTGATCCTCTCCAACCTCGCACCCTACACTCTCAGGAAGAACCCAGTATCTGTCGTTCCCCTCTATGTGTCCATGTGTTCTCATCATTTAGCTCCCACTTCTAAGTGAAAACAGGTGGTATTTGGTTTTCTGTTCCTGCATTAGTTTGCTGGAGTCCGCCAGCTCCATCCATGTTCCTGCAAAGGACAGGATCTTGGTTTTTTTTTTTATGGCTGCATGGTATTCCACGGTGTGTATGTACCACATTTTCTTTATCCAGTCTACCACTGATGGACATTTAGGGTGATTCCATGTCTTTACTATTGTGAATAGTGCTGGATGAACACACGTGTGCATGTGTCTCTATGATAGAATGATTTATATTTTTTTGGGTATATGTTCAGTAATGGGATTGCTGGGTTGACCGGTAGTTCTGTTTCTAGCTCTTTGAGGAATCTCCACACTGCTTTCCACAATGATTGAACTAATTTACACTTTTACCAACAGTGTATATGTGTTCTTCTTTCTCTGCAACCTCCCCAGCATCTGTTATGTTTTGACTTTTTAATTATAGCCATTCTGACTGGTGTGAGATGATATCTCATTATGGTTTTGATTTGCATCTCTCTAATGATCAGTGAAGTTGAACCTTTTTTCATATGCTTGTTGCCGACATGTATGTCTTGTTTTGAAAAGTATCTGTTCATTTCCTTTGCTCACTTTTTTATGTGGTTGTTTTTTTTTCTTGTAAATTTGTTTGTTTCTTTTAGATGCTGGATATTAGACCTTTGTCAGATGCATAGTTTGCAAACATTTTCTCCCATTCTGTTGATTGTCTGTTTACTCTATTGATAGTGTCTTTTCCTGTGCAGAAGCTCTTTAATTTAATTAGATCCTATTTGTCAATTTTTGCTTTTGTTGCAATTGGATAAGCAATTTTTCAACTGAAACTATAAGAAGGAGTTTTTAGGCTTCCTGGACCCACTGTTCTACAGTATTATATGGAAATCATTGTCCTACAACATAATATTTTTTAAAAAAAACCTTCATGGTACACTTAACAAAATCAGGATACATATGCTGATGTAGCACAGAAGAGTAAATTAATTGGGCATTTAAAGTCTGATGAGTTGCACTGACTCTTGGGTTATCAGGTGGCGACTTAATTATGCTACTAAATGAATTAACACTCCTTAAATGTGGGAAATTCACACTCAGCTTCATCACTCCTGTCAGTGAACTGGTGGCAGTATCCAAAAGAGCAAAGTACATTTCTGAAAAAAATCCAAGTGGTTCATATTAAAGAATAATGAGTATCAGATGCATTAGGGCTCTATCATGTAATGTTGCTAACGTCCCCTATAATATTCACTGAAGACAAACTGGGAAAATACAGAGAAATAGAAAAAAGAAAACTAAAATCACCTACAATTCCACACCCTAAAACAACCATTACTAAGAACTTTATGTACCAATTCATCCCAGCCACAATTATATATATATAAATGCATGAGATTAAAATTGGGGTCATGCTACAGATAAAAATTTGCATTTATCCTATTAAACAAACTCACTGAGAACACCTTCCTAGACAAAATAACTTTTAAGCTTTTGCCTTCTCTTCAGTTACACATGACATATGCTAAGTAACATTATCAGTTCAGGATAGAGGATATAAGTAAAAGAAAGATTGACACTGCCCAGGATAGAGAAACAAGAGTATGAACAATAAATATGTGTGTTATTTCTGAATATAATTTTTTTAGTCATCAATAAATTATTTATGGGGAAGAGTTGAAAAAGGCAGGATTTAAAAATTATTTTTGGAAAAAGTACAGGATCTCAAAAATGCTTCAGAGAGAATTAGTTTAAGTTTACTAGTGGTCTTTTTGGGAGGGCTCAATGAGTACTTATTGTATGGATTAATTTAAGAAGAGCTATACATATAAAAGTATGAACATATTCCCTATAACCTAAATCCTTTCTCTCCCTCATCTAAGACTTATTCCAAAGTCCCATGTTTTTTCTATATTTAAAGCTGCATAGGAATTTTAATTTTTAAAAGTAGAAGTGTGGCAAGGCATGGTGGCTCAAGCCTGTTATCCCAGCACTTTGGGATGCTGAGATGGGTGGATCACCTTGGGTCAGGAGTTTGAGACCAGCCTGACCAACATGGTAAAGTCCTGTCTCTATTAAAAATATAAAAATTAGCCAGGCATGGTGGTGGGCACCTGTAATCCCAGCTACTTGGGAGGCTGAGGCAGGAGAATCGCTTGAACCTGGGAGGCGGAGGTTGCCGTGAGCCAAGGTCACACCATCGCACTCTAACCTGGGCAATAGAGTGAGACTCCATCTCAAAACAAACAAACAAACAAACAAACAGCAAAAAAATAAAAATAAAAGTAGAAGTGTTACGCTGATTACTTTCTTTGTAGACATATATAGAAAATATGGAAGTATACCTAGGTACTGACAGATATACAAAGAATTGGGAGATCTGTGCTTATAGTTCTTGGTGCTGGCTTATATTTTCTGTGATTGAAAGTCTCCTTTAATAAAAGGGGGATGAACAAACCTTTTGTTGCTGAAGGGTTCCTGGAGGCCATCTTCTAGTGAATGCTGCTTTTGGTACCCATTAGAGTTCACCACTGGGCCCATGCATCTGCCAAATACAGCCTGAAAGTTCATCTTTTGATTCCCAATGGCCTCTGTAGCACTGGCTACATCACTTGTGAGGCCCAGCGCAAAATGAAAATGTGGAGCCTCCTATTTAAAAAGCAAGAAAATTAAAATATGAAGCTTTTTCTGTTATTCCACAGTCTTTCCCTCAACCTATCATGGTGTTTTTATTTACTATTTAATGTTGCACATTCTTAGGCATGGAAATACCTGCAGGATGAATGCAGATTCACATAGGGCCTCGCTCTGTGACTAAGCCCTCACGTCACCCACCGTTAAGTTCTCCTACTGCCATCCACTTGCCCAACCCATTCCCTGGCAGGTGGCAGAGAAGGCATGTCAGGCATCTCCCTTTCCCTGTGCCCACTACCCATGCAATCCCATGGTGGCTGGGGACCCCCAAGAGTAGTGCCACCTCTATGCCAAACATGCTAGATCAGAGGCAGGTAAGAGACTCCCTCCTGCCCACCAATACCCATGAACATGCCATGGTGCTGCCAGTCTGAGACAGGAATAGCTGCCACCATGCCTCACCCTGAGATGTCACAGGGAGCAATACAACCTCCTTTTGAGGCTGGAGGTCAGCAAAAATTGTTGGTGAGGACAGGCTGGAAAAGGCCTATGGGACCCAAAGTACAAGGGTACAGGGAAGTGGGGCAGCTGAGAACCCCACCCCAGCAAAGCAGGGAAGTGGGCTGGTTGGTGAGCTGAGGCTCCAAGCACCCTGTGTATACTCTGTTGTCTCATTGGATTTCACTTATAAAACACAAACTCAAAAATAAAATTATTAAGAATTTCAAGGTAGAATATTAAACCTCATGGGGTAAAGGAGTTTTCTGACCACGTATCCTGTGTGACTGAACTGGTTGTACACCACTGAGCAGGCCCTGGGCCTCCAGAACAACTTCTGCCCCTAAAATGAAGAAACTTTTTTTGTTTTGTGGCAGGATGAGAAATACTTGAATATCACTTTTATTTCTTGTATAACAATGCTTCTAAAGTTTAATGTGCATATGAATCATCTGAGATTCTTGTTAAAATGCAGATTCTAATTTAGTAGGTCTGAGGTGGGACCTGAGGTTTTGCATTTCCAAGTTCCCAACTGATGCCAAAGCTGATCTGGAAACCACCTATCCCTTAAAAAGCATTTTGTGGCCCAGCGCAGTGGCTCACGCCTGTAATCCCAGCACTTTGGCAGGCCGAGGCGGGCGGATCACGTGGTCAAGAGATCGAGACCTTCCTGGCCAACATAGTGAAACCCCATCTCTACTAAAAGTACAAAAAATTAGCTGGGCATGGTGGCATGCGCCGGTAGTCCCAGCTACTCAGGAGGCTGAGGTAGGAGAATCACTTGAACCCGGGAGGTGGAGGTTGCAGTGAGCCGACATCGCACCACTGCACTCCAGCCTGGCAACAGAGCGAGACTCCATTTGAAAGAAAAGAAAAAAAAGCATTTTATTTGGAAATAATTATAGACTAACAAGAAGTTGGAAAAATAGTACATAATTTCCATGTATCCTTCACTCAACTCCCAGAGAAGGCATGTCAGGCATCTCCCTTTCCCTGTGCTCACCACCAATGCAAACCCATGGTTTTGATATTGCATTACAGTTCGATTACATATTATACTGTATTACATATAAGATGTAATACATTTTATATGTAATATAAAATATAAAATAAGCATTTTACTGTATTACATATGAGATGTAATACAGTATAATATGTAATCGAACTGTAATGCAATATCAAAACCAAGAAGTTAACATCAGTCCAATACTATTTTTTATCACTCCCCTCTGGGATCCAAGCTCTAATACTGTTAACTACAGACCTGATTCCATTTTCACCATTTTCTACTTGTATTCAATTGTGTGTGTGTGTGTGTGTGTGTAGTTATATGCAATTTTATTCCATGTATAGATTTGTGTAACCACTAGCACAATCAAAATATAGAACTGTTCTATCACCACAGAGGAAATTCTCTTGTGCTGTTGCTTTATTGAGGGTCCCCAAGGATGTATACAAACCTAAGGGTTAAAGATATTACTCTTAACCACTGTGTGATGTTGGCCAAGTGACTTATCATCTCCAGGCCTGTTTTCTTATCTGTAAATTGGTAGTAATTATAGGGCCTAACTTAATGGGTTGTTGGGCATGTAAAATGCAGAGAATAGTGCCTCGCAGAGTGTGTGTTCATTGTCAATTAATAGTATCATTCACATTAGGACTTGGCTGGCTTTGGGTGCAAATTGCACCAAATTTTGCTTCATATCCAGACTATGATCCCAACATATTTTACATTTGACATTTATAGATTTTTAAAGATAAAGGTTCTTTCATTCAGAATTCTGAAATAATTGATATTCCACCTAATTTTACATTAGTAGTAGGATTACTTTTTAAGTTTTAAAAAATTAATTTATAAAGACAAATGCCCAAGATATTTTTTACAACATTATTTATAATGATCAAAAAGCGTGAAAATAATTCGGTTATTCATTTGGAAATATGTTCAGTTCTATACCATGAAAATGAAAGAATGAGGCAATTCTATATATGTTCACTAAGATGCCCCAAGATGTATTAAGTTAAAAATAAACAAATTTTGTAAATAAAAGCAGCCAGACACAAGAAAATACATATGGTATGGTTCTATTTACTTAAACTCTAATAACAGGCAAAGTTATAGTGCTTAATGATGTGTGCTTAGGCAATAAAATTAATAAGAACAACAACAAGTTGATGACTCTAAAAGTCAGGATACTGGAAACCTCTGAGAGAGAGGGTGAGAGGGGGTAGTGATTAGAAGTCCTGAAGAGGGCTGGCAGTACTCTGCTTTTTAACCTGAGTGGTTGTTGCAAGAGGGCTCACTTTGTTGTTTTGTACACTTACCTATGCATATATTAGATTTCACAATAAAAAGTATTTGAAAGCACATTTCATAACTCTGTTAGGCATAGTCTATATATATTTGTAGAAAAATTCACAAAAGATCCACACACACACAAAGACACAACTATGGGCATTTTTTTATTACTTTTGGGTTATGGGAATGTGGGGTAGGGAAAAATTTCACTTTGCATTTTACAATTTGCATTTTGTCCATAATCGTGTTACTTTAAAATACGCCATCAAATATTGTATGTGAATACAGATTACTCCATTTTTATGTGCTTCTGTATTATTTGAATTTTCTTCATAATCACATGTTACTTTAAAAATATTCTTTCAAAATTTGCATATGTATTCATATGTGTGTACATATTTATATATGCTTGGAGGTTTTAGAATAATACTTCAACAGTGGTCACCTCTAAGGGGTGCACCTGGGGATAATGCATTAAGAGAAGGGGGAACATTTTCTTTTCAGACTTCTAATTTGCTTGAATATTTTCTTTTACAATAAACATGCTGATTTTTAATTTACAGCATACACCAAAAGTGGTATATAACATATTTCAGCAGATTTTGTCTTGCAGACAGAATAGATTTGGAGGGGTAAAAATGGGCTCATTTAAAAATGTAGATCCTAGGGGAAGGCTTTATAGGAAAAAATACCCTAGAATGCAAACCTATACTCCTGCCCCAACATACATGCCAGAGTCTCTGATAATGGGCTAACCTGATGAAATCTTTGAAATTAAACCATCAAGGCAGGAATCCTCAACACTAAGTACAGCTCCTGGTCTGTGGAAAGTATTCAAGAATTATTTGTTGAATTTATTGGAAAACAGAGTAGTGTTTAAAAATTTGACCTACTTTTCACTGCTTGTTGAGGCTGGAGGTGTTTTTCTTAGTGTGAGGTTTGAGAGGCATGCAACATGATTGATGAATGAAAGTAGCTAATTTTTGGAGAAAATAAAGTAAAATTCATTTACTTTAAATTTTACTTTCGCCTTTTAGGTCAGTTAGTATTTTCATCTGCTTTTTAAAAGCAGATGATACTTTTCAAGTTGTTGATTAACAGTGATACTCTATCCTAATTATCCTGTGAAGCTTACAGTAAGTGACCTAAAATTCAATGGGAATGACTCAGCCAGACAAGAAAAAGTCACTGGAAGACCAAATCTACTACAGGGAAATAGCACTGGTATTAATCAAAGGTCTAATACTGAAACTCTCTGAGAAATCCAAGTAGATTCTACACTTTGTTGCTGATAATTAGACATTCCCAACAAATAATAATCAATAATATATATTTTTTGGCAGCAGAGGCAGAGATACAGAAGTGAGCTTCTCACCAAAATAGAGTGTCTTTGGAACAATGTCCAGCACTGGTATGACACTGCACTACCCTAAACAGTAGTAACTAGATACAAGTACTGAGTACTTGAAATGTGGCTAGTTTGAATCAAGATGTCTTGTGTCAAATATAAATCAGACATTGAACACCTACTTTGAAAAAGAGATAGTATCAAAATATTAATGTTTTTATATTGATTACGTGTTGAATATTTTTATTCATAAAATATTAATGCTTTTATATTGATTATATGTTGAATGATATTTTGAATATACTGAGATAAAGAGCATTATTAAAGCCAAAAGTGGTTTCTAAAAAATTTATAGTTACCTATATGGCTGAAGGCCAGACATAGTGGCTCACATCCTGTAATCCCAGCACTTTGGGAGTTCAAGGAGGGAGGTTCCCTTGAGGCCAGGAGTTTGAGACCAACCTGGGCAACATTGCAAGACCCCATTTCTACACAAAATTTTTAAAATTAGCTGGGTGTAGTAGCCTGCACCTGTAGTCTTAGCTATTTAGGAGACGGAGGCAGGAGGATCACTTGAGCCCAGGAGTTCAAGGCTGCAGTGAGCTGTGTTTGTGCCACTGTACTCCAGCCTGGGCAACAGATTAAGACCTTGTCTCTAAAAGAAACAACAAGAAAAAAGAAATAAAATTACCTATGTGGCTTATGTTTGTGACTCCTTTATGTTTCTATTAATGCCAGTAAAGAAGATTTGAATAGAAGCAAACCAAGAGTCAGCATTTTAATTTCCCTTACTTTCCAGAAGGGGGAAAAGAATTCCAGCAAGTGGAAATGCTCTGCTCAAAGGCACAAACCTGGTTGGAAAGAAGTGAGGAGTTGAGCTTTCATCTTTTGAGTCTGTGTCTCACGTTCCCTAAGTTACATAGCTGGCCCCTGATGGAAAATTCAAGGCCAGAGAAACAGACTTCCTTAGGACATTTACACATTGGACACCATGTTTCTTTAACCTTTTAAGATACAGTCAGTGATAATTTTAAGAATGTTCTGGGGATTTGCAATAGGATTGAAAGTAGATAGGAGTTAGGGGACTTTAATGTTCTATTTAATACCTCAGTGTTATTTTTAAACCTTGGGCACGTATTACTATTAAAGAAAAACTGGCCTAGGGGTTGGGAAAGCAGATTTAAAAGAAACTGTGGCTTGAAATTCAAATCTGGAGATATTTGAAGTGGCTTTTTCTGCCGTTATTTTCTTTGACATCTCTAAACACCCTCAGCTAATTCTTACTGCTCTCTTTGGGTTTTTTACTTTTTACATTACTAAAGCAAAATCAACTGGTACAAACTAATTTTTGAATCTGCAGCTGTAGCTCAAAAAACCTGTTTTTCCTACTTTTGCAAGCAGCAGACTCCTAAGAATGACTGGTGATTTTGTTTTAAAAGAATTTAAGTCCTGCTTTCTAAAGGGCACTTGCCAACAGAGTAGATGTTTCTATGTGAAGCTATTTGCTACCATCATACTTGAGATTTTTTTGCTTATGGCTTTCAGTGCTGTTACTTCTAAAGGCAGATTCTTGAACACAGGTTCGTTAGCTTCAGAACATACGCAGTCTCCTCATGGTAGCAGCTGTGCTGAGTTCCTGAATGGAGAGATGATTTCCACAGTACATTTTATAGCCACACATCATTCCTGAGGACAATCTAAAACACAAATTATTTTTATTTTTACTCCTTTATCATATAAGAGAAAGAAATACTTAGCTAGTCTGAGTGATAATGTTTATAGCAGCATATTCTATTTTTGTGGCAGTTTCTTTCAAGCACTCTCGCCTAACCTAAGAGGGACAAATGTAGGTTGCCTGTACTTAACAGGACCCTTGGAGTACATATGGATATGGTATAAATTCCTCTTTTTAACTTTTTGTCAGTATTTTCATCTTCTCTTCTTACTTAATCACTTTCAAGGCTTTTCAGCTGCTGAAACAAAAAATAAGCCTGTCCTAGAGGCTGATATCGTCTTCTGGAGCCACCTTTCTGAGAAAAGTGCAAAGGTTCTGAAGGGATTTTTAAATTTGATTTCTTAAAGAGTTATTTTTCACAGTTAGATATCTGAGCTCACCTAGAAGCTGAGTAGCCTCAGTAATCTTGAGTTCCCAAATCTACTTTTATTCATTTCACATTCATGATTGTAAGCATCTATTATGTGCCAGGGTAGGGTTATATCCATTGTAAGTAACCTTGGCAGAGTAAAAAATGCTGCACAGAGGCCTGTGGACCACTCCTAAGGACCTTTGGAGTGGCAGAAAGGAGATGGAGAGGATGAAGCAGACAAGCCTGGACAGCTGAGTGTTCCCACCTCTAGAAATAGTGAAGTACTGCACAGTCATAGCCTGTCTGCCCTTGGGCTTCTGATTGCTGCCTGGGACTTTAAATCCCTGAGCTGAGCTTTCCTGACCTTCGGACCCTTGCTGCCCCCACAGCTCCAGAAGCTGGAGCATTTATCTATAACTCAACACCTGGGCCCCAGTCTCAGCTCTAATACAAACACCAGCTCTGTGACCTCACCTTAGCTTAGAGTAGCCTCTCTTGGTTTCATACTTTGATCTGTAAAACAAAGGAGTGTGACCCTTTCTTTTTTTTCTCTCTCTCTCTTTCAGCACTAACCTGTTAACCATGCTTGAGAGAAGAGGTAGAACCTCATCACAACTACCTTTTGGAAATAGTTTTCCTGTACTAGAATAGGGGGCGTCAGTCAACCTGATGATGTTGTACAGGGAAATTTCGGAGATATGCACGTGCCTAGGCGCTGCCTCCAACCAATTAAACAAAAATTTCTGGGGAGTGGGACCTGGGGATGAGTATTTTTGAAGAGCACACCAACTAGTACACAGCCAGTGTTGAGAACCACAGGTTGTGTAAAAGCATCAGGCCTTGAGAGGGACAGATGTAGATGTAATATCCAGAATTTACTACTTATTAGTTGTAAATCTGTGGACAAGTCACTTAGTCTCTCTGAGCCTTAGTTTCTCTATCTGTAAAATTGGGACCAAATTGTATCTTCCTCAAAGGTAGCCATGTGGCACACAGTAGATACTCAATGAATTGTAATTGAGATGGGTCTATTGCTGTGCTGTCCAATATGATAGCCATTAGCTATACGTGACTATTTAAAAGTTAGATAAAGGTAAAAATTTGGTTCCCCAATTGCACTAGCCACATTTAAAGTGCTCAGCAGCCATATGTGACTAGTGGCTACCATATTGGACAGCAGAGATATCAAATGTTTCCTTCATTGCAGAAAGTTCTAGAGACTAGAAAGTGCTGATCTACATTCTACAGGATCTACTTTACTAAGATCCAAGTTTATTAAGGGAAAATTTATCTTTAACTCTGTTCTAGAAAATCCACTACATTAGCTTTTGTCAGGTAAGTAGCAAGACTTACGGCTTGGGCAGAAAAGTAAAGGAAATCCAGGAATCATCCCTTGTGTGGAGACATTTTTGCTTGTTTCTATATACCTATAAATGAGTTTACCTAGAAGTAAACAAGCAAGTGGGAACATGTAATCGATTCTACAAATAATGATCTTTTCTCCCTTCCCTCCCACCAGTTCTGGGGCTACACTTACCATTTAATCCATTTGTTAAAGTGGAACATTAACTTCTTTCTGCCCTATTTGTTCCTACCACAGGCAGTATACAATGAAGCTGCCGGTATGTGTGTGTGTGTGCGTGAGTGTGTGTGATCAAGAGAAAGGGGTACAAGGTGAAAGAAGGAGCTGGCAATGATAAGGGAAGTCCCTAAATAAGTGTCTGTAACTGAGAAAATAAAAGTCATACATAGAACATGTTTGATGATTTTATTATCTGTAATATTTATTTCAGATATTTTGACAGCTCTTTTATTCAAAAAAACTCCTTAGTATTATTTTGATTTACCCATAGTGGAGACTCTGAAGTCAGATGGTCTGAGTGCAAACCATGCTCCAGTATTTGCTATAGCTAACTGATGTTGGATGGGTTTCTTTACCTTTCTAAGTCTCAGTCTTTCCATTTGCAAAATAGGGATAAATGTTGGTAACCACACCTCATAAGGTTATTGCAAAGATTAAGTGACAGAATACGCATAAACTCTTTAGAATAGAATCTGACACCCGATAAATGCTCAGTGAATTTTTAAAAAATTGTTTAGAAAGGACATTTTATCATCAGCAAACAGATGATATGACACTTTTAACTTCAGCAAGTAGAAGAAAATATACATTCCTCATAGGAATTTTGAAGCTATTTAAAAAACGTAATGCTCTTGTTTCTTTGTCATATCTTTTGGAACGAGTGGGCCTGTTTTTAAAAGAACATTTATAGTTCCTATGTTACATAAATGTTCCACTTGTGCTACTGTACTTGTTTAGTTAAGCACAGGCCTAGCAGCTGGGGAAGTGTCAAAGTCTAAAAAGCAAGGGATTGTTGATTTGAGGTACCCTGTGTTAAAAATTGCTAATATAACTAAGCCGCCTTAAAAACAAGGAAGGTAGTTGTTCTTGATGGAAAAGAGACAACCTCTTAAATTCACTTTATATTTGTTTTGTCTTCCTGCAATAATGTTTCTGTTGGCAAAGTTACTTTATTATTATTTTTTTAAATCTGAGAGCATGATATATCTTTTGGGTTTTTAATTATTTAGATGTTTCACACTCTTTTGTTTTGTTATGCACTGTGACAGTGTGACATGCCTAAAGGACCAAGGACCAGCTCCCCAGTGAGTAGAAAGTGCTGTCATTTATTTTTAGAAAGGAAGCCGTATTGGTTCATATAAGCTGCTTTCCCAGCTGAAATAACATAGCAGATTGGTGCTGTTTGAACACTGCTAATTGCTGAACATTCTTAAACTAGTAAATAGGCCTGATTACCTGGACTCCAAACAGTAAGTCAAACAGACCAGATCACTTTTGATAAGAACACTCTATTAACCTTATATATTCCCATTGGATTATCTTCCAGGGATATGAAATGTTAAGTTATAAATGTCTTCTTTTTTTTTAATTTAGAAAGACTTTAGGAAAAATTGTTTGGGATATTTGAAGGTAAGTTAAAGATCATTATGTCCAATGTATGATTTAGTAGATAATTATCAGGTACTATACCATTAGCTGAGAGGTCAACAGTAAAGATGAACCCATTCAGAACAGAAAGTCCTGATTTACAAGATCTTGTTGTACCCTGCCATGTCTGTTTGGGTAACTGCAAGCAAACAGTAATAACTCTAACAAGGAAACAGTGAGCTTTTAATAAATAAAATGTAACATGAGTTCTTTATTAGACCCTTAAATCTCAAAACTAGAAAGCTTTTTAGAATAAAATTCCACTTCTACTCACCCTTTGAAATATTCACTGGAAACACAACTCTAAGATTCCTTCCATTTTCCAGATTCTAGAGCATTCATGTTAAAAATAAGCTTGAAATATTTTATTTAATAATTTAAAAATTATTTTAATTAAATCTTGCTGATGTGAACCATGTCTGTTCCCTTAAGCCTAGAAATGGAGTCTGGAACACAGCAAAAATGACCAAAATATAGTATCATGTCCAGAGTCAGGAAATGTCAGTTTTAGAGAATTGCCAACTTGCTTTGTGAGCTCACTTAGTTTAAAGGAAGTTTCCTTATCAATAGGAGATATAGGGAGTTTAAACAATTTGATGAGGAAGTTTCCTTATCAATAAAGTATAGGGGCAAACTAGTATTCTGAAGTTTTTTCTTTTCTGGATCAAAAATTCAATAATAAGGTTTGTTTTTATAATATTAAAAATATCTTACTGTTTTCTTGGCTTACTATTGAAAAATAGTAGAAAGAAGAAAAAGGAAACATCTACAGTCCCACCAGTCACCTTTAAAATTATTATATTATCTTCTAGTCTTTTTGTTCTACACTTAAAAGAAATTAGAGTTGAGCTCATACAGCATATTATATATGCTTAACATTATAATGTCAAAAACTTTTTATAAACATTTAAAAATGATTATGTGAATATAAGCATTTATCTTCTTATTGGATATTTTACATAGTATCATTTAAAAAATTAATTAATTTTTTATCTTTATTTTTAGAGATGGTGTCTCACTGTCACCCAGGCTAGAATGCAGTGGTGTGATCATAGCTCACTATAGCCTTGAACTTCAGGGCTCAAGTGATACTCCCACCTCAGCCACCCAAAGCACTAGGATTACAGGTGTGAGCCACCACACCGAGCCCATTTTAGAAAAGTATTATAAGCAATGCTTTTGTGAAAATATTTGTACTTAAGGGTCACTCTTCCTTCTAACTCTAATTAGTGTTTTCTCCACAGGAGAGAGTCCCAGAAGTGGAAATACTAGGTGAAATATATGAATAGTTTAAAGGTTCTTGTGCATTTGCTTTCCAAAAAAGTTAACTGTATTACCATCAAAAATTTATTGCTGCACAGAAAGATGCCCACTTTGCCACAACAAGGACATTGGATAATTTTCATAAAGAATTAAATATATGGTTCTCCTATGCTTGGTCTCTTAAGATTTGAAATTTTAACCAAGTATGAAGACATCAATTCCATATAGTCTATTCCTTTCACACAGAGAAAAGCTTTGTTTCACGATCACAGGCTGTGTGTCTACCAGCTGTTAGTGAACTTTAAGATTGCAGGTTGGCTTAGCACAGATTGTTATGATGACCATACTCTAAAGGTATTTTAAGGATAATAAATTTGTCTGTTTTTTCCAGGCTAGTTAATGGGTACAAACATACAGTTTGATAGAAGAAATACATTCTAATGTTCAGAGTAGAGTGACTATAGTTAACAACAAGTTTTGTTTTTTTTTTTTTTTTTTTTTTTTTGAGACAAAGGTCTCACTCTGTCACCCAGGCTAGAGTGTAATGGTGTGATCTGGGCACACTGTAACCTCTGCCTCCAGGGCTCAAGCGAGTCTCCTACCTCAGCCTCCTGAGTAGCTGGGATTATAGGCACGTGCCACTGCTCCCGGTTAATTTTTGTATTTTTAGTGGAGACGGGATCTCACCATGTTGGCCAGGCTGGTCTCGAACTTCTGAGCTCAAGTTAGTCACCCGCCTCAGCCTCCCAAAGTGCTGGGAATACAGGTGTGAGCCACCGTACCTGGCCAACAATATATTTTATATTTCAAAATTGCTAGAACAGAGGACTTGAAATGTGTCCAACCCACAGAAATTATAAATACTCAAATACCTGACTTAATCACTACTTATTCTATGTGTGTAACAAAATATCACTTGTACTCCATAAATATGTACAAATACTATGTTTCAATATTTTTAAAAAAGTATTTGAGGCAATGTTGGGCTCTATTTTCAGTAACAGATGAATTAGATCTCACTGAACTAACCTTCTGCAGGTAAGAACTATAGACTCTGGGAAATGACATTAATAATATGCAGCAGCTACTTAAAGGTTCAGAAGAGTGAGCAGAAGCATATGGATCTTGACGAGAAATCCATGCTTGGAGGAGGCAAGGGAAATTAAAGAAAATTCTAAAGAGAATTCTCTAAATGGATTTTATGGATTGGAAAACTCCGTGTTATTAAAATGACAATTGTCCTCCCAACCGATACATAGAATCATTTCAATTCCAATCAAAATCCTAGCAAGCATATAAAAAAGAAATTGACTTTAACATTATCAGTGATGTTATGTGGATATCAGGTGTCTCCTGATATTATGTGATGAGAGGGGTACTTCTCTATGCTTTTTTTTTTTTTCCTTGAAAACCCATGGGCCTAGTCTAATCATGAGAAAAACATCAGATAAACCAAACTGGGGGACATTGCACAAAATACGTGATCAATACTCTTCAAGATTGTTAAGGTCATGCATGAAAAACAAGGAAAGGCTGAGAACTGACACAGACCAGGAGATTGGAGAGACAGGATGACTAAATGCAATGTGATATTCTAGATTAGATCTTGGAACAGAAAGAAGACATTCATGGAAAACTGGTGAAATCCAAATAAAGTATTTAGTTTAGTTAATAGTGATAATGCCAATGTTGGTTTCTTAGTTTTGACAGATGTACCACAGTAATGTAAGATAATAATATTAGGAGAAACTAAAACTGGGTGAGGGGTATGTGAGAACTATACCACTTTCACAAATTTTCTGCAAATCTAAAATTATTCCAAAATAAAAAGTTTATTTAAAAAAATTGTTGAGTTTATTCTAAAATTTACGGAAAGGCAAAGGACCTAGAAAATTCAAAACAATTTTGAAAAAAAATGAGGTATTTAGACTTTTTGACATCAGTGTAGTGTGGGAAGTAGAAAACACACTTTTTAAAAATTAAAATAGATTTCCTGATTTCATGACTTATTATACAGCTATAATAATCAAGACCATGTTATCAGCATAAAGATAGAGATATAGCAATGCAACACAATAGAGAGCTCAGAAATAGAGCTTTACTTATATGATCAACTGATTTTCAGCAAAAGCACCAAGGTAATTTGGTGGGGAAAAGGATAATTTTTCTAACAAATGACACTAGAACAATTGAATATCTTTATGGAAAAAATAAACCTTGATCCTTACCTTAGACCCTACACAGAAATTAATGTGGATTGTAAATTTAAATGTAAGGGCTAAAGCTAGAAAATTTAAATGTAAGAGCTAAAGCTAGAAAAAGAATTATAGGAGGAAATATTTGTAGTGTTGGGTTAAACCAGTGGTTCTTGCCAGGGGTGATTTTGTACTGCAAGGGACATTTGGCAATGTCTGGAGACATTTTTGGTTATCACAACTGGAGTGGAAAGGGTGCATTTGCTAGCCAGTGGGTGTGGCCCAAGATGCTGATAAACCTCCCACAATGCACAAGACAGCCCCTGCAACAAAGTTCAGTATGTGCCAAGTTTGAGAAAGCCTAGGTTAAGAAAGGATTTCTTAAATCACAAAAATGACTCTTACAAGAAAACAATCAACAATGGACTTCCCCCAAATTTAAAATTTTATTTTGTGAAAGGTACATTAAGAAAATGAAAAGGCAAGCCACAGACTGGGAGAAAGTATCTGCAAAACACATTTGACCAAAGGCTTGAATTCAGAATATATAAAGAACTCTTACAACCAATAATAAGAAAACAACTTTGGGCAGAGGATTTGAACAGACGCTTCAAAAAAGAACATCTATGTTTGCCCAGTAAGCACATGAAAAGGTACTCAACATCACTAGTTATCAGGGAAATGCAAATTAAAACTAATTTGCATTAATTTAAATTAAATTAATTTAAATTTAAATTAATTACTTTAAATTAAAGAGATACCACTACAAACTCACTAGAATGGCTAAAATTAAAAGCCTGGCAATCTCAAGCATTGACAAAGATGTGGGGCAACTGGAACTTCCTACTTTGCAAGTGGGTCTGCAAAGTGTTCAACTACTCTGGAAAACAACTTGATACTGTCCATAGTAAGCATATGCTAACCATATGACCCAACACTCTCCTATTTTGTAGGTATTTGTCCAAGAGAAATGAAAATATGTGTCCATACAAAGAGTTGTGTGTCAGTGTTTATAACCACATTACTTGTAATGGTGTCTAACGAAACAATCCAATTATCCATCAACTGGGTAACTGATAAACAAATTGTGGTATAATCATACTATGGATTTCTATTTTGCAATAATAGAAATATTGATAACATGGATGAATTTCAAAAACCTTATGTTAAAAGAAATCACAACATTATATTCCATGTGATTCTATTCATAAGAAATTCTGGAAAAGGTAAAACTATAGGCTGAGGCTGGGTGTTAGGGGGAGGGTGGAGGAGGATCAGTGCAAAGAGGAAATTTTTTTGGGTGATGGAAATATTCTATGACTTGATTATGGTGATGGTTACATGACTATATACAATTCTGATAACTCATCAAACCGTATATTTAAAATAACTGAATTTTATGTTAAATTTAACTCAGAAATATACATTGAAAAAGGAATTTGAGACTGAAATTAATAAGACACTATTAAAAGAAGATGAACCAAATAATAAAGGAGAAAAAGTTAATTGTACCTAAAAGTTCAAGATAATTATTGCAGTTGAGCACTAAATTTAGCTTC
This sequence comes from Homo sapiens, assembly GCF_000001405.40. Classification (NCBI taxonomy): domain Eukaryota; kingdom Metazoa; phylum Chordata; class Mammalia; order Primates; family Hominidae; genus Homo; species Homo sapiens. The sequence continues at coordinate 95,994,772 of NC_000005.10, forward strand.
CAGATTCCTGGCAGATGATACAAAAATGAAAACTGCATGTGCTATATACTTTTTATTATGCCATAAATGGAAAAGTCAGAAACCTGTCAAAAGACTACACATTTTAACAAGCAGAAAGGAGTAATTTTCTGTGAGAATCATCACATAAAGGACATTAAATATCACACTGGGCAATATTTTTCAAAAAACTTTTAAGAAGTTAGAAATATTCTTCATATGGCTGACTCTCATACTGACCATGAATAAACCATTCTATCCTGAGGATCTAAAATAAAGTACATAGCTTCCTGTTGTTTCAACCCTTGGAGCAGCTTCTCAGATGTCAATAACCTGACTAAGATAATTGATGTGAGCTTAAGCACAAAGGAGGCATGGCTGAGCTCCATGGAGAAGGACTGAGGTATGATTTTTAAAATGAGGCTTATAACTGCTGACATTTTTATAAGAGTCAAACTGACCCCAGTGGAGCTCATCCCACACTGCATGGGGTCTATCTGCTTAAACAAGCATTCTGTTGAGTTCCTGATTTTTATATCCTGACAGAGAAGAAATAGCTTTGTCCTGAGAAATTCCATTGGTAAGAATCAATAGTTACCTGCTTCTTCTATCAAACTTTAATATGATTCATGTATAATGTTTTGATTTGAGCTGGTCTGCAGCCTGGTAAGCCTGCCAAGTTGCCTTCAAGATATAAGCTCAGATAATTACATGAGTTGACCTATTGAATTATTTCAGCAAATTTGAATACCGCTGAAATTTGTATGTGGAAAATGAAGATTTGGATCTTGGCATACTCGATATTGGATTGCTATTGATTTCAGAAGGAACAGATCAGCAGGTTCAGTTATGTCGTGTGGTCTCAGACCATTAGCAGAGGAAAGGATTCCTGAATTCCCATCTACTTATTGTTGTCAGGGTCCAGTGCAGAGCATTTACGTATGATAAAGGGGAGGAGGCTTTGGAAATAGTTATATTAAATCCTTTTGGGGGTTAGAATTTGTGTTGTGAGGTGCACATCCCTGTCCACTCCAAACAGCTCCTATATCCAATGCATGACCCAGATCTGGGCAATGAGAATACTGCATACCCCTGCCCACAGTAAGAAGCCATGGAGCAGGGTGGCGAAAAGCCTAGGTTCTGGAGATAGTCTATATGGTAGACATATGACATCGTAGTAACTCGAATAGTCTATATGGTAGACATATGACATCATAGCAGCTCAAAATCTTTTGATCTCCGTATTTTCACAGTTCCCTGCATTATGAACTTCACCTTCCCAAGGCAGCATAGAAACTAAAACCAAAGGCTATGTTTCCAAGTCTCCCCAAAACTAGTGGCCAGTTATGTGGCCTCAGTGAAACCAGTCTGACGCACTGAGGAAGACTTTGACTCAGAAGTGAGATATAGGAAGATCAAGGCTGGTCACAAGGCATCATTTTGCTGACTCCAGAGTGGATTGCAGACTTTAGGATCAGCAGTGGCAGCATCTACATTCAGCCAGTTCTGGAATGTGATACTGAATCCTAAGACAATGCCTCAAAACAGACCAGCTGGGCTTCAAGCTGTCGCTGCAAGGCCATCTCAAGTGTTTCCTCTATGATAACTTTCCTGATTCTGTGAGTCAGTCTCATCCTCCTTTGTGCCCACCTTTAACAGTGATAATTATTTTCATGATATTGATACTTTTATAATGGCTTCTTTGGATACTTTTAAATCTAGAAGCTTGTGTGTGTTTGTAAAACATCAGCACTGAGAATATTATACAAGGGCACTCTGGCACATAATTACCACGGAAACAAATGGAGATGTCAGTTGTTATACATCTATTGTCTATTATTATACAAGTGTAACACTTGTTCATGATGTGTCTTTCTTATAATGGCAATGATTCTCAAACTTCAGTGTACATAATAATCACCTGTAAACCTGTTAAGATGTAAATTACTTGGCTTTACCCACAGAGATTCTGATTCATTTGAGATAGAGTGGGTCCCAGGAATCTACATTTTAATATTTTTTCAGGTGATTTGGATGCACATGGTCCATAGATCACACTTTTATAAACACAGGATTATACCTGAACTCCGTACACATTTTTCATCCTTATTTCTCCTTATTTACTGATGTTAATCCAGTGCCTGGCACATGGTTTACTATTAGTACAATGGCTAAATTTGATCATCACATAAGAAATAGTAAAACAAAAAAAAAGACAGGAATATTGAAAATAGTGATATTTTACATATTCATGTTGCTCAAAAATTTCAGAATGCTTTGGAACCAAAGAAGCAAACTTAATAGTATTTTTCCATACAATGACTCAACAGATTCTCTAAGGGTCAAACTTTTGATTCAGTGGGTTTCCCCCTAAAGTCAGGATTCATTTTCCATGCATGGTCAAACACAACACACTGTATATTGATTTTTGATTCACATATTTACCAGGGGAAACTGTGCCCACAGGTCTGACATGTTTCTTTCTAAAGAGGGTGTCTTTATCTAGAACTTTAATGCTTGGGTTCTGGCAGGGCTTCTCCTACTGCTCTTCCAGCCCTCCTCTCTGTGACACTATCTCTGGGTGTCAGGGGCTTAAGTTTGAGAAAAACAGCATTTGTGAAATAGTACCTTCTAACACCCAATTAGATATTGATGATGTGGAGATAACTTAATCACAGTGCTCCAGATGAAAGCTCAATTATTTCTCCAGCTTCTGCTCTTTGTCTGCCCAAGTTTGTTTGAGTAGCTAGGTAAGATAACAGAGCTAACAGCAGGTGAACATGATTTGGCAAGAGAAGAGAAAGATCAGGAACAAAGATCCATAGCTCAAAGCACTCAGAATAGATGTGTCTACCCACTGATCTCAGTCAAGGAGGCTTTGTACTGCTCATTTCCATCTGTGAGAGTTCTGTCATGCAATGTCCTGTTCAGATGACATCTTTTCCAGGAAGACTTTCTGGGTATTCCCCAACCTGCTCCAGTAGGATCTTGCCATCCTCAGAAACTCTATGCCATAGTTTTCTGGATCTTTCTCTTCTGCCAAACTGTCAGCATTCCAAGGGCAGGGTACCCCAACTGAATAAGGACTCTATAAAAATGCGAATGATCTGCTGTCAAAAGGCCCACGTCTCACTGCTGTAAATGGAAAGACTGGAACAAATATGCTAAAATGTACTATGGGCTTTTGAGAGAGGGTTTTTTTTTTTTTTTTTTTTTTTTCCTTTGCGGGTGGAGGTGAGGAGAGTAGACAGCTTCTGGAAATTGGTGGTATGTCCATGTAATGGAATACTGAATGACAATGAAGATAAGGATCTTCTCAAGGGTTATATATAGGGCAATGATACATTCACCTTTTTTTTTAAATGACTGTAGTGAGGTATATTTTACATCTCATAAAATTCACCTATTTAAAGTGTACATTTTTTGGTTATTTTCCATACATTTTCTGCTTATGTATCAAGTGACAATTTTCTGATTCTTAGTAACTTTAAATTTAAATTTTTTTATATATTTAGGGGATACAAGTGTAGATTTCTTATATGCATATATTGTATAGTGGTAAAGTCTAGATTTTTAGTGTACCCATCACCTGAATAGTGATCATTGTACCTAATAGGTAATTTTTCAACCCTCATCCCCTTGTCTTCATCCCACCTTTTGTAGACTCCAGTGTCTGTTATTCCACTCTGCATGTCCATGTACCCCAGTCCTTAGCTCCCACTTATAAGCAAGACCATGCAGTATTTGACTTTCTGTTTCTGAGTTATTTCACTTAGACTAATGGCCTCCAGTTCCATCCATGTTGTCACAAATGACATGATTTCACTCTTTTTTATGGCTAAGTAGTATTCCATGGTATCTGTGTACCATACTTTATCTAATCCTGTATTGATAAATACTTAGGTTGATTTCATATCTTTGGTATTGTGAATAGTTCTGCAATAAACATACAAGTGCTGGTATCCTTGTGATAGAATGATTTCTTTGGGTAGATACCCAATAGTGGGATTGTTGGATCAAATGGTAGTTCTATTTTTAGTTCTTTGAGAACTCTCCATGCTGCTTTCCATAGAGGTTATACTAATTTACATTCCCACCAACAGTGTGTAAACATTCCCTTTTTCCCCATGTTCTCATTATCTGTTGTTTTTTGACATTTTAATAATAACCATTCTGACAGGTATAAGATGGTATCTCGTTGTGGTTTTAATTTGCATTTCTCTGATGATTAGTGACGTTGAGCATTTTTTCACCTGTTTATTGGCTGTTTGTATGTCTTTTTTGAGATTTTTTTAGTGACTTTACTGAGTAATCAGTTTAAGAACATTTTTATTCTCCCAGTAAGACCCCATGCCTATTTATAGTTATTCTCATTCCTATACCAGGGCCCAGGCAACTACTAACCTACTTTCTGCTTATATATTTGCCTTTGTTGGACATTTAATATAAATGGAATTATGTGACATGTGTTTTTTTGTGTCTGGCTTGTTTTGCCTTGCATAACTTTTTGAGGGTCATCCATGACATAACATTTATTGCTGAATAGTGTCTCATTGTATGGATACGCCATATTCAGTATATCCATATATATATTTTTAAGAGACATAGTTTCACTCTATTGCCTAGGCTAGATTTGCTTGGTGTGATCATAGCTCACTGCAACCTCAAACTCCCAGGCTCAAACGATCCTCCCATCTTAGTCTCTTGAGTAGCTGGGACCACAGGCACCGGTCACTACACCTCGCTAATTTATTTTGTAGGAACAGGGTTTCGCTGTGTTTCCTAGGCTGGTCTCAAACTCCTGATTTCAAGCGATTCTCCTGTCTTGGTCTCCCAAAGTGCTGGGATTACAAACATGAGCCATGGCACCAAGCTTACACACTGATTGATTGACATTTCAATTGTTTCCAATTTGGGGTTATTATTAATAATTCTGCTATGAACATTCTTATGATAGTCTTTGTGCAGATACATGTTTTTATGTTTCTTCTGTAAATACTTAGGGCGGAATTGCTGGATCATTTCGTAGTTTTATGTTTAACTTTTTGAGAAACTGCCAAATTGTTTTTTAAAGTGGCTGCACCATTTTATATTTCCACTAACAACATATAAGAGTCCCCATTTCTCCACATTCTCAGCAACATTTGCTATTGTCGCCTTATTTATTATAACCATTTCAGTGGATTTGAAGTGGTATCTCATTTTTGTTTTAATTTGTTTCCCTAACTAAATGGTGCTGAACATCTTTTCATATTGTTATTAGCCATTACTATTTGCATATCTTCTTTAGTGAAATATCTGCTCATATATTTTATCCATTTTTTGATTGGGTCATTTGTCTTTTTTTAAAAATATGTCGAGATTTTTTTGTATAGTCTAGATATGTCCTTCATCAGATATGTGTTTTGCAAATACCTCTTACAGTCTATTGGTTGTCTTTTTATTTTCCTGGTGATATCTTTTGTAGTTACAAAAGTTTTAAATTTTGATGTCCAATTTATCAATTTTTTTATTTTATGGAACATGTTTTTAGTTTCATATCTAAAACCATCTTTGTCTAATTTAAGGTCTTCAAGGTTATCTCCTATGCTTTCTGTTATTTAGCTTCTACATTTAAGTTTACAATCCTTTTTTATTTACTTTTTGTATATAGTGTGAAGTAGGTGTCTAAACTTATCTTTTTGCATGTGGTTATCCAGTTGCCCACATTTGTTTCATAAACTGACATCTGTCGGGAGCTTCGCTGTGTAGTAGGCACTAGAGATACAAAAGTGAAAGATGGCAATTTCCAGCTTCAAGTATAGTCAAGGGAGGTATATGTCCATAACTACGGAGAATAGAACACAGGGATGTACCAATTCAAGATCTGAAAACTTCAAGAAGAATGAGTCTGAGGTAAAATCAAGGGAGTGGCTTTGTTGTCTTCAGGGAAAAGACCTATATATGTTAGCCTAGTTTAGTGCAATGGCTTCACTTTCTTTGGCCTCTTAACATACTAGTTTGACATCATCTGTTTTGAGGTATATCTCAAAAAATTTATGACTAATAAAGAGTTCAGATATTGATGTTTGCTAATAATTATCTTTTTGTAAAAAAACGCAATTGATATTCTTAGAGTGGGGACTGTTGTGATATCTTCAAATTGATCATACTTCAGATTATATTTTAAGAAAATGTCTCCCAGGTAGACCTTATTAAAAATGGCTAAAAATTCTGGGTTAGTGGATGAACATTGGATTAGAATTCAAGAAACTTAGAGTTGGGACTACCACTAATTAGCTTTGTGTTCTTGGCACATCATCTAAATTCTTAAACCCTCAGTTTGCTCCCAGTGTAAAGTGGCAGATCATTTCCAAGACCCTTTTCAGACTGAATGTTCTCTTTATTCATTAAGTCAACATTTATTGAGTACTCACTTTGTGCCAGACACTGTGAGGCACTCTTAAGCAAAGGTAAGAAAAAGATACCAGATGCTTTTATAGAGAGGGATGTGAAAACAAATCATTAAAAGATAATGTTGCATATTTTGTGCTAGTTATATGATTCACTGTGTCTAGAAACCTACATTTCTTCTGACCAAGAAGTTAACTGGGGAAGAAGAATCAAGAAGGAAAATGACCCCAAAGATCAGCTTAAGGAATGTGCCTGCAAGAGAGAATTCACATGTCAGACATGGGACAGAGGAATTTCAGCCTGCTAGCTACAACCAACCTTTGGATAATGAGATTTCTTCACACTGTGGTACAAAGGTGTATTTACTTCCCTAAGAGAAATAAAAGAGAAAGGCACATAACACTTGGGACTGTATAAAGAACTTGGCTGATATTGAGTATCCAATTCTCTTTATTGTATTCAAAATCATAATGAGTATTTCTCATATTTCAGATTTTCCCTAAGAGCAAACCTACAGTGTAAGATATTTTGTTAAGAAGTATGTTTTTATATTAATAGAACATGAATCTCATATAAATTAACTTCATGCCCCCTACTCAAGACTTTTCTTTCAAATTCTGAATCACATTATCAAGTATACTTCCTGAGGTTTCTTTAAAAATACAGCACCTTCAAATCTGAATATTCTCTTATTCTTAACCTAATAGTCTTTTTGTGTAATGTACAGACACTGAGCCTATGGCTTTTGAAAGCTTTTCAGACAAGAGGAGTCTATGTTTCTTTGGCTTGAGAACCCCTCGAATTCTTCTGTTTCCCTCTGCATACATAGGCAGTTTCTCTTCTTGGCAATAGGCAGTCTAGGGCTGCTTATATGTGAGTAATGGAAATGTCTACAAAGTTATAAGAAAATTCAGCTTACATTTTATTCATATAACTTTATAATCTTTATTTGGCAAATGTACCATTTAGGAGCAACCATTGTTCAAGTGTACTTATATGAGCTTTAATTATACCATGCGTTTTGAAAAGGCCTTGCCTGATCTATTGGGATGCTTGGTTGCAAGTGACAGAAATCCAGCTTGGATTAGCTCAAACAAAAAGAGAATTCATTGGCTCTTTTAACTAGGAAGTTTAGGTGTGGAATTAGCTTTAGAATAACAGAATTCAGGGGCTTAGTAGGATTCCTGGCTCTCTTGTCCTCTGTCACTGAATTTATCATTTCTCTGGGTATTGGCATTCACAGACAGGTCCTCTGCATGTGGTAGTCAAAGATGGCCAATGGCTGCTCCAGTCTTAGCTGGTCTTTGTAAGTTGAAAGCAGAGGAAGAGAGACTCTTTGGGATCCATATACTGGATCTTATCTGGGTACCCGGTCCAGCTTGGGTGTAAAACTCATCCATTGCCACCAATCTTTATGAACAGCAGAAGGTATAAAGATTGACTGGCCTGGGGACTGTCTTAGCTCCTGAAGCCAGGGGAGAGTAAGGTTCTCTGACTGAGAAACTCTCCATGCCCACATGGAGTGAATGGCTGGCAGACACAAACAATAGATGCCTACTACATTGGATAAGGCGTTGTTAAACACTTTTAAGTGAAAGGACCACTGACTTTCATCTGCCATAAAAATGCAAGGCTGCTCTGAATAATTTTGCAATATTTATTTATGTTTTTGAAACAATCTCAAATATTTTAGATATCTATTTAACTCATTTTCTCTCAGTCTTTCTTATGGTAATATACTACCTTTTCACTGAGTTGACATTCACTTTCTTAGTATTTATTTTCAAATTTTGACCAGGCACAGTAGCTCATGCCTGTAATCCCAGCACTTTGGGAGGCCAAGGCAAGAGGATTTCTTGAGGCCAGGAGTTCAAGACTAGCCTGGGCAATGTAGCAAGATCCCATCTCTAAACACAAAATAAAAATAAGTTAGCCAGGCATGGTGGCAGGTGTCTGTAGTCCCAGCTACTTGAGTGGCTGAGGCCTGGGGATTGCTAAAGCCTAGCAATTCAAGGCTGCAGTGAGCCATGATCACACCACTGCACTCCATCCTGGGCGACAGAGCAAGATTCTGTCTCTTAAAAAAATCAAATTTTGACCAGGTGCGGTGGCTCATGCCTGTAATCCAGCACTTTGGGAGGCCGAGGAGGGCAGATCATGAGGTCAGGAGATCGAGACCATCCTGGCTAACACGGTGAAACCCCGTCTCTACTAAAAATATGAAAAATTAGCCGGGTGTGGTGGCGGGCGCCTGTAGTCCCAGCTACTTGGGAGACTGAGGCAGGAGAATAGTGTGAACCTGGGAGGCGGAGCTTGCAGTGAGCCGAGATGGCGCCACTGCACTCCAGCCTGGGCGACAGAGCGAGACTCCATCTCAAAAAAAAAAAAAAAAAAAATCAAATTTTATCAAGTTTTTATAAATATTCTCATTGTGATTGCTTGCACAGTTTGTTTCACAGTAAAAAATTACAAGTATCTTAGTTGACAGAGATCATTTAAAAATTATTCTTTAATAACTTAGATGTGTTGATGGTGTTTGATTATTTAGAATTAAAATAGTTTTTTCAATGAAATTTGTCTAAAATCCTTGCTGAAGACTAGAAAAGAGTTTTTAAGAGACCACAATTAATAAGCTTTAGGTAAACCACATTTCCCTTGTATAGAACATTTTCAATTCTCAGATCTTGACCCTGATAAACTTTCTGATAGGGGAAAATTCCAAAACACATATGAAGGAGAGAATTATATTCAGGCGTTTTAAATAGCAAGTCCAAATACAGTCATCTTTTTTTCATACTCATAAATTAGGACAGCTCCCGCTTTTAAAATAGAGTAAGAAGAAGGGGTGGCATACATTCAGAGCAAACCAACATTTAAATATAGCACATTAGAATTCTTTGCATATCGAAGACCAGTAATAAGATGTAAGTTGATTTGGGCTTTAGAAAACATTCTGGATGTTGGATGGTCATGCCATGTGCTATGTTTTAGAACTTTATGGGGCCTCTGTCATAGGATGAAAGAAGAAGTGCAATCATATTACAAAAATGCTGTGGCTAATTGTTATCATTAAATCTCTTTGGACCATGTCCAGTGTAGATACATTATATACAGAATTTCTATGTTTATGGCTAATTTTAGCAAGAGCATATCTTGTTCCTTCAATCTATTGGTCATAAATTTAGAAAGATTATGTGAAAGGATGACTTGTTCCTAGGAAATGCACACTGAAATATTTATTGGTAAAGGTCATGATGTCTTCAACTTATTCTCAAATGGTTTAGAATGACAACATGACAAAATAACATGATATTTTATTATATAAGTGTTCTCTAATCTACTTAACCAGTCCTATGCTGGTAATTAAATGGGGAGACAGATGGATAAACTGGATAACTTCAACTCAAGTGATCAGGTTTTCTTCAAGTAGCTTTATTATTTGGCTTGAAATGCTATATACTCCAAAGTTTTAGGCCATATTTCAAAGTCAATATACATGCCATTAGAGTTGATGATTGGGTTTACTATACACTAAAAAAATATTACCTCAAAGAACTTCTGGTAAAATATGGGAATGTAGTCTTTAAGAGATAAGAGATATCAACAAAATTTTTGAATATAGAAAACAGAGAGGAAGATGCTAGAACACAAGTCTCCAGGTTGAAAGTACCCACTGATTGCTTAGGACAGTGAATGAAGAGACCCTTGTAAAGCAACTCTTCAAAAAATCTCAGCTCCCTAGGATTAAAGAGAAAATGCTGCCAGCCTCCAGAGAGATCAGGTTACATACTGTAGGTCATCGAATGGCAGAGGACATTGCAACAGAAATATTGGCAATAGAGGACAATGGAGTAATGCCTCTAGAATTCTGAGAGAAAATATTTTTCATTCTAGAATTCTATACTTAGCCAAACCATTAATCAGTTGTGAGGGCAGAATAAAAACAGTTTTAGATAAGAAAAGTTTTAAAAACTCATCTTCTTTGAGTCTTGGGAAATGAATGACATATCTGTGCCAACAGAATGAGGGCACTACTCAAGAAAGATGAAGCCCCAAAGTCCAAGAGATAGATAGGGGATGAAACAGGAAATTGGTGAAGAAAATCTCAGCTAGGCATCAGTCCTAGAGAGCCTACCAGTTACAGACTGGAACAAGAGAATGGACACTCTGGAATAGAAATAGAGGGAAGAAATGGAATGGATGGATTCTCTGGTAACACTAGATGGGTTAGAAAGTGCTGTTGACTGGTGTGTGATCTAATGGAGTATTTGGAAAAAATGATGAGATATCCTAATACTGATAAATGAAGGAAATTCAGGATATATATACATTATTTAGAAACAGAGAAGTAACTAGAAGAAATAGTTATACAGATGAAAATGATTACCATGGGGAAAAATGCAGCAAAGACTGATGAATTTGATTATCACCTTTTTAGTACTATTTGATTATATTATCAAGTATATCAGTTACGTTGATTAAAAGTAAAAAATCAAGTGAAAATAAAACCAATTCAAACTAAAATAAACTATTTAAACGTGTGATAGGGGAAACTGGGTGTAGGGTATATGGGAATTCTTTCTTCACAATTTTTATATAAATTTTATGTAAATCTGTTCTAAAAATAAAATATATTTTTAAAAATCTAATTGGAGAAACAAGAAAAATGAAAGAGTACAACGTAATGCATACTCTAGAGTATATTAAGTGTAGTGCAATAAACTTAATGAACATCAAGATGTACAGAAAATAAAATTAGTTTTATTTTTGATTTTCAAGACAAAATTAAAAATAAGGTATTGTATCTTGTTTATAAATATTGTCTATATAGGTTTTAGATTTTGAGTTATTCAGTATTACCAATATCAGTTTATTCTTCCCAAAAATACGATTTTTAAAATGATGAGTGAATACCTAAGTTTAACTGGTTGACAGATATTTTTTCCATTAGTGGATTAATATAGATTTGGATTATGACTGTGCAAGTTCACCTTATAACCCTGTTTAAATATCCTAAGTCACATTAGAAGTTATGAAGGACTAGTTGGAGATGGGGTGGTCAATGAAAATATCTGGCTAGGCCACATCTTCAGAATGTACTCAGCAGGGGTGTCCAATCTTATGGCTTCCCTGGGCCACAATGGAAGAAGAATTGTCTTGGGCCACACGATATACACTAACACCAACAATAGCTGATGAGCTAAAAAAGAAAAATCGCAAAAAAAAAAAATCATAATGTTTTAAGAGTTTACAAATTTGTGTTGGGCCACATTCCAAGCCATCCTGTCCAAGCCCACACATGCAGCCTGTAGGCCCAGGTTGTGTGCTGTGTCATCGAGCACAATCATTTACCTGTTCTTCTTCATCAGGGGAGTGGTAGTCCTATTTCATAGGATTAAGTGATTTATCTGCTGACTTCAGCTGAATGGGGCTTAGAAATCAAACCTTCTGATGCCAGGGTCAGGGGTGTCACTTTGTTCTGGGGCACCAAGGATATGTTGTGTCTGCTGTTGCTGTCATCAGAACAGGTATTAAACTTGAAAACTCCAGACAGTGGGATTGACCTTGAAGCAAAACCACGGCGAATGTACAGTGCTTGGACAGGGCTCTTCAGCATGTTTTAAGCAGGATTACTTATTTCCTTATTACTTTCTATACATTTCAAATTCTTTTTTATATTTTATATTTTAAGAACTGGACATTGCAGGAAACACCTCTCATACCCTGTTTTCACTCTGTGGGTTCAGCAAAAGAAAATGACAGCCTTGCAATAGCTAAATATCTAAGCTTTAAAAATGTATTTTTAAAAGCCCTAATTGGCATAATAACCTATAATTTTATTTTCATTTTTGGTATCACCCATTTTATATCTTGTGCTTCCAGCTTCCCTCAATCACATAATTATCAGATATTCGTGTGGATTTTAAAAGGTGGTTTTAAGGTCATATTCTTCAATTAATTGACCAGTTTGCTTCCATTAAGTGTAATCTCTTGTGCTTGGACTTCCTGCCTATGGGACAGAATTTAGCTGAATAGTACCCTTTGAGATTTGTTGACTTTACTAGTAGTTCCTGCTCAAAGCAGGAAATCTTGGAGGTGGTACAGAGTGTTCTTTTCATTGTATGTGCAGATTAAGCTTCCCTAAGAATAATGCTATTTCTGGGTGCAAGACTGGATTAACCATCCTTGATTCTGTTGACTTTCACTGTGTGAAGAATGACTAAATAAATTTCATTTCTTTGGCTATTTCTTTGACTTTTGAATTTAGTTATAACTCTTTTGCAGGCTTTTATGGACAGAATATTTGTATCTCCCTAACATTGCTATATTGAAACTCTAACCTCCAATGTGATGGTATCTAGAGGTGAGCCCCTTGAGAGGTAATTAGGTTTAGATGAGGTTATGAGGGTGGGGCTCTCGTGACGCGATGAAATTAGTGCCCTTTTAAGAAGAGGAAGATGGGGCCGGGCGCGGTGGCTCACGCCTGTAATCCCAGCACTTTGGGAGGCCGAGGCGGGCGGATCACGAGGTCAGGAGATCGAGACCATCCCGGCTAAAAACGGTGAAACCCCGTCTCTACTAAAAATACAAAAAATTAGCCGGGCGTAGTGGCGGGCGCCTGTAGTCCCAGCTACTTGGGAGGCTGAGGCAGGAGAATGGCGTGAACCCGGGAGGCGGAGCTTGCAGTGAGCCGAGATCCCGCCACTGCACTCCAGCCTGGGCGACAGAGCGAGACTCCGTCTCAAAAAAAAAAAAAAAAAAAAAAAAAAAAAAAAAAAAAAAAAAAAAAAAAAAAAAAAAAGAAGAGGAAGATGTGCGGCACTGAAGAAAGGCCATGTGAGAGTGCAGTGAGAAGGTGGCTGTCTACAAGCCAGAAAGAGGGCCTTCACCAAAAACTGAATCAGCTGGCATCTTGGTCTTGGACTTCCCAGCCTCTAAAACTGTAAGAAATAAATGCCTGTTGTTTAAGTCACCCAGTCTATGGTATTTTGTTATAGCAACCTGAGCTAAGATGCAGACCTTCTCCAACTTCTCCAGTTTTTTGATTAAATGTAAACAGAACTGGGCAATTATCAAACCTTTATCAATATTGAGAATATGGAGGTGAAATTCTCCTACTTCCTTTATATCTATCACCTGTTCACTTTTCCTGTTACTATACTCTAAAACCAAATCCAAAAATATATGATTTTTGAAGACAATATCCTTATGTTTATATGCTCCTTGTTTATTTTTTCATTTGGTCATACATATCTTTTTTTGTCAACAACCTAGGTGAACACTGTATGTATATGTCATTTTTTCTTTTTTCTGGTAACTATTCCTCCAACAACCTGGTTACAATGCTCTGTTTTTTTTAGGGGGAGAAGGCACCTTTTCCCTTTCTCACTCTTTAATCTATGTGGTTGAAGGGAGGCTTACCTCATCCATGGTTTCAGGGATGAACATGCTATTCAAAACAAACAACATAATCCAAGAAATACATTTTCCTAACCATGCCGACTGGTTCTGAAATAAACAAGTGACTCAATTCAGGCCAATGAGAGATTGGACCAAATCTTTTGCTGAGATCATTCTAATGAGAAGCTCAAGCCTACATGGAGGAAAACAATGCTGAGATACAGAGAGAGCAGAAGAATCCTGGTGATATTATGTTTTGTTTTTTAAAAACTTTATTTTAGATACAAGGAGTACATATGTAAGTTTGTTACATGGGTATATTGTATGATGCTGAGGTTTGGAGTATGGATCCCATCATCCAGGTAGTGAGCATAGTATCCATTAGGTTTTTCAAACCATGCCCCACCCCGCCTCTATCAGTCGACAGTGTTTATTGATTCCTGTGATTATGTCCATGTGTGCTCAGTGTTTAGTTCCCACTTACAAGTGAGAACATGCAGTATTTATTTTCTGTTCCTGTGTTAATTTGTTTAGGATTATGGCCTCTAGCTGCATCCATGTTGCTACAAAGTACATGATCTCATTCTTTTTATGGCTGCGTAGTATTCCATGATATATATGTACCACATTTTCTCTATCCAATCCACCACTGATTAGCATCTAGGTTGGTTTACGTCTTTGCTATTGTGAATAGCATGGCAATGAACATAAGAGTGATTGTATCTTTTTGGTAGAATGATTTATTTTTCTTCAGGCAGATACTCAGTAGTGGGGTTGCTAGGTTAAATGGTAGCTCTGAGTTGTTTGACAAATCTCCAAACTGCTTTCCACAGTGACTGAACTAATTTACATTCCCACCAACAGTGTAAATGTTTCCTCTGCAGCCTCACCATCATCTGTTATTTTTTGACTTTTTAATAATAGTCATTCTACTGGTATGAGATGGTATCTCAGTGTGGTTCTGATTTGCATTTATCTGATGGTTAGTGATGGGAGCATTTTTTTCATATTTGCTGGCTACCTATATGTCTTCTTTTGAGAAGTGTCTGTTCATGTCCGTTGCCTATTTTTTAATGAGGTTTTTTGTTTTTTGCTTGTTGATTGAAGTTCCTTATAGATTCTGGATATTAGACCTTTGTTGGATGCGTAGTTTGCAAATATTATCTCCCATTCTGTAGGTTATCTGTTTACTGTGCTGATAGTTTCTTTTGCTGTACAGAAGCTCTTTAGTTTAATTAGATCCCACTTGTTAATTTTTGTTTTTGTTGCAATTGCTGTTGGGCACTTAGTTGAAAATTATTTGCCAGGTCGATGTCAAGAAGAGTATTTTATAGGTTTTCTTCTAGTATTTTTATGGTTTGAGGTCTTACATATAAGTCTTCAATCTGTCTTGAGCTGATTTTTGTATATGGTGAAAGGTAAGGGTCTAGTTCCATTCTTTTGTATATGGCTAGCCAGTTATCCCGGCACCGTTTATTGAATAGAGAATCCTTTCCCCATTGCTTGTTTTTGTCAGCCTTGTCAAAGATCAGATGGTTATAGGCATGGGGCTTTATTTCTGAGTTTTCTATTTTATTTCATTGGTCTATGTGTCTGTTTTTTGTATAAGCACCACGCTTTTTTGGTTACTGTAGTCTTATAGTATAGCTTGAGATTGGGTAGTGTGATCTCTCTGGCTTTGTTCTTTTACTTAGGATTGCTTTGGCTATTCAAGCTCTTTTTTGATTCCATATGATTTTTAGAATATATTTTTTCTTTTGTGAGTGTGTGTCAGGGTCTCACTCTGTCACCCAGGCTGGAGTGCAATGGCACGATCTCAGCTCACTGCAATCTCTGCCTCCTGGGTTCAAGTGATTCTTGTGCCTCAGCCTCCCAATTAGCTGAGATTACAGCTGTCCACCACCACACCTGGCTAATTTTTGTATTTTTGGTAGAGGTGGGGTTTCACCATGTTGGCCAGGCTGGTCTAGAACTCTTGACCTGAAGTGATCTGCCTGCTCCGGCCTCCCAAAGTGTTGGGATTACAGGCATGAGCCACCACACCAAGCCTAGAATATTTTTTTCTAATTCTGTAAAAAATGACATTGGTAGTTTGACAGGAATAGCATTGAATCTGTAAATTGCTTTGGACAGTATGACCATTTAAACAATATTGATTCTTCCAATCCATCAACAGAATGTTTTTCCATTCATTTGTGTCATCTCTGATTTCTTTCATCAGTGTCTTGTAATTTTCCTTGTAGAGATCTTTCACTGTCTTGATTGGCTGTATTCTGAGCTATTTCATTTTCTTTGTGGCTATTGTAAATGGGATTGTGTTCTTGATTTGACTCTCAGCCTGGTCATTATTGGTATATAGAAATGTTACTGATTTTTGTACATTGATTTTGTATCCTGAAACTTTACTGAAGTCGTTCATCAGTTTTCAGAGCCCTTTGCTGGAGTTTTAAAGGTTTTCTAGGTATAGAATCATATTGTCAATGAAGAGAGATAGTTTAACTTCTTCTTTGCCTATTTGGATGCCTTTTATTTCTTTCTCTGGCCTGATTGCTCTGGCAAAGACTTCCAGGTGATATTAAATTACCAGCATCCAATTGTGTCTGAGTTTACAATGGACTTTTTGATTATGAAATTTCCTGTTTGGTTTAGGTCAGTTTAAATTTGGTCTTTATTAATACAACGGAAAGAGGGCTATATAATGTAATTACCAAATTCACAGACATTAAGGATCATGAAGAGATAGAGAATACATTAAATGACAGAATCAAAATCCAGAAAGCTCTTGGCTGAAAAGAAGGGCAACAACTAATAGGATAAAATATAGTAGTAATAAAATGTAAAGTCCTATACTTTGTGAAATCAACTGGGCAAAGTGAGGATGAAGCTGACATGGGTACATAGTTGCCCATGTGAGAAAGATTTAGTTGTTTTAGTGAATTATTAGCTCAATCACAATTATTAGTGTGATGATGCTGCCAGGAATATGTTGTGTCCTGTTCCATTAATGTATTCTCCTATCCTTGTGTCCATACCACACAGTACCACACTGTCTATTGTAAGTCTCAAAAATTAGATAATGTAACTCTGATGACTTTGTTCTTCTAGATTGCTGGCTTTGCATTTGCACATAAATTATATATTGTGAATTACCCCAAATTAAAAAGAATTAAGTAGGATTGCATAATTTTTCAAGCCGGTGGGACTAATGAATTGTAAGTCATTTTTAATGCCATTGCATCTTTAGCTGGTTGAAAATAATAATGCTTGTTATGGGAAAGTAAATATTGAATTATGCCAGGTGTTTAGAAATACATTCTTAGAGTAAGATGCAAATACTCTATATTTAACTACACAAACCTAGAATGCATAGTACATTTATGGAATAATACATAAGAAACTAGTAATAGTATTTTGCTTGGGGTAGATGTACTGGGTGTCTGGTATAGGAGAAAGATTTACTTTTTCATTTATCTTTGAAGTCTTTTAAATTAAAAACAACTAATGAAAAAATTCAAAATAATAATGTAATATACACGGTTACTATTCATGTATGAGATCTATCTCTAAATCAGAGTTCTGTTCTATGAATAAAATCTGTCCTGATTTATGACTATGGGTGTTGTTTGTAGTTAATGTCACTGCAGTTCCTTCTCTTTATTTCCCAGGTCAGCCCATTACCAGGACTTTAAGGAAACTTTAATCAATCAGTCTTTTACATCATGCATTTAACAAATTCTTTTGATATACTTCTTAAGTTTTTTTTTTTACAATGGGTCCTTACCCAAAGTAAATAATTATGCTTTAGGGGTTACAGCTCTTTTTTAGTCCTTCTGTTGTTGCTCAACTTAACTTACAGTTCCTTCTTTATCCTAACTTTACTTAATTTATCTGAGCCTCAGTTGCCTCATCTGTAAAAGACATAGGGTAACATATGGTCTGAAGTCTTTTCCATCCTATGAATTTTTAAGTCTCTATTCCATTCAATTCATGATCCATATAGGCAGTGATGACACAACTCTTCAGGACAAGATGTGACATGCATAGAGTGTTCAAGTTTAGAAAAGTTACACCTACTCTTTGCTACTTCTTAGACCTGTACACAGTTTTAGTTTTAGAATATTTCTGGTTGTCTAGTTATCAACTAGATGGATTGAATCATTGGCCCCTCCCCAAATTTATACTTTTGCCATGGCTTCCTTGTGGGTAGTGTATTTCCTCAACCCTTGACTTGCTTTGGCTAATGGCATAGGGTTAGCAGTTGTGCCATTTTTTTAGCATAGGACTTAAGAACCCTTGCATGCTTCCATTAGCTACCTTGTGCCTCTGTTTCTGCCAGTCCAAGGAGAGTAATAGACATGGGAAGCTGGTCTACAGATCTGAGTAAGATGCAGAGTTATTCCAGGCACTGAAGCCTGAAGCAGTCTCTCAGTTGAGCCTAACTTGGATCAGCTGAGTTTCAGCTGAGCTGTAGGTCTTCAAGAATAAATCATTATTAAGTCTTGGTGTGGTCTGTGACAGCAGTTTTGTGACAACTGACACATCAGGTACCATTAAATTACTTCTGTTAAAATGTATTTTTAAAACAGAAAACACATTCACTTGATTCAAAAATAAAAATATAAAAAGGTATGCTTTTTTTTTTTTGCTCCAAGCCCTGTTCCCTGTTCACAAGGTCTCATCCAATGTCCTACTACCACAAATTGCTCACATATAAATAGACATACATATATAATGATAATATAGAGAATATATATAATTAATATATAGCTCCCACTCCACCCATTTATACTTTTTGAATTCTTTGCTTTTTTCATTTATTATGTCTTGGATATATTCACATATCAGTATATGAAAAGCTTCCTTATTCCTTTTCATAGCTGCATAGTACTCCATTATATATCATAATGAGAGACAATCAAGTCCTCTATTGATGGTGCTGGGTTTGTTTTCTATCTTTCGCCATGATGTGATTATATACAGTCATGCTTTACTTAACATATGGGGACACCTTCTGAGAGATGTGTTGTTAGGTGATTTTATCATTGTACAAACATCATAGAGTATACTTACACAAACCTAGATAGTACAGCCCTACTACATACCTAGGCTATATGGTATATATAACAAACCTGTGCAGTATTTTATTGCACTGAATATTGTACAAAATTATAATACAATGGTAGGTATTTGTATACCTAAACATAAAAAAGTACAGTAAAAATAGAGTATAAAGGATACAAAATTGCACATATGTATAGGGCACTTACTATGAACCACAATAAGACTGAACATTGCTCTGGGTGAGTCAATAAGTGAATAGTGAGTGAATGTGAAGGCCTAGGACATTATACTATTGTAGACTTTACAAACACTGTACATTTAAGCTATACCAAATTTATTTAAAAAATTATTTCTTAATAATAAATTAACCTGAGCTTATTGTAACTTTTTTACTTTGTAAACTTTTAATTTTTTTAACTTTTTGACTTTTTAATAATACTTAGCTTAAAACACAAATATATTATACAGCTGTACAATAATATTTTCTTAATATCCTTATTCTATATGCTTTTTTGTATTCATTTTTTTTTTTTTTACTTTTAAATTTTTTTTTGTTAAAAACTAAGACATGAACACACACATTAGCCTAGGCCTACACGGGGTCAGGATCATCAATATCACTCTCTTCTACTTCCACATCTTGTCCCACTGGAAGGTTATCAGGGGCAGTAACATGCATGCAACTGTGATCTCCTGTGATTAAAAATGGCTTCTTCTTCTGAAATACCTCTTGAAGGATCTGCCTAAGTTAACTTTTTTTTATTATAAGTAGGAGTACACTCTAAAATAGTGATGAAAAGTATAGTATAGTTAATACGTAAACAAGTAACATAGTCACTTATTATCATTATAAAGTATCATGTACTATACATAATTGTGTGTACTAGACTTTTATATGACTGGCAGCACAGTAGGTTTGTTTACACCAGCATCACCACAAACACAT
This sequence comes from Homo sapiens, assembly GCF_000001405.40. Lineage (NCBI taxonomy): Eukaryota > Metazoa > Chordata > Mammalia > Primates > Hominidae > Homo > Homo sapiens. The sequence continues at coordinate 96,014,570 of NC_000005.10, forward strand.
GAGTAATGCATTGTGCTATGGCACTATGATGGCTACATCATCACTAGGTAATAGGAATTTTTCAACTTCATTATAATCTTATGGGACACTCTCTCATATGCAGTCTGTTGTTATGCAGTGCATTATTGTATACAGATCTATGCAAGTAGGATAAACTCCAGTGGGGGGTTGGGGGTAGGAGAAGAGATGTATGCAGATGGGATTTTAATAATTACTGCCAAATTGTCCTTTATACAGGAATAAATAAATTTTAATTTGGAAGAGGTGTTCTAACAGCCTTTTCTGTTAGCCTGGAGGAAGAGTGTAATATTTCACACAGGAAGCCATCTAGTCGACTTTCCAGGAGGACGTTAAATGATCTTTTCAGAGCTCTAACACCTATATACTGGGAGGTTCCAAACATTTTACGGGTATCAGCTTTTTAAGTCCTCACCACACCCTGTAAAGTAGGTACTGTCACTATCCTGGCCTCAAAGATGAAGAGATTTATTAGGTGAGAAGCTAAGTAACTTCTCTCAGTTCATTCAGCTAGAAAGCAATGTAGCTCACATAGACTTATCCCCAGCTAAGACAGCTAAGTCATGACTTCTCTGAAGTTATTTTTTAAAGGTATAATTAAACTAATATTAGTATAGTATCCTAAATATTTTCCTAAAATGTCCTATGTTGATGTAGCTTTTATTTTTTTAAAATCCATAAATTCTATTATATATGTGTGTATGTGTATATTGCTATTTGACTGTACTTTCAGGGCACCAAAGAATTTCTACTATAAAACTAAAGGCAAGATATATAACAAAACCATTATGAACTGGACTCACTTTAAAAATTCTGTGATTATAATTGCTGTTTGAATTTTTAGAAAACATGTTTTAGAAAATATATTAAGTATCCACAATTTCCTAGTGGCTAACTCACTTTTGGTACAATTTTTTTTAATCACCTATAATATATATTCATTTAATACTCCTATCACTCCTGTTTTAGGTATTAATGTGCTGATTTTACAGATAAGGAAATTGAAGCTCAGAGAAAGGGACTGATTTGCCAACCTTATCCAGATAGTGAGGATGAACAGGGTAATGATGGTAATGCTTACTATTTAATATATGTCGAGCACATTGCTAGGCCCACTTTACAGGGAGCATTAACATTTTATTTAATCTTCACAATAATCCTTTGAGGTAGTTACTCTTACTATTCTCATTTTACAGATGAGAAAATAGGGATTTAAAGACATTCAGAAACTTTCTGGAGGCCACGCACAGCTAGGAAGTGGTATTGTGGGGAACTTCATCCAGGCTTGTTTTGATGGTGAGGCTGATGTGTCAATTTGACTATAGACTATAGTCTCCAGTGTAGTATTCAAACACTAGTCTAGGTGTTACTGTGAGGGTATTTTGTAGGTGTGATTCATGTCCATAGTTAGTTGGCTTTATGTAAGGGAGATTATCCTAGATAATCTGGGTGACCTAGCTTAAAGAGTTGAAAGGTAGAAGAGCAGAGCTGAGGCTTCCCTGAAGAAGAAATTCTGCCTATGGACTGCAGCTTCAGCTGCCTAGGAGATCAGCCTGCCCTTCATGATGGCCTATCCCAAGGACTTCATATTTGCTTTGCCAGCCTCACAATCATGTACGCCAATTCTTAGCAATGAATCTTTTAACACAGATCCCCTAGTAGTGTTTTTTCTCTGGTTGAACCATGAGTGATACATTCGTCTAAGTCCACAGCTCAAGTACTAACCAGAATGCTATACTCATTCTTTGTATATGGCAAATTAGGAATTTGAACCCAAGTCCAGAACTCTGTGCACATGCCACTGAATCATACATTATGTTTATCATACCCTGCCTTATCCTGTTAGTTTTTATATTTTGCACCCTGCAAGCTGATAAGCATTTTGAAAGCAGACCTCAGGTTCTCCTTATCTCCTTTCTCCTATACTGCATCATGCACACAGGACACAGCTCTCTTGTCAAAATAATATTTGTCATACCTGCACACGGCATATGTCATCTACAGTCTTGTTTTTATACTTTCTCAAATTTATGTGCTAGTATTATTTTATCTTTCCTAACTTTTCTTTCACCTTTCTATTTTAATTCTTAATATACAGGCTTTTAAGAGTTGAGAACTTTGGTCAGTGTTGCTGTCCCCTCTCTTATCAATTACTAGAAATTGCCCTTGATAATGTAAAACCTTAATGGGAGAAAGAGGTGACATTCTCTCAGAGTGCTGGATGGTGATTTGGTTATCTGGGTTTTTTTTTTTTTTTTTTTTTTTTTGAGACGGAGTCTCCCTCTGTCACCCAGGCTAGAGTGCAGTGGCACAATCTTGGTTTACTGCAAGCTCTGCCTCCTGGGTTCACACCATTCTCCTGCCTCAGCCTCCCAACTAGCTGGGACTACAGGCGCCTGCCACCACGCACAGCTAATTTTTTGTATTTTTAGTAGAGACAGAGTTTCACCGTGTTAGCCAGGATGGTCTCGATCTCCTGAACTCATGATCCACCTGCCTTGGTCTCCCAAAGTGCTGGGATTACAGGCGTGAGCCACCAAGGCCGGCCGGTTATCTATTTTAATCTGCACCACAGTTCTTTCACGGCTGGACCTCTGACAAATATTGACAAGTAAAATTTTCAATTCCCTAATAAGTATAGTTGGAATGGGAGGAACATGTGACTTACTATAGATAAATCCTAATTCCAAGATCAAAGTGTTATCAAAGCGCAGATCCTAGGGGTTGATTAAGGGACAAGTCCCAAAAGACAACACTTTTCTATTTTTGTCCTTCTCTATTTGTGTTTCATTTCTTAAGTAAGGTCTTTCTTTAACATTTTCTAATTTCACATCAATTAGGCTCAAAATAAATACTCCACTAAAAGGTAAGGGGTTTTCCTCAGACCTTCTTATAACTTAACAGGCCCATTTTCATTTGTAACAAATTTCAGTTAAACTTTCAAATATTGTGGTCACATGTCTTTCATAGTCCTCAGACATATGGCTGATTTTAAAAATCATATAACAACTGGTAGTTATATAACACTTGACATCATTATCAAGAGTCAGTAAATCTTTGTCTGGGGGCACACAAAAAATGTTGCTATTGTAAAGACTGAGGAAATGAGATATAAAAATATTAGGACCCCTCTTAGCATTTATATCAGTTATAATTAAAATTAAAACTAGAATTTAAATTTTTGAATGTTGCTAAGGATTAAGAAATTAATTTTATTTGTATAGGTGCATCAAGATATATGAAGTGAGCCACAAAATACGAAATGTGTCTCATTCTTCTAAGGTTACAAAAATTTATATTAAAATTTATATAGGGTATGTTTATTTTATATGGAAAGTAAAACCACATCCATCTTGTTTTGAAAAATCCTGACACCAATATAAAAGCCCAGATGGTTATTTAAGTTTATTCCAGGTAATTTAACTACCAGTACTGATTGTGTTTCATGGCTTACTTTGTCTTGTGGAAAAAGTAGTTATCTATGCTCTTAATCCCCTTGCTAATCCTCTTCTGCAAGAAGTTTGTAAGGGAATACTCCTGTACATTGACGTCATGCAGAAGATATGTAAACATCCAACACATGTTTGCAAATCTGAAAAGTATGAAGTTGAACACATTCAACTTTTCCCAATATAGACTACCAAGGAAAAAATGCAGAAAAACTATTTTGAAATCTAAACCAGTAGGGCCCAATACAAACTATCAGAAGAACAAACCTCATTTATTTACTCCCAAATGCAAATTACTTGGTATGGAGGCCTGTTTAGATTAAGTAAGCATAGACATTGTGGCAGGGATGTCAGTGATTATTACTGTTGAGCATACAAGGTTATAGAGCATTTCATTAATGCTGAAGTCAAATTATTTTCTAAAAGGGGTTCCATTTATTTCATCCCTAGACAATGCAAAAAAGGGCATTTGACCTCTGGAAATTAAATAAAAATTGTTGTTCTGCATTGCTCCCATTGGTAAAACATTTATTTGCTAACCCTGTGACTGTGAGCAAAGTTGCCTTGAAACTTTATAGTTTCCCCAACATTTCAGTATTTGGGGAAGACCTACTAATGAACACTTTTTCAAGTAGAGAATGGAACTCTCTAAAAGATGTGACCCACTCCTGTTTCCTGAAATAAGTGACCACTTGGTAAGTGTACATTGCTATAATTCCTTGTAGTAAAGTACTGATGTTTTTTAAAAGAAAGAATCTCATATAATTCTTTGTTACTATTAGAAAAGCTTCCACTTCACTGTAGTTGAGAAAGTTAACAAAGTCTAAATTGGACAGTGTTAGTGTTCCATCAAGTTTTCCATCTACAAGAAGTTTAAGTAAATCAGCATCATTCATACGTTTCCAGTGTAAATAAACGAGCTTGGGTGCTTGTAGAGGTTCTGGGAGTCACCATTATTCCCTGCCTAACAAGCTCATTCAAATTCAGAGTTCAATCTGGAAGATATTGCCACCATTTCTGCCACTTTCAGAAACCAAGGTAACAAATCAAGATAGAAAAAGGGAGGGGGAAGGAGAGCAGATTTTCCCAATGCACTCATAATGTAAACGTGGAAATGGAAATTTGTCATTAACACTTCCCGGTGATATTAGCTTATTCAGGAGGATCACAGTTACCCACAATCCCAAGATCTCTACTATTATTGTTAATGTGTTGTGTGTACTGGGACATTGAAGAAATATCATAGTTTCTGACCCTTATCTATTCAATACATGTGATTATGATAAATATCAGCACGTATGATTTCTAAAAAACTATGTAAAGCAATACTTCTGTACATATAGAGCATTTGTTTTCTTATTGGCATCCCTTTATCCTCCCTCTGTATTATAGCCATTGGACTTGCTCTGGGGGAGCAAGGCAAAGGTGAGACTGTGGATAAAGGGGTCCTAATTCCACTCAACCAATCTAGATCACTCGGATGGTCTCTCTTGGAGTTTGACTATTGAGTGACAAAATGACTGAAACTATTGTAATGAAATCATTGAAGCAGCAAAACTCTGAAAAAAAATTCATCTGCTTCTGATATCTAGACTCCCCAGAACAACTCAATTCCTGACCTCTCCCAAAGGTCCTGGGGGTACCTAACTCCCTCCCATAAATTCATGTTCTACTTTAGTCCATTTCTGCTGGCTTATAACCACTAAGTTTCTATATAATAAGCTTTTGTTTTTTATGTTTCACAAGGCTAATAAACGTAAATAGACATTTTAAATGTCATTTGGTTTGAAAATATATTGAATGAGAAGATACATTTTCTTAGATCAGAACTTTAATGCTTTTGAGTAAATGCGATTTCCAAACTCTTAAGATGAGAATAATGTTTACCGCTTATTAAGCATGTGCCTCTTGCCAAGTACCATGATAAATGCTTTTTATAAAAATATGGATATGTGGAATATGTACAATTCATTTTTTTCTATATATATGTTTAAAATTTTATTTGGTGTTTCAATAACTCAGCAAGTAAGATATTATCCTCATTTACATATAAAGAAACTAAGGCTGCAAGTGGTTAGTTTGGCAAAGTCACACAGCTGGAAAGTGGTAGAGCCAGAATTTGTACTCAGCTCTGTTTGACTTAACCACCATAATATATTGCCTCCCATATCAGAATTGGTATGATTTCTTGGATTCCATTTTAAGCCAATATAAGCTTAGAAATTAAGGATATCTTCTTTTATAGTATGGCTCTGAGAGCAAAGCAGAACAAATGCTGATAAAAAATAAGCAGCAGATTTAAAAGTCATCTCAAAAGTTAAACCAGTTGTAAATAAATAGATGAGTCCTCTAGGGGTCCACAACCCCCGGGCCACAGACACCAGTCCCATGGCCTGTTGGGAACTGGCTGCACAGCAGGAGGTGAGCAGCAGAGCTTCATCTGTACTTATAGCTGCTCCCCATCGCTCACATTACTGCCTGAGTTCCACCTCTTGTCAGATCAGCAGCTGCATTAGATTCTCACAGGAGCACAAACCCTATTGTGAATTGCTCCTGCAATCTAGGTTGCATGCTCTTTGCGAGAATCTAATGCTTGATGATCTGTCACTGTCTCCCATTACCCCAGATCAGACAGTCTAGTTGCAGGAAAACAAGCTTAGGGCTGCCACTGATTCTACATTATGAGTTGTATAATTATTTCATTATATATTACAATGTGATAATAATAGAAATAAATTTTGCACAATAAATGTAATGTGCTTGAATCATCCCCAAACCATCCCCCACCCCCCACCCCCCACCCCCCAACCCATCTGTGGAAAAATTTTCTTCCATGAAACTGGTCCCTGGTACCAAAAAGGTTGGGAACTGCTGCTGTAGTCCTTTAACTTAATGACATTTGTTTCACATTCTATTTTCAAAAGAGAAATATTTAATTCAGTTATTCTAGATGATTCTAAGATTAGTCAGAAATTTAAATTTAAAAATATGTCATTGAAATTTTAATTGAATTAGAATTTTATTTCCTATTTTATTAGAATCTGGTAGTTTTCCTTGTTTCTTTATATGAAGTATTAGAAATACAGAATGTGCATCATCCAATATAGTAGAGGGAAGCAATGTGATATTGTTTAGTTAAGGATCATTAGAAACTCTAGCATCATAGGATGAATGAAGAGAGGTTTATCTGTATAACTGTGTGCTTTCTGAAGTTCCTAAATATTTAATGGTTGAAAATTAGCTGACTTAATAGAACTTTTTCACACACAAAAATTTTTTTTTAATTATAGATGCCTCCCAGTATTTAGGATTCTAAAAGCATGCCCACAAGAAACCAGCTTAGTGCCTAAAGAGCTCTGCTGTTCAGTTGTTTCAAGTTAGTCTTATTTATAAGATCCTGTATTGATCAGCATTTTCTTTTTTTTTTGAGATGGAGTCTCGCTCTGTTGCCCAGGCTGGAGTGCAGTGGCGCGATCTCTGCTCACTGCAAGCTCCGCCTCCTGGGTTCATGCCATTCTCCTGCCTCAGCCTCCCAAGTAGCTGGGACTACAGGCGCCCGCCACCACGCCCAGCTAATTTTTTTGTATTTTTAGTAGAGGCGGGGTTTCACTGTGTTAGCCAGGATGGTCTTTATCTCCTGACTTTGTAATCCTCCCTCCTTGGCCTCCCAAAGTGTTGGGATTACAGGTGTGAGCCACTGCGCCTGGCTGATCAGCATTTTCCATTTTCACAAATCAGTTTGTTTTTGAAGTTTGTACAAAATTTTCTAGAAAATGGCCTCTTCATCTCAAAAGAATTACTCATTTTAAATTAACTTAAGTGATCGGATTACATATAATTACATCAAAAACAGTTGGTCTTGCCTATCATTGGATTCCACATCCGTGGATTCAACCAAGGGTGGATTGAAGATATTCAAGGGGAAAGAAGGATGGTTACATCTGTACTGAACATATACAGACATTTTTTCTTTCCATTGTTATGAATAGTACAGTTTAATAATTATTTACATAGCATTTACATTGTGTTGGGTATTGTAAAGAATCTAGAGATGATTTAGAACATATGGGAGGATGTACATAGGTTATGTGCAAATACTGTGCCATTTTATATAAAGGGCTTGAGCATCTCCAGGTTTTGGTATCTTTGGCGGTCCTGGAACAAATTTTCCATGGATACCAAGGACAACTGTACATTTATACCTAAACGCTGTTTAAACAAAATACATAGATGCCCAAATATATGTCATATTGTTAAGGATTATGGGTTCATATAACAAAAAAAATCTAATTTCTATCATAAACATGTGTCAAAAATTGAGGCAGAAATTTGAGATCTTGCCTAGAGTGCAAATACCGTACAACAAAGTATTTAAAACAAGTAAAAAAATATTATAGTAAAAGCACCTAGTGCAGTGATCTACCAGGTGTGCACAGCCAAACACTGGACAAAACAATGTTCTGGTTTTCTCCAGGAATCCTCCCAAGTACTGAATGTAGTTCTTAGAACCATAGTTCCCCAATATGAACAGGCTGGTCTATTCATGACTCTTTCTTTTAATTCACGACATACAATCCAATGAGGAAGAAGCAAGAATGGAATAAAGCTCTGTGTCAGTCAGGGTTCTTCCGAGAAACAGAACCAATATGTATATTACACATATACAAAGAGACTTAGTTTAAAGAATTGACTTCATACGATTGTGGGGGCTGATAAGTCCAGAATTTGTAGGGCAGGTAATCTGGCAGCCTAGAAACTGAGGCAGTAGTTGATGTTTCAGTCTTGTGGAATTCCTTCTTCTCCAGGAAACCTCTGTTTTCTGCTCTTAAGACCTTCAACTGATTGGATGAGGGGCCCCCACTTATCAAGGGTAGTTGCTTTGTTTAAAGTCAACTGATTGTTTGTTAATAATATCTACAAAATACCTTCACAGCAACACCTAGATTAGTGTTTGACTAAATAACCGGGATTAACTAACAATCATGGTTACCTATGTGGTAACCATGTTGGAGGAAACAAGTCAGGAAATTTTTCAGATGTAACCCAATCTGCCCAAGAATGGCTGGGGAAAGGAGATGGAACAGATGTCATCTCTTGTCCTTCCCTCCAGACATCCTCAACACCACTTCCCTACTGCTTGTGCAGCCACAGGGATGAGCAAAAGGGAAGTTGTGCTCCAGATATGCTAGGAATTAGATCACTGCTAGGAAACCTGGATGTAAGAGGTCAATATCTAGATGATTTTATGATGGCTCTGGATAAATAGCTCTGTGGGGTCAGGGTGAAAGGCACTAATTTTTGGTGAAAATGATGCCCCTGGTTTCACTTTGCTAATCACAACCTAAATAAAGTTTGAGTTTGAAACGTTGAGTAGGGAAGCTATTTTGACCTCTTCTTTCACTTTGGCTCAAATGTATAATAACCTTCAGTAATAAATTGATACTATCATACTAGCAGACAGGCTGAAGTTTAGTGGGAGATCTGAGGTTTCCGGATCTCTCTTGCTTTCAGAGTCTCTGAAACATTGTTTTCTTCTTATGGCTACTTCATGCTAAAAACCTGTGAAATGGGACACAGAGATAAAGAACAGTAATGGAAAGATTGGGTCCTAGAGAGGTGTAAAATTATTCACTACGTAAAAGCATTGAAGGGATAATCCAGAATATGGGTCATGGAAAAATTTAAGGACATAGCAATGTTATGAGTCAAGCTTACAGTCCTATTTTGTGTAACAGCCCAGTTAAATAAGAGGAGTAGGAATTAAAAAAAAAAATAAGACATGCAACATGATAGATGAAATTTTTTGTTTCCAACTTTACTTTCAGAGGCCTGGATAGTTAATAAAATCCTATGGAAATTACTTTCCTTGTCTTTTCTTAATAAAATCCAAACATATGCAACACACAATGCATTACTGAAAAAATTAAAAAGTAAACAGAGTTTTCTTTATTTCAGAGTAAGTTCAGCCAAGAAATGAATTTGCTAACAAAAACCACAGTTATCATCATCCAATGGAGGCAAAATATTTACTAAAACTGTAATCCCCATGAACTGAAAATACTACAGAAAAATTGAGCAGTGTTTGCCCCAAGTGACTTTTTATCAGTCTCCACCTGTTTGTTCTTCCTCTAGAATAGTAGAAAAGTTTATTTTGTTATTTTAAAGAAAGAATTTACTCGTATTGTGTCAAGATGAGCACTTAGCAAGTTCAGTTATTTTTTATTTACCTATGGCTAAAAAAATAATCCAGAAGGTAGCGGTGGGGAGGAAAACATATTTACATGATACTTTTGTAAAGGGAAAAAGTTAAAACTTTCTGCACTTGAAAATCACGGAACAATTTTAATAATCTTTCTCTTCCTGGTTGAGGCCAAGTAGAAAGCAATGTGGCAGTGATATTTGTAATTCCTAGAGACTGGACAAAGCTTCCATAGGATCCCTTCCTTGGCCCCTCTCAACCACAAAGAAAAGTGTTTTGTTTGTACCAAAGAACTTAACACAGAATCTTATCAGAAATATCTGCAATTTTTTTTTTCACAACAGATAAAACTGCTTGAAGTATGCTTTTTACAGCTACAAGCAAGATAATAGTCTGTTACTAGGACCTCTACTTCTACTGCATTACTTGATAAAAACAAGTGAATTAGGCTCTCTGTGTCTAATATATTACTTTAATAAAAACAGATTAATGCTATTTTGTGGGAAGTAAAGACTTCAATGCAATTTTAGCCTTCTTTTCATATGAAAAGAAAAGAAGTGCATATTTTTTCCTTCCCTGTTTCTAACACTACAAAATCAGGGTGTCCAACGCTCCCTTTCTCAGAACTTGATGGTACACTTTTTTTGCCAGGATAATCTCATTGATTCCAAGTAGAGGTCAGGCCTTCTGGCATGTTTAAATGTCATATTCTAGGTCATATTTTTGTTAATTTATTTCTAACCACATTAACACGTTTTTCTGCTCCTGAGTCTCAGTAAGATTTCTGATTGGGCCAAAAACCAGTGCTTGAACATTTGAGTTTGACTGTAATTAATCTGAAGCTTTTCCACATTTCTCCAAACTGACCGAATTTAACAAACTCCTTTTCTGCTGTCTTAGTCTGTTCAAGTTGCTGTAACAAATTACCGTAGGCTAGGGGGGTTTAAACTGCAAAAATTTATTTCTCACAGTTCTGGAGGCCGGGAAAGTCCAAGATCTAGGTGCCAGGGGATCCTATTTCTGGTTTCTATGAACCACTTCCTGGTTTACAGATGATCGTCTTCTCTTATCCTCACCTGGTGGGAAGCAGGGAGAGGATGCAAGTCCTTTCATGTCTTTTCTTATAAAGGCACTAATCTTATTCATGAAAGCTTCACCTTCATGACCTAATTATCCCCCAAAGACTCCACCCCCAATACCATCACATGGGAGATGAGGCTTCAATATATAAATTTGGGGGGGACACAACAATCAGTCCGTAGCAAGTTCCATGAATGAATTAATTACATCTTGCGTATCTTCTATGTGCAAAACATGGGCTAAGCTCTGGGGATAAAATGGTGAGTCAAACACTCTCAGACATGGTCATGTCAGTTGCTTTCCATGGAGGGAGGCACACATCAGTCCCATCACATAAACAAAGGTAAAATTGTTGTTCTGTTAAATAGAAAAACAAGCTGCAGAGACAAGAAGCTCAATACAGAGAGAATTTGAACTAACTGGGGCTGTCAAGGAAGGCTTTTCTTTGTGAAGTTACAACTGAGCTGAGATCTAAATAAGAGTTAAGTAGCATAGTGTCCCAGGCAGTGGGAACAGCATGTGTAAAGTTGGACTATCCATCCCTACTCGAGGGGATTCTGCTGTCTCCACAAGTAAAGTTTTATAACATGTGAGAGTCTGAACTTTTCTTGTTCACATTCTAACTAAATCATAGAGGTAGGGTGTGGTGGCTCATGCCTGTATTCCCAGCACTTTGGGAGGCCAAGACAAGTGGATTGCTTAAGCCCCGGAGTTTAAGACTGGCTTGGGCAATATGGTGAGACCCTGTCTCTACAAAAAATAAATTAAAAAATTAGCCAGGCATGGTGGCATGCACCCGTGGTCCCAGCTGCTCAGGGCTTCAGCCTGGGAGGTCAAGGCTACAGTAAACCTTGATTGTGCTACTGTGCTCTAGCCTGGGTGACAGAGTGAGACCCTGTCTTAAATCAATCAGTTAGTCAATCAGAGTGGCTGAAAGTGTAGATTAATCAATAGGGCCTTAAACTGGGTTATGGTGGGACAGTGATTTTGATGTGCTCTGAGACAATGGACTAATAAAGAGGAGAAGGAAATAGACAGGTGAGCTCAGTACGATACTTGGATCTGGAAAACAGAGACTCTGGGCCCTCTTCTTCAGAGAGTCCCCAAATCAAAAATATATAAAACATATAAAAAGGAAATGATTTAAAAACCACAGGCACTCTGTCATGAAGCTTTCACCCTTGTGACTAACACTTAGGCCCCAGGGAAATTCTTTTCCACATCTTTTAACTGGCCTCCTGGAAACAGAAGGCAATTGTACTCGAACTCCATGAAGTATTGTAGATTTATGCTACATCCCAAATGAGAAAAGCAGAATGCTTCAGGGTCCAGGGAGGATTTGGACTGCGAAGCACTTAGGTAAAAGAAAAGATAAATTAATTAACTTGTCAAATCTTTCTTCTGGTAGTATAAATGCAATAAGTATTTACATAATAAAGTTTCATTTCCCACTAGTGCTAAACATCCATTTTCTTGCTTCTCTTCATATAAATCAATTCATGGTCTGGAATTATTCCAGATATGCTTAGTATTTGCAAATGTTATGTATGGTGGCTGAAGACTATTTTGCAATATTAAACAATTCCTCTTACTCTTAAATTTGTATGCATCTGCTGGGCATAGTGGCTCATGCCTATAATTCTAGCAACTCAGGAGACTGAGAAGCAGGAGGATTGCTTGAGGCCAAGAGTTTGAGACCAGCCTGAGCAACATAGTGAGACCCTGTCTCTAAAAAAACCACAAAAATGAAAAAATTAGCTGGGTGTGGTGGCACATGCCTGTAGTCCCAGCTACTTGGAAGCCTGAGGTGAACTATGATCATGCTACTGTACTCCACAGCCTGGATGATGGAATAACACCTTGTCAAAAAACAAAACAAAACTAAAACAACAATTACCTATGTCTTGATATAATATGCTTAAAGTGTGGTATCAACCCTTAATATCAGCAACTAGATGGACATTGATTACTGGAAATGCAAATAGTTTTATTTTTACAAAAATTTGTAATAAAATTTCAAAAATAAAAATAAAGATTTCAGCATTATTAATTTTGCTTTATAATTTGATATTCGTTATAGCTTTTTTACCTATTAATTTTAATAAGTTTGACCTTTTAGATCATTGAAAATGGGGGCCAGTGAAGAAATAGAGAATTGTGGTAGAAATACAGAATTTAAAAGTAGAGTTCAGAAAGAATCAAAGATTGGAAAAAAACAGGAAATATAAAATTTTTAAGAGAGAGAGTTCATTTAAATTAAAAATAACAATGTGGAAACAATGTAAATGAGCCAACTTCTGTTGAGCATGACTGTCATAGAATTTGCAAACAAGAGATCACACAAGTTCTTATTTAATGAAGATTTAACTACTCAAAATAATGGAAATTAACAAGAACATTATTCTCATCAAATCTACAATGTAAACAGGTCAGACCAAAATATCCTTGCAACTTTATATTCTTTATTAAATGAAGATTTAATTACTAATTAAAACCATGAGAATAAAAAAGAGACTCAAATTTATATCAACTTCATAACCCAGACAACAAAAGCAACTGCGACCTGCCTGTTAGAAGATGGAGAAAATAAAGGTCTTGAAATCAGAAAATTAGGGAAGAAATCCTCCAGAACATTTGACTGGATGATGATCTTGAAAATGGAGATATTCTCCTTCTGAGAATGTGAGAATATTGCTAGGAAAACACATTCCAATTCAAATGAATGATTAGGATTTTCTATTACATTAACAAGGCAGAACTTTTAATATTTTATTCCAAATTCTTTCAAATAGGAGATTTTACAAACTCCTATTAGCCATTGAATGTTTTGTGACAGAAAACACTTAAATTGTCAATTAGAATTTTATGAAATTCCCTTTAAACACAAAAAATTACAGATATAATTACTAGAACTGAAAAAGGGTGAAATAAATAGCAAACAATTGATAGTATTCAAGAAATAAAAGTAAATATCAAACTAGTACATGGGAATAATTTTTTTCAGGTTTATTTCGGTATAATTGACAAAATTTGTATGGAATAATATTCTTTAAAGAATAATATTTTCAGACAAGATCATAGGAGGTAAAAAAAGAATATTATATATTCAATATTCAGCCAAGCTTAATGATGTATTTCATGGCATACATACCAGCACAGTATTTACAGAACTTAATGGAAAATATCAAAGATTTATGGAGATAATTTTGAAATTTGGTGAAAAAATGACCCCAAATTTAAGATGGATAAAAACTGAAACAGATGATTCTCTAGTATGGTGCATTCAAAATAAAATTGTTAATGTAAGAGATGAGGAAATGAGATAAGAAATTATTCCTAAAATTGTTAAAAAACAAAAATTACTCAGTGTAAGTAGATTGTAGCAGAAATAAGTCTTGCTAAATAAGTAACATTTATTTATGTTGAGCCATTAGGAGAGAATAATAAAAAAGCTGACGTTAATGAATATTTCATTGGTTTCATTCCTATTGTAAAAAGTATAGGTTTTTATCTAAGGGAAGAATTAAAAAAAAACTTCAATTTTGGACTCTGATTTAAAAAATTGTTTAGAGTGAGACTGTGATACTGGTGATAACATGGTGGATAACAACAAAGGTGAGCACGCCAGGATTTTGGAGAAAAATCTAGAAGTACATGCCATTTATGGCACACAGTTTGAATTTATTGCTAACACAGAAGGCCTCAACACTGCTGATTTGATGACATTCTTTGGAACAATTTAAACATTACCTACAATATCTTCAGGATCTGGCCAAATGTGGAACATTTTGAGAAAGATGTAAAATTTGATCTAATGAATACTCTAGGCTATACAATGGGAATACTGATGAAATGCTGTCAAAACAATTAAACAAAATTCAAAACGTACAATAGCAGTTAGGTGAAACAACTGAAAAATTTTCAAATAGTGAATTGTGGATTTTGGCAGATAATGAAACTAAATTTTAATATATCTATCCATATATTTGCTTGCTGTTAATAATATTAGCAAAAGCTTAGAAAAAACAGATATGACTTTGGCTATATCACTTTCAACAGTATTTTAAAACTCATAAAATGTAAAGAAAATGTTTTATAGATAGAATGAAACTTCATGTGCAATATATAACAAAAGTGACAATCTGAAAAAATACAAGAAAATTAAAATGAGGAAATAAAAATGTTCACATGACCATGAAGGAGAAGCTTCATATGTAAAAAATATTTCGAAATGAATTTTTATAAAGTCTATTTTCTGACCAGTAGATATCAAGGTATCTTCCCAACCAAAGAAAGATTTGAATAAATTAAATAACATCTTACTCTTTTTTTTCCAAACGTTAAAAATGTGAAAGCAGAAGAATCAAGAAGTACTGTATGAATCTACATATTGTCTTAAGAGATTGTGGAACTCACAGTTGGAGCAACCTGTATGATGAAATTAAAATACTTTATAATATTTTGGGGGTTGTTAACTTCTCATATGCAAAAATCACATGTTTGAGTATGGCATGTGAAATTAATGTTCACTTCTGAACTAAGTATTGCTTTAAGAATTTTATTGACAATTCCAACTGCCACTGCCTCAGCCGGGCTGTTTCTGTAAATATAATTAATAAAACTCTGTAATAATTTTGAACCAAGAAAGGTTGTCTGACTTGACATTTCTTGTTAATAGAGCTCAAATTATGTGAGAATCTTGATTATAACAAATAATTAGTAATTTTGGTGAACTAAAAGCAAGACAAATATATTTAATAGAATAAATAATAGTATTTTATAAATTATTGATGTCTTCATTACTCATCCAAATATCACTATCCATCAACACACTATTTAGACAGGTGCAATAGTAATTACATTCAGTACTCTTTGTTACTTTACTGATTTTCAGAAATGTGAAACCAACAGCCTTACATATATTTAAACAATTTTTGTTGCTATGAAGTTTTGTTGTCAAGATAGGATGATAGAACATATTTTAGATAACATTTTATTAACCTGATTTATAACTTTTAAATGTGGACTTCCATTTGTGCTCTAGCACCAATCCTACAAATGATAGGGGTAGACCTAGGGAAATGCTTCTCTTCTGCGCATGAGATTTATGAAATAGCCAGCAATGAACTTGCCTGTCGGGCAGTAGCCTGGAGGCCTATGCTTGGTCAACCTCATTTAGGTTAATGACTGGTAGGGATAGGCTCATGAAAAGCTGGGAGTTAGGCTGTAAGTATGGACAGCAAGCAAGCAATATTATTTGCAGCCCCTTTAAAAAATTTAGTACAGGCTGGAAAGAGCATAAGAATACCAGATGCCTGGGGATGAGGGTAAGGGGGAAGAGGTTACTCTTCATCACCTCTTCTCCACACCTATTCTGGGATTTGCCATAGTAAAGAGCTAGATGCTATTACCTGGCCTTAGCCCTAATACTTTCAAAAACCATTTTTGGGCTATGTACAGTAGCTCATGCCTGTAATCCTAGCATTTTGGGAGGCCCAAAAGGAGGATTACTTGAGGCCAGGAGTTGAAAACCAGTCTGTTAAACATAAAGAGACCTTGTCTCTATAAATAAGCAAACAAATAAAACATGTGTGCTCTTATCTCACCTGTCCAAGTTTACTCAATTAGAACTTGTAAGAATATTAACGTATTGTACTATATTGCTTTGATGGATTGGAGCTAAAAATAATTGTAAAATGCTTGGCAAAAATTAAGCCCAAATGAGTGTACCATGATAATATTTGGTATCCCTATAACACAATGAAAACTTACGTATCATGTGGTGATACTATTTGCCATATTTCCACTTTGTTGTTAATTACTTCCTTGGAAATATTTTATATGGATAAATATTTATCAGATTTAATAAACTTTCTTCAGCCCAATTATAGACTTTTTCTTTTCCCAGAACATGACCAAAAAAAAAAAAAAAAAAGGAAAAATGTCTATCTACCTTGGATAGAGGAAGATTAAATTCCATTTATCTTCTCTTTTTCTAGTCTTCTGGTGGTAATTAACAGATGGTCCTTGTTTTCTATTTGATAGACCAATGAGCAAACATGAGCTTTATCTCTAGTGTGCAGAAGTAGTTTGTCATCTAATGCTTTATGTCATGACAACATTGAACTTAATTTACAAAACCACTTTTGCCCGCTTGGTAGATTATTTTATTTCTCAGTCACACTGGTTCAAACATCAAATCCATAAAGATACTTTTCTTCACTTTGTAGTGGAAGTTACCTCGAACTGCTATTTTGGTTTTATTTTCAGAACGAGTCCTTAATAAAACAAATTAAAAAGTTAATAATATTTGGAAAGTGTAGCAAAAATCTTGCTTTTTCCTGCCTCTTGTGACTATGGTCTATATCAATGTAAATAACAATAGAGGCAAATGTCTACTGTTTTTGTTTTGTTTTTCTTCATCTGTATGATAGAAACCTATACTAGTTATATATTGGTGTGTAACCGATTACTACAACAATTAGTGGCTTAAAAAAACCAACATGCATTATTTCATAGTTTCTGTGGATCAGGAATTTGGGAGTAGATCAGCTGGGGGACTCTGACTCAGGATGTCTCATAAGGTTGGAATCAAGACATCAGCTAGGACTGCAGTCATCTCAAGGTTTGACTGGGGCTGAGGGACCTGCTTCCAATATGGCTTATTGCCGTGACTTGTTATTTTACCATGTGGGCCTTTCTGTGGAATTGCTCAAGTGTCCCCACCACATGGTAACTGGTTTCCCCCAGAGTGAGTGCCCTAACCTTTGAAGTCACATTCCATCACTCTTTCTGTATTTTACTGGTGATACAGACCAATCCTGATACAATGTGAGAGGACAAATAGCAGAGCATGAATAACAGGAGGCAGGATCACTGAGAGCCAGCCTGGAGACTAGCTACCACAAATGGGATTGTATTTGGAATACTCAGTAACTAGGGTTGAAGCCAAAATGCACCTAGGAAAAGTTGTGTCATTTGAGTTCTTGAATGCTTCTTAGCTTTTGAGATATATATGGGCTACCATTTGAGGCAATGGTAAAAAAAAGTTGGACTTGGAAGCCAAAAAGATCAGTTCAGTTCTAGGCCCTTACTACCTGTGGAGGAGATTTGATTTAAATCTGGCTATCTCAGTTTGTTTTTCTTTAGAATAGAGGAATTAATACACACCTATCTATGCTTAATAGATTGTGGTACAAGAGAAAAAGTCTTAGTTCTAAGATAATGCCAGGCATACAGGAGCTAAAAAATGCTAGTTTCCTTTCCCCTTTCCTTCAAGATATCCAAGCAGAATTTTCCAAACATTGTGCCACGAAATACCACTTTGCCATTCCTCCAAAACCCCTAGGTCTGTTGCCTCTGGCTGAGAGTGCCTCCCTCAAATGTGCCAGACAAATATTCATATCCTATATATTTATCATTGTGAAAAACTTTATATACCACTTCTCTAAAGGAGGATTTCTTTAAAATAGCCACTAGAAATTAATGTAGGACTAGAGGTCCTAGCCAGAGCAATTAGGCAAGAGAAAGAAATAAAAGGCCTCTAAATTGGAAAGAAAGAAGTTAAATTGTTCCTGTCTGCAGATGCCATGACCTCATGTATAGAAAACCCTAAAGGCACCACCAAAAAACTGTTAGCACTAATAAGCAAATTCAGTAAAGTTGCAGGATACACATCAACATACAAAAATAGTAGCATTTCTATACTCTAACAGCAAACTATCTGAAAAAGAAATGAAGAAAACTATCCCATTTATAATACAAGTATCTACAAAAAATACTCAGGAATAAATTTAACTAAGGAGATGAAAGATCTCTACACTAAAAGTTATAAAATATTGATGAAGGAAATTGAAGAGGACACAAATAACTGTAAGGATATCCCATGTTGATAGACTTGGGGAATTAAGTTGTTAAAATGTCCATACTACCCAAAGAGATCAACGTAATCCCTATAAAAATACCAATGACATTCTTCACAGAAATAAAAAAAAATTATGAAACCACAAAAATTCTGAATAGCCAAAGAAATCTTGAACAAAAAGTGTAGAGGTAGAGGTATCATACTACCAGACTTCAAAATATACTACAAAGGTATGGTAACCAAAACAGCATGCTACTGACATAAAAACAAACATATTGACCAGTGAAATGGAATAGAAGGCCCCCAAGTAAATCCACACATATACAGACAATGATTTCCAACAAAGATACCAAGAACAAACAATAGGGAAAGGGCAATCTCTTCAAGAAATGGTGCTGGGAAAAGTAGATATTCACATGCAGAAGAATCACATTAGATCTGCATCTCATACCATATAAAAAAATCAAATCAGAGTGGATTAAAGACTTAAACATAAGACCTCAAACTATGAAACTACTAGAAGAAAATAGAGTTGAAAA
Organism: Homo sapiens; assembly: GCF_000001405.40. Taxonomy (NCBI): domain Eukaryota; kingdom Metazoa; phylum Chordata; class Mammalia; order Primates; family Hominidae; genus Homo; species Homo sapiens. The sequence goes on from NC_000005.10 coordinate 96,033,719, forward strand.
AGCTCCATGACATTGGTCTGTGCAATGATTTTTTTAGACATGACCCCAAAAGCATCAGCAACAAAAGTGAAAATAGACAAATGGGATTACATGAAATTAAAAAGTTTCTATGTGGCAAAGGAAACAAACAACAGATTGAAGAGACAACCTACATAATGGGAGAAAATATTAGCAAACTATGTATCTGATAAGGGGTTACTATCCAAAATAAAGAAATAATTCAAACAACCGAATAACAAGAAAACAAATCACCCAATTAAAAAATGCAGAAGCTGGATACAGTGGCATGTGCCTGTAGTCCCAGCTACTGGGGATGCTGAGGCAGGAGGATTGCTTGAGCCCAGGAGTTTGAGGCCAGCCTGGACAACACAGTGAGACCCTGTTTCTAAATAAATAATAAATTTTAAAAAATAAGTGGGCAAAGTACCCCAATAGACATTTCTCAAAACAAGACATACAAATGACCAACAGGTATATGAAAAATGCTCACTATCATTTATCATCAGGGAAATGCAAATTAAAATCACAGTGAGATATCATCACCTCACGTCTGTTAGAGTGGCTACTATAAAAATGAGAAAAGATAACTAGTGTTGATGAGGATGTGGAGAAAAAGGAACTCTCACACACTGTTGGTGGGAAGATAAATTAGTACAGCCATTATGGAAAACAGTATGGAGGTTTCTCAAATTAAACATAGAACTACCATAAGATCCAGCAATCCCACTACTGGGTATATATCATACACACACACACACACACACACACACACACACACACACACACACATATGTGTGTGTGTATGCATCCATTATATATTCCATTATATATATATATAATGGAATGCCTAAACTAATCTAACTCACATATGCATTACCTAACATAGTTTTTTTTCTTTTTTGGTGAGAACCCTACATCCACTCTCTTAGCATTTTTCAAGAATACAATATACTGTTAACAATAGTCACCCTGCTGTACAATAGATCTCTTCAACATATTCCTCCTATCTAAATGAAATTTTGTATCCATTAACCAGCATCTCCCCAACACCCACTCCAACCACCCCGACCCCTGATAACCACATTCTACTCTCTACTTTTATAAGATTAACATTTTTAGTTTTCACATATAACTGAGGTCATGTGGTATTTGTCTTTCTATGCCTGGCTTAATACATACATTTAATGTCTCTAGGTTCATCCATGTTGTCACAAATGATAGAGCTTCCTTCTTTTGTATGGCTGAGTAGTATTCCATTGTGTTTATATGCTACATTTTTCTTCATCCGTTCATTCAATGATGGACATTTAAGTTGTATTTAAGTATATATATATATATATATATATTTAAGTATATATATATATATATATTTAAGTATATATATACTTCAAGATATATATAATATTTTATATATTATATATACTTATTTTATATATACTTCAAAATATATATTTTGAAGTATATATATAAAATAAGTATATATAAAAAATATATTTAAGTATATATATATACTTCAAAACAGTATGTTGTACACAGTAAATACATACAGTTTTTTCCATTAATTAAAATTTTTTTAAATAATTGATATAGTAAAAATATAGCAACAAGGAAACACATCATAATCAGGTACTCTGTCTAATTATGATTACCTCTTCCTAAGAGAACTGTTTCAACGCAATTATGAGAAAGTACCTAGCAACATCTTAGAACAGTCTTCCCAAAACTGTCTGATCCCCAAAGCAAAGGTTCTGACCTAAATTATAATCTCCAAGGGATGGAGCTGGGAATCTGTATTTTTAACAAGGAATCCTAAAATTCTTGTGATTAGGGAAGTCTAGAAAATACTACATCTGGTGAATTTATCTCTGGAAGGTGTAATATGGGGAGTGTAAAGAGTGGAATGGGGGGAATTGGGGTGGGATGAAGGTGGGAGGAATTAGGTACCTAGAAAAAATAAAAGGGAATGTTGAGAATTTCTCACTTAGAAATTCTGGCATTGTCACTGATTTAGCATTTCCAGGTCCGTGTGTGTCTGTGTGTTTGTGTGTGTGTGTGTGTGTAAAGCAGGGGGTGGAGCCGCTACCAGTCTGTGGATACTATATTTGCAATTCATTCCGTGTAACTAGTATGTAGGATGTGCGCACTGTGTTTAGGACCTCTTAATATGGAAGTGGCTTCCCCATCCCTGCTCAGCTACTTTGGTATGATGAACTAGGCAAAACAGCTCTCTTTGCCTACTCTGCATTTGAAAATATTACTCTATCTGGAATTCAAATGCCTACCATGTCTGGGCATGAAAGGCAGAGTGAAACTGATTGGTTTAGGAAGATAGGGAAGATCTCCAAGTTTATTTTCAGTTAAAAAAAAAAAGAGAGAGAGAAAAAGCAGGATGTATAATATATTTTACCTTTGTAAAAAGGGGAGAAATAAGACTATCAATGCATTTTTTTTTGGAATTTTCCTAAAGAGACAATAGAAGAATACACAAGAAACTAATATAAGAGATGACCTTGAGAGAGGTGGGAGTGAGACTATTTACTGTACAGTAAACACTTTTTTAAAAAAGATTTTGAACTAAATGAATTTATTCCCTTTTTAAGAAAATAAAAACAAAATATAACAATATGCAGGCCACACCAGATAAGACTATGGACTGAATTTGGCCCATAAACTGCCATTTGAGACCTCTATATTATACATATCCCTGTACTTAAACCAGTGAAGTCTGAATCATTGTTAATTCATTCAGTAAACATTTACTGAGTACCTCCTGAGGTCCAATCTACATGTTTAGGTGCCAGGGCACTATCACTGCCCTGAAGGAGTCTCTGTCTCTAGACTCTCTAGTGGCCTTGCTTGGTGAATATTTAAAAACGTATTATTTTTATTGCTTAGGAAACTTTAATTGATAACTGTTTTCAAGCTGAATCTCTAGTGAATAGGTAAGACTTGGTTGCAGATTAGCAATACCTGTTTGTATATACACAATTAATATTTAAGACCATACAAATATTTTGATCTTAACTATTTTGAAATAAGCCCTTCTTAGTCTTGTTTGCCCTGTTAATTTGTTAGGCCAATACTTATGTTCATTATCCCAAGATAAACTTAAACCCAAGCCAAGTCAAATAATTGCAAATTCTAGACAAAACAAATATGTATTAATGAAATTTAAATGTATTTGTAAATAAAATGTCTGAGAGCAAACTGTTCTCAATGATAGGGAGGAAATATGAATAAAGAGAGGAGAGTCAGGAATAAAATGGAAATCTGATCTACCTTCCCTTGTGGAAAAAATAGATGTGACCTAGCCTCTTTGAATCTGGTAATCTAGTCTTGACACTAATAATCTTATCTCTTCTGGAGCCATATTTTGGCTTCTTTCCCCACAATCCCCACCACATTAACTCCCGGAAATGTACAGTGCATGTAGAAAAGCAATGACTTCTTCCCTGTGGTAGAATGGAGACCTGTGTTCCCCAATCCCATGTAAAGGTGCCAATAGAAGTTTAGATTGGCTCAGATGTAGAAATACATTTCCTACCATGACGCTGGGAAACATTTCAGGTTTCTGTGTTCTTAAAGACTCTGCTGCCTGAAAATTCTGTTCAAAAGTCTACTTTGCTATGACTAATTGTTAGGCAAGCAGCAGAGTTACTCAAGACAAATATTACTGGTATTGAACTGACATTAATATCTTTAGAAAGCCTAACTATCTGTGTGGGGCAACATTTTTAATCAGAATGTCACCTGAAGGCCTCCAGAAGTTAAATAACTTTATTATGTGAGAAGAAAAAGATTCATTAACATTTTGCCATGTATGTGTGGATAAATGATTCTTTCTGGGCAATGAAACAAGAATGCCAACACTATATATGTTTAATAAAACTTGTGCTAGGTTGGCAGTTAATATTATATCTAGTAGATTTTTGCATCTGTTTCAGTTGTCTTCTGTGACATCACAAAAACCCCAACATTTAGTGGCTTAAAACAATTCACTGCTGTTGCTCATGGCTCTGTAGGTTGACCAGGCTCAACTCAGCTTGGAGTTCTTGTTTGGGAACTCTCATATGGTGGTGGTTTGATGGTGGCTGGGGCTAGAGTAATCTGAAGGCTTGCCTGGGGTGGATATCTAAGATGGCTTCCTGATGCACATCTTTGGCTCATCTTCTGGAATGACTGGAAGAGCCAGAGGTTGGTATCTTTCTCTGTCCACATGGCCTTTTCACATGACTATCTTCAGATTCATCGCAATGTTACAGTGTAACTGTGGAGTAGTTAGAGTTTTTATGAGAGCAGTTTCCTCCAGAGTGAGAATTCAAGAGACCTTGGCAGAAGCTGCAAGACTTTCTATGACCTAGCTTTGAAGGTCATGCATCCTCAGTTTTGTTGCATTCTATTTGTCAAAAAGCTAGTCATACATAGGAGCCAACTGAAAGAGCTCCCAATGGCCAAAGCTGGAACAATTTCAGCAACAAAAAAATAAAGTAGTGTTAGATTATAGCCCAAAGTATGGGCTAGGAATCTTTGCACAAATGATCAAATAAATGAATAAATAAATGGATGAGAATAGACAAACATCCCTTGAAGAATTTAAATGTTTTATGTAGATATTGCATCCTCATGGAGGGGAAGCATAAATACCCATTCCTTTTTTTTAAAAATTATTATACTTTAAGTTCTGGGTTACATGTGAAGAATGTGCAGTTTTGTTACATAGGTATACACGTGCCATGGTAGTTTGCTGCACCCATCAATTTGTCACCGACATTAGGTATTTCTCCTAATGTTATCCCTCCTGTAGCCCCCCCACCCCCCGCAGGCCCTGGTGTGTGATATTCCCCTCCCTGTGTCCATGTGTTCTCATTGTTCAACTCCCACTTATGAGTGAGAACATGCGGTGTTTGCTTTTCTGATCTTGTAATACTTTGCTGAGAGTGATGGTTTCCAGCTTCATCCATGTCCCTGCAAAGGACATGAACTCATCCTTTTTTATGGCTGCATAGTATGCCATGGTGTATATGTGCCACATTTTCTTAATCCAGTCTATCATTGATGGACATCTGGGTTGGTTCCAAGCCTTTGCTATTGTGAATAGTGCTGCAGAAAACATAAGTGTGCACATGTCTTTGTCATAGAATGATTTATAATCCTTTGGGTATATGCCCAGTAATGAGATTGCTGGGTCAAATGGTATTTCTAGTTCTAGATCCTTGAGGAATCACCACACTGTCTTCCACAATGGTTGAACTAATTTACATCCCCACCAACAGTGTAAAAGTGTTCCTATTTTTCCACAACCTTTCCAGCATCTGTTGTTTCCTGATATTTTAATGATCACCATTCTGAGTGGCATGAGATGGTATCTCATTGTGGTTTTGATTTGCATTTCTCTAATGACCAGTGATGATGAACATTTTTTCATATATCTGTTGGCTGCATAAATGTCTTCTTTTGCGAAGTGTCTTTTTATATCCTTTGCCCATTTTTTTGATGGGGTTGTTTGCTTTTTTCTTGTAAACTTGTTTAAATTCTTTGTAGATTCTGGGTATTAGCCCTTTGTCAGATGGATAGATTGCAAAAATTTTCTCCCATTCTGTAGGTTGTCCGTTCATGCTGATGATAGTTTCTTTTGCTATGCAGAAGCTCTTTAGTTTAATTAGATCCAGTTTGTCAATTTTGGCTTTTGTTGCCATTGCTTTTGGTGTTTTAGTCATGAAGTCTTTGCCCATGCCTATGTCCTGAATGTTATTGCCCAGGTTTTCTTCTATGATTTTTATGGTCCTAGGTCTTACGTTTAAGTCTTTTATCCATCTTGAGTGATTTTTGCATAAGGTGTGAGGAAGGGGTCCAGTTTCAGTTTTTTGCATATGGCTAGCCAGTTTTCCCAACACCATTTATTAAACAGGGAATCTTTTCCCTATTGCTTGTGTGTGTCAAGTTTGTCAAAGATCAGATGGTGCTAGATGTGTGGTCTTATTTCTGAGGCCTCTATTCTGTTCCATTGGTTTATATATCTGTTTTGATACCAGTATCATGCTGTTTTGGTTACTGTAGTCTTGTAGTATAGTTTGAAGTCAGGTAGCGTGATGCCTCCAGCATTGTTCTTCTTGCCCAGGATTATCTTGGCTATGCAGGCTCTTTTTTGGTTTCATATGAAGTTTAAAGTAGTTTTTTCCAATTCTGTGGAGAAAGTCAGTCATAGCTTGATGGGGATAGCATGAATCTATAAATTACTTTGGGCAGTAAGGCCATTTTCATGATATTGATCCTTCCTATCCATGAGCATGGAATGTTTTTACATTTGTTTGTGTCCTCTCTTATTTCCTTGAGTAGTGGTTTGTAGTTCTCCTTGAAGAGATCCTTCACATCCCTTGTAAGTTGGATTCCTAGGTATTTTATTCTCTTAGTAGCAATTGTGAATAGGAGTTCACTCATGATTTGGCTCTCTGTTTGTCTGTTATTGGTGTATAGGAATGCTTGTGATTTTTGCACATTGATTTTGTATCCTGAGACTTTGCTGAAGTTGCTTATCAGCTTGAGGAGATTTTGGGCTGGGACGATCGGGTTTTCTAAATATACAATCATGTCATCTGCAAACAGAGACAATTTGACTTCCTCTTTTCCTATTTGAATACCTTGTATTGCTTTCTTTTGCCTGACTGCCCTGGCCAGGACTTTCAATACTATGTTGAATAGGAGTGGTGAGAGAGGGCATCCTTGTCTTGTGCCAGTTTTCAAAGGGAGTGCTTCCAGGTTTTGCCCATTCAGTATGATATTGGCTGTAGGTTTGTCCTAAATAGCTCTTTTTATTTTGAGATACCTTCCATCGATACCTAGTTTATTGAGAGTTTTTAGCATGAAGGGCTGTTAAATTTTGTCAAAGGCCTTTTCTGCATCTATTGAGATAATCATGTGGTTTTTGTCATTGATTCTGTTTATGTGATGGATTACGTTTATTGATTTGCATATGTTGAACCAGCCTTGCATCCCAGGGAGGAAGCCAATTTGATCATGGCGAATAAGATTTTGATGTGCTTCTGAATTCGGTTTGCCAGTATTTTATTGAGATTTTTGCATCGATGTTCATCAGGGATATTGGCCTAAAATTCTCTTTTTTTGTTGTGTCTCTGCTAGGCTTTGGTATCAGGATGTTGCTGACCTCATAAAATGAGTTAGGCAGGATTCCCTCTTTTTCTATTGATCGGAATAGTCTCAGAAGGAATGCTACCAGCTCTTCTTTGTACCTCTTGTAGAATTCGGCTGTGAATCCTTCTGGTCCTGGACATTTTTGGTTGGTAGGCTATTAATTATTGCCTCAATTTCAGAACCTGTTATTGGTCTATTCAGAGATTCAACGTCTTCCTGGTTTAGTCTTGGGAGGCATAAATACCCATTCCTTAAGTGTGGGTTGCTTATAGTAACTTCCTTCTTAAGAGTACAGTATGGGGTTGGGGGTGAAAAAGAGTACTGCTGCCACAGATCAAGGCCATTATCAACAGTGATAAATCATATTGACAGTATATATTCTTGATTAGAGTCATAAAAATGACCCTTTATTTTTATGGTCCTCCTCCCCAAAACTCATAACCCTAGTCTAATCATGAGAAAAACATCAGACAAGTTCTGATAGGGGACATCCAACAAATACTTGACCAGTACTCCTAAAAATTGTCAAGGTTATTAAAAACAAAGAAGGTCTATCTGAGAACCTGTCATAGCCAAGAGAAGTCTAAGGAAACATGACAAGTAAATGTAGTGTGATAGTCTAGATAAGATACAGGAACAAAAAACAATATTAGACAAAAAACTACATAAATCTAAATAAACTACTGTGGACCTTAGTTATTAATAATGTATAAATATGAGTTCACTAACTATAATAAATGTACCACACAGTTGTAAGATGATAATTATAGGAGAAATTGAGTGAAGGAATACATGGGATCTCTCTGTACTATGGCCTAATTTTTTTCTAAAACTATTATAAAAAAAAAAGTCTGTTAGAAAAGATAGTCATAGGGCCAGCCCAGATTTGAGGGCAGGTTGTGAATAGTAGGAGGCATGGTTCTCTGGGGGACGATCTACAATAGTACCCATTTTACTGATTTTCTTCTGAGAATCTACCTTTCTACCCCTCCTCCCAGTTGATATGGCTGGAGCCTCACCCTTTAGTTCCAGAGGTAGAGCCAGTGACTCCTCTCTCTCACCGCAATGGGGGATTTGCCTCTCCTTTGCCACACGATAGTTTCAGAGGTGAGCAGGGACTTAAGACAGGGAAATCAAAGTAATTTTCGGTCTGCTGGAAAAGTCCTTCTGGCCTTGAACTTGAGTATACAAGAGGTGGGAGCTGCTTCCTCTTATTTTACCATCAGGAGGGAGGAACTTGGAGGTGCCAGGGCCCACTAAATAGAGTCTGAGAAAGAAGCCAACAAAATCAGGTAACTGGGTGGGATACAGCCAAAAGTTAGAAAAAAGCTGTGGGACATTATAGAGCCCAGAATCCAGCCCTGTTTGGAAGAGCTCTACCTCTAGAGATTTCCTAGTTATGCAAGCCAATAGTCTTTTTGAGGGTCTTAAGTCAGTTTGATTTGACATTTTTTTCTTGGTCTCTTGCAATGGAAAAAGTTCCCAAATGATAGAACAAAACAATGTATTGTCCTCCAGTTTATTTCTGTGTTAAAGATGATCAGAATATCAATTGATTTTCAGATTGCTACCCTATTTATTCCCATATAATTCACTGTTTATCTAAGAATAAACTTGCAAGGAGTAAATTGGTTGATAAGAGCTCTTAAATGGTTACATAGCAAATGGAAAGTACTCAGTAAGTGTTCGATATGATTAATTATTATTTCAGCTTACTTTAAAAAGTTAAATCTTTTTAGTGGAGCCTCCCATTTAGCCTTAAATATGCCAATGATTATCATAGTAAAAAGTTGGAGTAGCTGTATGACAAAGTGGCTAAGAGTATGAGTTCTGTAATCTAATAGGTGTGGATTAAAATTCCAGCTCTGCTTCTCACTTGCGAATCCTAGAGTAAGTTACTTAATCTCTCTGAGCCTCAGTTTCATATTCTTAAAAAATAAAATAAAAATACCTCCCAGAAGTATAATTAAATAATGCTTGCAGAGGTTCAAGCTCAGTGCCTAATGCAGAATAGGTATTTCATCACATGTAATTATATTATTTTATACTGTGTGAAGATGAAATACTGAAATATTAGTCTAGAAAAGACTGGTCAAATAAACCAGAAGCCCATGGAAGTGACAATGCTGAGTATATTGTATCAATGTATGTATTGCCTACCCCAAAATTAAAATGAAAAAAAGTCTTAAAATTTATAAAATTTGTTTATTATAGAAGATATGACTAATAGTATATCTGAAAATTTTGGCTTACCATACTTTTTCTAAAATACAAGATTAAAAACACTAACTCAAAATGTATCATGATATCCTTTACTTGGCAGATCATGTGTTCAAAATCAACTATGTTCTTCTGAAATTGTGAATAAAAAGATTGCAGAATGCCGACCAGTAAGTTGAATAAGACGTCCATTTGTTCGATGGTCTCAGTGTCATAAAATTAACCTCATAGTCAATAAGGGACATCAAATTGAAATTATTTAAAACAAAATAGAGGGACTGAAAAATGGTCTGTTTAATACAAAATGCCTTTTAACAAACAAGTTAATGCAAGTGGTTTCGTTATTATAATGGGACCCTTTTGGTTGCAAATAAGAAAATCCAACTAAAACTATTTTCTTATCTAACAAATCTTGAGGTAGGGTGGTTCCTGGCTTAGTGGTATCATGAGGAACTCAAAGTTTCTTCATCTTTTATCTAACTGCCTCCCTGGTCACAAGTTGGCTGCAGTAATTCCTGTTATCATAGTCTCCCATTAACATCTAGAGGTAAGAAAAGAGGATCTCTTTCTTGTGTTTCTGTAGAAGAATGAAGAAACCTTTTTCAGAAGCAACTTCCCCACTGTCCCATTCTGTATAGACTTCCCTTCAAGTTTCACTGGCCAGAACAGGGTCATAAAGGAAATAAAAGTATCCTGATTGGTTTAGATGACTGAAGAGTCACCTTTAGGGGCTGAGGCTGGAACACTTGACTATGTGGCTGAAATGCAGGTAATTCTGTCAGAATGGGAGAAGAGAAGAATCAATGCAGGGAAGGCAAACAAAAGCCCTGCTTCACTGACAAGCACCTTTCAAAAAAATTCAGAAAAAGAATTCAATGATGAAAGCATACTATCAAATGCCATGCAATAGTTGGAAGGAATAAATGTATAGCAACATATATAGATCTTAGAAACACAATATTCAGTGAAAACAGTGGGAAATAACAAAACCTAATACAATATTTATGTTGCTTAGAAAAACACATATATTGGTACTTTCCCATGCTGCTGTTAGGAGTGAAAACTGGTGCAAGCACTTGGGAAAATCGTTCAGCAGTGCTATGGTTTGAATGTTTGTGTCCCATTCTCTTCCTTAATTCATGTGTTGAAACCTAACCCCCAAGGTGATGGTATTAGAAGGTTGTGACTTTGGAAGGTGATTAGGTCATAAGAGTGAAGCCCTCATGAATGGAATTAATGTTCTTATAAGAGGGACCCCGGAACTTTAAAAGGTTAAAACTTGCCCCTTCCACCATATAAAGACACAGCTAGAAGATCTATAAAAAACAGTCCTTCATCAGATACCAAATCTGCCAGTGTCTTGATTTTGGACTTTCTAGCCTCCAGTACTATGAGAAATAAATTTCTGTTTATAAACTATCCATGTAATGGTGTTTTTGTTATAGAAGCCTGAACAGACTAAGATAAGCAGGATCTAGTAAGGTTCAACAAAAGTATGCCCTACTTTGCTGCAATTCATCTTCTAAGTATATATACATGCTTACCTATGTGTCCCAAAGACATGGATGAGAATATTCATAGTAGCACCATTCATAATAGTTCCAAACTGGGAACTACTTACCCAAGTGTCTATCAACTACAAAATGGATAAATAAATGGTGACATAGTCACACACTGGAATACTGTACTGGAATACAGTATTTGCTGGAATACTATACAGCAATGAGAATGAATGAATGACTGTTGTGTGCTACACAGATGAAAGAAGTCAGTTACTAAAGAGTATATAATATATAATTCTATTTACAAAAATTTCAAAACTAGGCAAAATTGATCTATAATCATAGAAGTCAAGAGAGTGGTTACCTTTGGGAAGTGAGCTGTAGTAACTGGGACAGGCCTTCTAGAGGTCTAATAATGTTTTTATTTCTTAATATGGCTGGTGGTTTCATGGGTTTGTTTTTTGTGAAAATTCATAGAGCTGGCCGGGCGCAGTGGCTCATGCCTGTAATCCCAGCACTTTGGGAGGCTGAGGCGGATGGATCACCTGAGGTCAGGAGTTTGAGGCCAGCCTGGCCAACATGGTGAAACCCTGTCTCTACTAAAAAGACAAAAATTTGCTGGGCATGGCGGCAGGCGCCTGTAATACCAGCTACTCAGGAGGCTGAGTCAGGAGAATCGCTTGAACCCAGGAGGCGGAGGTCGCAGTGAGCTGAGATGGCGCCATTGCACTCCAGCCTGGGTGACAAGAGTGAAACTCTGTCTCAAGAAAAAAAAAAAAAAGAAAAGAAAAAGAAAATTCATAGAGCTGTACAATTTTGACTTAGTGCAGTTTTCTGTATGCATGTTATACTTAATAAACTTTTTTTTCTTTGAAAAAACCATGCACTTGCAAAATAGCATTCACTTAATAAATATTCAGTGCTATTGCTAGGTACTGTCCAGTCACTGGTGATACAAAGTAAACTTTGTTCTTGACTTCATGGAGCTTATTTCTAATAATAAAATAAATGTAATAATAATGACAATAGATAATACTTAAATTTTGTGGATTGTGTGCCAGGTAAAATTGCAACCCTATGAGGCAGATACTATTATCATCCCTATTTTAGAGTTGAGAATTACCTGCTGAAGGTCACATAGTAAATAGCAGAGTGAAAATTCAAGCCTAGTAGGTCTAACTTTAGGGTTTTTAGGATTTAACCATGATGTCCTATTGCCTCTTATTTTAGTAAGAGGAGATAGACAAAAAAAATATAGGTACAAAAAAGTTTCTCTGGTGAGGCAATAACTGCAACTGTGAAAAATAAATCACAGTATGGAGACAGAAAGTGACAAGGGGGTATGTTACTTTTTAAAATAAGACAGGGAAGTTTCCTCCCCGATTTTTAACATAAAGAGACATTTAAACAAATACATGGAGTGGGCCATGTGGATAACTGAGCAATGCATATTTCAGGCAGAAAAAAACAGAGCAAGTACAAAGTCCCTGAGGTACGTTTAGTAAGTTCAGGAAGTGGCTAGGAGGCCAGCGTGGCTGGAGTAGAATGAGATAGGGGAGAAGGGGAGGAGATGAAGTAAGAGGGTTATCTAGTGCCAGATCATGGACAGCGTTGCAGGCCGTTGTATTTTATAAGGATATACACACATCCAATAATATATATAATAAACATATTAGAGTGAGTAGGGAGAAGAATGGGTGACAGGATCTTGAATAAAAGAAAGAAATAGAACAAGGGAGAGATCTAGCACCAACCTATTAGGCTGGAGTGCCATGAATTGAGTATTACTAACTCAACTCTGCACCTAAGTTGTGGGATAGGGGTGAGTACAATTCTGACTTAGTCTTTAATTAAAGTGCACTCCACATTCCATCTTCACTCCACCATAAGTTATCCAAAAATGTAACATAATTACATCAAATCTTCACTCCATGGAGGAAAGACATGCCCTAAGTGTGTTAAGACTTCCCCATTTCTGATAATTCATTCCCATATGGGCAGCAGTGTCTACAATGGATGGCACTGGCTCTGGCCTGCAATGTGGCAAGAAACTTCTTTACTTATTCACAAAATATTTTACAAAAGAGTAATAAGACATGGTGTATTAGTTCATTTTCACAGTGCTGATAAAGACATACCTGAGACTGAGAAGAAAAAGAGGTTTAATTGGACTTACAGTTCCACATGGCTGGGGAGGCCTCAGAATCATGGTGGGAGGTGAAAGGCACTTCTTACGTGGCAGCAGCAAGAGAAAAATGAGGAAGAAGCAAAAGTGGAAACCCCTGATAAAACCATCAGATCTCGTGAAACTTATTCATTATCACGAGAATAGCACAGGAAAGACCAGCCCCCATGATTCAATTACCTCCCCCTGGGTCCCTCCCACAACATGTGGGAATTCTGGGAGATATAATTCAAGTTGAGATTTGGGTAGGGACACAGCCAAACCATATCACATCATTCCTAAAGAACCACATTAGCATAAGACTTTTAAAAAATATATAGCCTAATAGTTTTACTTTTACCTGGGAATGTCAGACATATCGACAAACTGCATGTGTTGATGCTTAAAACATAGCAAGTTCTTCAAAACAAATATCTTGCAAGCTCACAGATAAGCCTCAAGAATCATCATTTCTTATTCATATTTAAAAATTAAATAGGTTTTCATCCGTGGCAGGGGTACGTCTATATACTTCATTGGTAGTAAGAGAGATTTTGCTTTAGGTTAGAAAAGTTTTTATTTTTTCGGGTGAATTATGGCAAATTCTACTGCCCTCTGTTCTTTATTTTTGAAGTGTTTGTTTTTAAACAAAGTTTCTATAAGAACTCAAATGAAATAATATTTAAAAACATTGTATCCTGGAAGCCCAATAGTTGTACTTCAGACTCTAACAAAGACTTTCAAAGAAAAAAGAAGAGTAGAAAAAGAATTGTCTTCTGTAATTTGCCTCTCATATGAGTTTCTAGGTTTCAGGGCTACATTAAAATAGAATTGTAAAATAGGTGGGCACTTTGAATACCAATTTATAATGCATTCATTCATCTATTAACTGTTTGTTGAGTGTCTACCGAATGTCAAACACTGTGCTAAGTACCTGGGATATATTGATGAGGGAAAACAGACACAGTCTCTGTCTTCATAGTGCTGCAAGCTAATAGGGCAGGGTAGTGGACATCAGTAAAATAATCACATAAGCATGTGTAAAACTGCAAGTGTGACAAGCACTGTGGAGAAGAGGCGCATGATGCAATGAGGGAAGCCTGCTCTGGAGACATGATGATTAAAGTCTGATTTGAAGGAAGAAGGTAGTAAAGAACTTGCTTAAGGAGGAAAGGGAGAAGGCATGAAAAAGAGGGAACAACATGTGCAAAGCCAAGTGATTATAGGGAATATAGAACTGAAGGGAGGTCAAGGTGGCTGGAATTCTCAGTTAGAGAAAGCAGGAGTGTAGATGAAGGTCATACTCTTTCACTTGTTTCATCAATATTTGTTGAGCACCTATTATGCACTTAATATTGTTCTAAGTGCTTGGAATATTTAAGTGCTCAGTTTGTTATAAAAGTGAAGACACTGAAGAGTTTTAACCAGGCCAGGATGGGGGTGGAGTGGTGATAGGATCATATGATCATATTTGTGTTTTGCAAATATAACTAGCTCCAATATGGAGAATGGCTGAGAAAAGGCCAGAGTAAATTCTCTGGATGAGTTAGAGGCTACTACAGTAATTCAGCTAAGAGACAATGATAGCTTTGATGAGAAGAGTGATGCCAGAGATGACCAGAGTAGGTGGCTTCAAGAGATAATTTCAGATGCAAAATAGGACATTATGATAGACTGAGGGGGCAGAAAGGGAAATGTTAAGGATTCGTTTTCATTTTCTAACTTGCACAGCTGAATAGATTTACATAAAATAATGGCAATAATAATAATAATCAACATTACCAGTAGCTTCCACCTAATTTTGGGGTGGTGAGGGGCTGTGGGTAGGAATTACTGAGATGTAGTCTTCAGTCAGAGTAGACTGAACTCACCATAAATGACCTAAAATGATTGCCTCAAATCTCTTCCTGATTTTTTTTTTCTTAGACAGAGTGGACATGTCCCAAATATGTCAGAACTTCCCCATTTCTGATACTCCAGGTGAACAGCGAAGGCTTTCATGCATGGCTTTGGCCATGCAATATTGCCAAGAGTCTTTTTTCCCCTTTAGACAAAGCTCCTTCTGAAAAGAGCAATAAGACGTAGTTCCCAAAGAGTAAATTAGGTATCCAATGGAAGGGGTGAAGCAATGGCTGGAGAAGAATATACACCACACTCTCAGCCAGGAGCCATGTAGGATCAAAGTCTGCAGCATGGAGATACAGCGTGTGGGGCTGGAGCCAGGGTGAGTGAGAGGGCGTGGCTAAGAAAGGCTGAGGAAACACGCTGAGCTGACATCCCCGGAGACCCTTTGTGCTTTGCTCAGGTTTGACTTTACCCTTAAAGGCAACAGGGAGACTTTGAAAAGGTTAGGAAAATATCAGGAGCAAGATTAGATTGGCATTTTAGAAAGACGACTTTATAATAATTTTTATGCTGTTCTTACTTTATGTACCTTTTCTGTATATGTGTTATTTTCACAATAAACATGATTTTAAAAAAAGAAGAGCTGATTTTGTCTGCAGTGTAGATGGGTTTAGACTCAAAATGTGAGACAAGATGCAGTTATTTTCCTTTTTGGGTCTCATTTATTTATTTGTAAAAATATGGGCAATAACACCTCCTGGCATTATGTATGTTATATTCCCAGCATATAGTACTCAAGTAAATATAGTTCTTATTAATTTTAATGATGAAAGGAGTCTGAATTAAGGCAAATGCAATGGGAATGGAGAAAGGGAAATAGATGGCAGTGATGTTAAAGAGGTAGATTGTACAAGCGTCAGGGGCTGATTGAATGCCTCAGGGAGGCAGGGTGAGGGAGTTGCCTTACTTCTCAGGGATCCCACTTGGGTGACTAGGCAGATGGTGATGTAATTTACTTAGAAAGAGAAAACAGGAAAAGTCCAGGGTTACTGGTGGAAGCTTGGGAATGAGAGGAATTATGAGCTCAGTGTAGAACTTGTTATACTTGGGATGCACATGGAGATGCCTGGAGACAGTTGGCTCTGTGAGTCTGTAGCTCAGGGGAAGTTAAGCTCCAGGATGGATATTGGGGAGTTGGTATTTTCTAAGGAAAATGTGCTCAGAGTAATGAACAGAACTGAGATTAGAAGCATAGAGAGCATTTTAAGAGAGAAACAACAGAACAGGAGGCAAAAAAAAAAAAAAAAAAAAAAAAAAAAGAAAAAGAAAAAAAGGAGAAGAAGGAGATGAGGAAAAAATGGTCCTATATATTAAAAGTAGAAGGAATTATAAGACAAGAGAGGAGAAAATTGTTAAGAGGAAATGAGTAGTTAATATTGTCAGCTGCCACAAAGAGGTCAGCTAAGGTTTGCACTGGGAAAAAAAGAAGCAGTAGATTTAGTAACGATGGGGAGGGAGAATATCAGAGTTTTGCCAGAAACCCTTGAGTCTGGAGTGGTACGGCTGGAGTCCAGATTGCAGTCTGTGGAGGAGTGGACAGGAGGTAAGAAGTGGACATGAGGTTGAATTGCCCTCTGTTCTTTCAGGGAGCTTGGCTGTGAGGGGAAAAGAGAGACATAGGAATGGTGAAGTTTTGTTTGTTGATTTTAAGAAGTGAACCACTTGGATGTGCAGGGAAGTAGCCAAGCTAGAGACAGAAAGAATTCTGAAGTATAGGGTGGGAGGGGGTGGAATTTGCTAGCACAGGTGAAGGAATTAGCCAGAAACCAGAAAAGGGGGGGTCAATTCCTCTGTGATGAGAAGAAAGCTGGCACTGATCAGTGTGGATAAAAACAGATAAAAGTGTGGGTTGAGATGGGCGTGTGTGGTAAGATGTTGAGGAAGTTCATGCTGATCATCTCAATAGTCTGTGAAGAGGTCTCTGAGGAGAATGGTGCTGGCCATAGGGCAAAAGCATTAGGAAGAGTAGACGTGGTTTTATTAAGCTATTTGGGGGAGCAGCTGCTCAGAAGTGAGCTTAGACAGGAGTTGAATGCTCCAATCCCTGCTGGGGTGGAAGGTGGCCAGTGGCTGGGTTTCCTGCAGTAGTGCTCCCTCTTGCAGCTGTGGGATTGAGGAAGGGGATAGCAGATGGGAGCCAGTAGGAAGACAAGGGAGACCGATGGGCGAGTACTGGAGTGTGCGGAGGAGCGGGCTCGGAAATGTGGGTCCAGGGGCACTCCTGAACCCCCAGAATTTAGCAACTTTTAAAAACCTAATTAAAAATAAATGATTTATATAATTTGAGGTCTTTGGACAATGGGAACACAGAATAAATTTTAAAATACTGGTGAGACAAAGGCAGTATTTACACAGGTATTACAAACACTTTGGGCCCTTGGGCCCTATTCTAAATTAACTTAAAAAAAATCATTGCAAGACAATGTATAGTTATCCTGTTTTTCCTCTTTTCCTAAATTTCCCTAAAGTGTTTGTATCTGCTTGGTAAGGGGAAATAAAGTGGGTTATAAGTGCTATTGATGCTTGATTTTTCATTCAGGCGTGTGTGTGTGTGTGACACACAGAGAGAGAGAGAGAAAATCAAGAAGTCTCTCTGCATTTTGTGACATTAGACGTCAAGTATGACTTTTAAACAACAATATATGTGGGAGTTGATGTTGGTGTAGATCTATAGCTAAAATTCTCTTGGAGGGTGATTTTTCTTTCTGGTAGGAATAAAGTATTGAAGTCAAACTGTTCAGGAATTTGTCTTTCAAATAAAAATATCTTTAAAATTCTGGCAGGAAGTAGGCAAGTTAAGCAGCTAGCCTGGGGCTGGGGGTAACTGCCAGGATAGTTCTGGAAGGAGCCAGTTATGTCAATAAATATTTGCTGCCAGGTGCTGCCTTTTAAAGGAGCATTTGCCCCTTGTAAAGTTCTCCCCTAGGGCACTTTGAACTGGCCTGGATTGGCAGAGGAGGGGGAGAGAAATTAAGCCTTTTAGGGGAGACCGTCAATGACTCCTGTGAGTGATGAGGTTAGTGTGATGGCAGCCAGATTTCCTGCCAGAAATCGACCACCCCTGTGTTATAAAAATGTCAGGAAGAGTTTCATAATGCCACCGTTCTTAGTAGTCCCAAACCGGAAACAAAATGCCAATTCCAGGAGAATGGTTAAATATATTATAGTTAATTAATTCTGTCATGAACAAGGAAGTACAGATACATACAACAACCAGATTAATCCTTGTCACAAAAGGATTGAGTAAAAATCTAAAATCCCAGAAAACCATTTATAATAGTACAATACCATTTTTTTAACATTCCAAAACAAGAGAAGGAACAATAAACACCAAATTTAGGATCGTGCTTACTCATGAGGGGGCGAGGGATAGAGAAGACAGCACAGGGGAGAGAATGTAAGTGATCCGAGTTATTGCTGATATCATTGTTTGAGTTAGTACGTTCATGGGTGTTTATGTATTATTTAAAATAAAATATTAAATAAAGAGGGTCATACACTGATTGATGGAGTTAGTGCATTAGAAAGCAAAGAAGTATGCATTTCAAACAGCATGACATTGTGGGCACTAAATGTGACCATCACGTGGGCCCCTTTGGCAAGCCCAGCTCTTCTCACTTGGTGGGCTAGATCGGTCAGACTCTTCCTACAGGGTTTCTCTTCTAGTGTTGAAGATGGACTACAAACAACTGAAGAGTTCAGAAAGTGATGAGTACAAGACACAACCATACAACCAAACCAATCAGGACAATATCTTCATGAGTAAATATGTAGGTATATCTCTGGTTAGGTGCCCAGGAATAGATTAATTGGATGAAAGAATATGTACATTTAGATTTTTTTATAGATGCTGCCAAATTACTCTCCAAAAAGGTTGTACTAATTTGTAAAACCTTGTTTCCCTACATCTCTGCCAACACTGGTGATTATCAGTCTTTTGTCTTCGCCAACTGGCAAAAAATGGTATCTCATTGTTGCTTCAAATGATCAAATTTTAGATGAGCTTTTGGTGTGGAAATCATTAGTGAGTAGAGACTCTTGGGGCACATATTTCTGTTCCATTATTGATGGAAGAATAGCTGTAGTTGTACATGCCTAAATACTTTGGGAACAAGTGTGACATGTGATTAGGTCTATTTATTACTCTCTGATCCATTTGGTCAGGAAGTAGCTCTTGCTTAAAACACGTGGGAGAATGGGAGAGGAGGAGAGGAATATTTCTCTGGTGCTTTTGTGTGCCCTGTAGACAGTGGATTAGGTGCTTTTACATATCCTTTCATTGAGTTTATTCTTTAGAGCAGCCCTCTGAAGTGGTATGGCGACCCAGAGACTTGAAGATCTTGCTCTAGTCCTGCAGTTGGAAGGTGATTCAGCTAGCATTCTGATTCCCAAAGCCCATGCTCTCATTTCAAATGTTTATTTTTTCCCTTAAGCCTAACAGAAGACAGCACCAACTTTAAGGATCTGGTCTTTTAATGGGTCTATTCCAGTGGTTCTCAATATTGGCTATACATTGGAAACTCCCGAGGAGCCTGAAAAACTACTAATGCCCGTGTCCTACTCCCAGAGATTCTGATGTAATTGGTCTGAGGTACAGCCTGGACATAAGGATTTTGAAAAGCTCCCAGGGGATTCTAATGTTCAGCCAAGGTTGAGAGCCATTGGTTTAATTCAATGACCTCTAGACTTCTTTTTAGATTTGCATTACCTATAATTTGATTTTGTGACACTCTTTTGGCACCTTATCTCCTAAAAGTTTTGTGAGTTTTTTCCTTGGTTTATTTTGAGACTTTTGGAAAATTTCCATGATAGACTTTGGAATAATTACAGATATCCTGGTGCAAGATGAATAGAAAGACTGCATTACTAAATTCAGGCTGGGAATTGCTGAGCTAATTATTTATCAGATCTTTATTTTGCAATTTAAAAAATCGGTAAACCAACTGCAGCATGACATAAGCAATCTTCTTGTAGGAGAGTATTAGCAAAATATCAGTATCACTTATGACTTTTCACAGATACATTTCATCTGTTACTAAACATTAAATAGGGCAGGTCAGAGAGCTCAAAAAAGAAAATATATCAGCTGTAGTAAATAACATTTTATTCAAATATTACTCAGTTTTTCTGGGAATCATTTACCTACTGTCTTATAAAAGTAAAATACTTTCTGGTTTTTGACCACATACATATGATGAGCTTAGTTGGTAAAAATATTTCTCCCACCTATGGCATCAGGATGCCTCCCCCAACTCCACTACAGCTTTAGAAAAACTAAATAGTTATTTTGGCAGCTCAAAGGGGATCATAGTGCCTCTTACCTATGCAGTTGTTGTGGTTTATTCTTAATATGTGTTGACGTTTGATATTATATTTCTTGGTGGTGTGGGCAGCAGTTATAAGAGAGCTGTGTGGTGATTCTAATAGAGACCTTGTTTTTTCCATTCCAAAGCACTTATTATTGTTGTTTTATTATTGCTGTTACTATTTTAACTTGTAGTTTTTTTCCAAACCAGTTTAATATAGCTCTGATTATGAGGGCCTATTCTATTTCTGTGTGTCTTGGGAGCTTTTTATTTTAAAAAAATATTTATTTATTATAAAGACAGGTTTTTCTCTGTTGCCCAGACTGGAGTGCAGTGGCTAGTCACAGGCACGATCACAGCACACTGTAGCTTTGAACTCCTGGACTTAAGCAATCCTCTAGCCTCAGCCTCAGCTTGTAGTTGGGACTACAGGAGCAAACCACCATGCCTGGCTTGTCCTGGGAGTTTTTCCCTTCTCCTTCCAGTTTTATTTTCTGTAAGTCTTATTCATCACGGCATAGTCCAGAGATCAGCTTTGCAAAAACCACGCACTGGGAAGGGACAAGAAAAGCCACATTTGGTAGGTTTTGCTTTTAATTCTGTGTCAGTGATTTCCTGTGGAAATTTGGTTTATTCTGTGTCATAATTTCCTTATCTATAAAAATGGAGATAATAGTTCCTGATTCCCCAGTTAAAATGAGGAACATACAATATTGCCGTATGTGAAAACACTTTGAAATATATAAAGTGTGGTTTAGTTCAATACTATTTATTTTGAGTGAGTGCATTTTCCTTCTAATATCTACAAAGTTGGTGGAAGAAACCTGAACCGTCTTGGAGCTGCACTGTGGTGTGTGAAGAGCATGTGAAACTGGAGGTAGAAGGCCTGGTGTGAATCAGGGCAAATCATCTCATCCCAGCTTTAGTTTTCATCTTTAAAATGAGGATGATAGAAAGAAACCATCTCAGTGGGTGGATGGATTAAATACATATTTCATGAATATGAAAGTACTTCATAAACAGCAAAGTACCTCACAAACATTAGCTATTCTTCATTCAAATTTGAGTGCATGCTCCCCATCCTTGAAGCCATGCAGATTTATTCTTCAAGGCAGGTGTCTTTCTCCTTAGCCTCTAAACCCAGAATCTTGGTGTTAATGGCCAGAATCCTCCCTTTCTTCCATTTTACTTCTCCTTTACCAGGTCCTCCCACCTGGACATCGCCACCTCAGACCTTTCCCTCTTTCCCCTTCTTTACTCTCACCGCTCCCCCAAATCATATTGACATTTTCCTTCTCTGGGTTTTATTGTCTAAATTATGTAATTACAATTCTATTAACACAAATTAAGATGACATTATCTTTTTAGCAGCTGATTAACAGCTGCTATGGCTAGCATTTTAGATGACTAGTTTATTTGTTAAATGCATCCAAAATAAATGTTACTAGATGGTGTTGTTCCTTTGGAGAGCATGCTGTATTTTAGCAGTGACCAAGAGTACTAGAACCCAAAGGAATGATGAATGCAAATATTATATTTCAGGTCTGTATTCAATATAAGGTGAATGTTTCAGGACAGGTGTGCATTTTGTTGCCATTCAAAGTATACCTTCTATTCAGCTCCTCACTCTGCTATTATGCTGCTCTCAGATGGGAAGAAAACAAATGAACCAAAAACCATATTTTTTTCCTTTTGTGAATATAGATGAAAAGTTATTTAATAAGGCTTTGATAATTTTTCAGCAATTTTAATAACATTATATCATATAATATATACTTTACTTTTTTGGACACAGGAAATACCTGGCAGGCTTTGCTTTAATTCTATATCAGTAATTTCCTGTGGAAATTTGGATTATTCTGTGTCATAATTTCCTTATCTATAAAAATGGAGATAATAGGTGAAGCTTTGTTGATGATAAACTTTTAAAATATCACACAAATCATCTGACACATATATGTAACATGACATTCACATCTTTACAAAAAAAACCCAGCCAGTTATGTTCCTATTTTAATAGTATTCTATAAGGTTTTCTACCCCCAAAACACCCCAGTATCCTCTTTTTGTTTCTTTTTGAAAACATCGTTTTAAAGGGATAAGCACAGAGTTCCTAAAATCAGCTTACCTTACCTCCCCCTAGTTATGTATACCTAACATTGAGCAGTTGGTTTTTGAAATTTTTCTATAAACTCACAGGAAAAAATACTAAACAAGTATCTCTGATAATCCTAGATATTTTTCTTTCTGGGAGTTAGGTTTTGCTTTCTTGCAGTTGTCTTACTAAGTCATAAATTTCAAAAACAAATGTATCTTCCATAACTACTTTGTACAGCCACAAAAAAGATTGCTTCTTTGGGGTAACTAATGACTTTTAAGGCATTCTTAAAAACAATGCCTCCTTCCTTTGGGCTATAAGAATGTTTAGGCTGAAAGGAACTGAAGGGCTATTTAGCCCCAACTCCTGTATTTATTTCCAGATGCACGAACTGGCTCCAAAGACCTGATGTGGACTTAAATTCACACAGATGGGTTGTTTTATTGGGGAGTTCTTGAGAAAGAGTTTGAATCGGCATATTGAGTATGTGAGATTCGAAACATCTGAGTTGTATTGGTTAGAGCTTTGTGCCATTGCATCTTTCAGATATTATTTGTCCATGCTTCTGTTTTCCTGGCAAGATGGAATGACAGTAGCAGCATTTCTGTCCTAATGCTGAGATGGGGAAAGTTTTATGTACATCATAGATATTCAAGTGAGAGATAAAAGTAAAGCCAGCCTCTGTTTTGAAATTTAGTTCTTCTCTGGCCTGAGATGGTCTCAATTCTTAACTCTTAGCCTTAGAAAAATAAGATTTTAAAGCATATGTGTGGGGAGACTTGGTATAATCTCTATCTAGTGAGGGATCTCTCTACCATCCCCAAGGAGTGCCTGGTCTTGGCTTGGACACTATTACAAAAATTTTTTTAGACAAAATAAATTTAGCAGTTATTTAGCAAAGAATGCTTCTCAGATTGGGCAGCCCCCAGAACCAGAACAGGTTCAGAGTGCCTCTGTGGCTGCTACATGGTTGGATAACTTTTATGTACAGAAAAAAGAAAGTGATGTATGGAAGATGGAAGTGAACTATAGAAACACTATAGCTGAATTAGTTTCAACTCAGCATTTGCCTTATTTGAACATGATTGAACATTTGGCAACCTGTGGTTGACTGAAACTCTGTGATTGCTATAAGAGTAGGTTACAATTCACAGTGTGTGGAGAAACCTTTAGGCAGAACTTAAAATATGTTAGGAGGCAGCTTTAGGCTAAACTTAATTTAACAACACTTTTAGGCAGAGCCGTCTCTGCTGGCTTCATTGTTGACAGCTCTATTTGTTTGAAAGTTTTTGACTATTTTGAGTTGAAATCTGCTCCCTGTAATTTCTGCCCACAAATTCTAGTCCTTTTTGGGGAAACCCAGACCCAATATACTATCAATTGACTTCTTTCTTTCTCATGAAGTCTTTTCCTTTCCGGAGTAATCACTTCCATGCCCTTCAGCTTTTCTTCATAAGGCATTATTTTCAGATTTCTGATTGATCTTCTTAGGACTCAGTTTGGTTTTTAAATTTTGTCTTTTAACATGTGAGGCTCAGAACTGAATACCTCTCCAGATGTGGTTGTCCATTATGGGATCTATGGCAAAACCATGACATCTGCTAGTGACACTGTATTTCTATTAATGGAGAATAAAAATACATTTACTTTCTTGACAGTTGCCTTATACTCTTGACAAATACTAAACTTGGAAAGAACTAACCCTTCTGGATATTTTCTGCATGAAATGTTGTCACATCAGGTCTCCTCTAGTCTGTGCAATTAAAATTTGAACCTACATTTATCTATGTTAGATGTTATATTTTTGGTTTCATTGTGGCAAGAGCATTTAAATTCTTGACTCTGCCCTTGATTGAAATCATTTGCATACTTTTCTTATGGTAGAAGAACAATCTTCAGATTTTGAGCAGTGGGGTGCCTTATTTTTCTTAGAAATATCGAGCAAAAGATGCATTGATTCTTGACCTTATTCAGGGTCTTCTATTTAAAATATGTGTGTGTGTGTGTTGTAGAGGTATGTGTGTAATGTGTATTTGTAGTTGTTGCTGTGGTGCATTACCCAGATCTTCCCTTCAGAACCAAATCACTGATTCTCTACTGATGGGAAATTAGAGACTGAGGCTCCTACACTGAGTCCCTCCCTGGGAATTCCCTTCAACCAAAGAGTGTCTCACAGGATCACAACACCTTCCCAGGGACAGCCTTCATACAATGATTGGCTGAGGCAGGGGAATAAAGGCTCAATCCTATTGCTTTGAGGATGGGCCATCCCAGCTCTAGAGATTCCCAGTGTTACAGCTGAATCTTTTGTGTTTGTGGCTGCATTGAAATTTAATACTTTTCTCTGGCCACACCTACTTCCTTCATTTTCCCACAGGTGTGGAAACCAAGGGTCCTCCTCAGTCAACTTCATGTTTTCAAATCTCCTTCAGAATCAGTTTTCCAGGGAAATTGACCTAAGAAATTTGGTACCAGAAGGGCTCTAAGAAAGCTGATTTTGAAGTGGGAATTTGGAGCTTGGTCACTGTAGTTGGCTAGTAATAGTGGATAATCTTTATTATGAAGTAGCCATCCAATGGTTAACGCTTTCACTGGTGAACTGGGATGGGATACCCAGGAAGGGAATGACTTGGCTGGTGCAACTTTTCAGATTTTTGAGAGGTACAAGTACTAATTGTAAGGATAGTGGAATTGGATGGCTGTTGCTGAGTTCCATTAATGCATAGGAGAAAGACAAAAAAGCCGAAGTGTGAAAGTCTGGCAGACCTCCTTAACAGAAATTAAAGTTACTCTTATCTCCTACAGTCTGAAGGCAAAAATGCTGAAAACCACACCCAGGATTTTATTTTAAGAGTAGCATATCCCCAGAAAAGATTACATTTTCAGCCCCAGCAAATTTGCTATGCCAAGGCCCAGGCTGAAAAAACAGAATGACGAAAACTTTAGCTGGAAACATGGGGCAAGGTACCCAGCTCTCCCTAAACCTCCTGAGCTTACAGAAGTAGCCCCTTTTTTTTTGTTAGAGATGAGAACCCCACCCCTTACCTGAAGGCAATATAGAGACTTTTGCTTTGCAAAACTGCACCTACCTTCCTTGGTGGATCTGCTCCCACCTCCTGGCTACCTAGCATCATGCAAAACATAACCAGGTTACGGAAGTGTGAGCTTGCTAAGCAAGGAAAGGGACTAAGCCATGGAGCTGCAGAACCCAGCAGGACGGATAATCAGGAGGCTGAGAGCAACCACCCTAGTGAAAAGCTACAATTCTTTGCCAAAGTTTTGGACCTGAGCCAGTTTTCAGACTTAGAAGTCATTAATTCAAAATAAGTCTGGGTCCTCAGGAAGAAGTCCCCTGCAATAATAGCACGGCAAATGATATGGCAGTGTTTCTTCAAGTTATCCCCTAAAGGATCTAAGGCTATTTACTCAGGTAACTATCCTGGGAAAAGAATACTCAGAATTTTAAGGGTTGTTAGATACAGGGTCCAAAATGACCTTGATACCTTAAGACCTGTGGCTTCCTGTTAAGGGAGTGGTATGTGAAGGGAGTGGTATGTGAAGGCCAGTAATAAATGGAATCCTGGCTCAGGTCTGGCTCATAATGTGTCCAATGCATCCAAAGATTCACTCTGTGGTCACTTCACGGGGCTCTGAATGTGTAATGGAATGGGCATATAGGTAGTCACTACGACCTCCACATTGGTTCTTGGCCTGTGGGGTGAGAGTAGTCATAGTAAGGAGGCCAAGTGGAAGCCTCTGAAAATACCCCTTAACCCTACTCAAGAGAGTGCATCAACAATATTATATTCCTGATGCAATAGGTAGAGACTAGTGCCACCCTTAAAGACCTGAAGAATGCAGGCAGTCCTTGTCCCTATTTCATTTATCAGCCTAGTCTAATAAATGAAAAAAACCATACAGATCCTGAAGGATTAGAGTAGAATACTGCAAACTCCACCAAGTAATAGCACAATTATAGCAGCTGTGTCAGATGTGGTATCTTTGCTAGAACAAATTAACACAGCCTCAGGCACATAGTATATGAGCATTAATTTGGTATCTGTGTTCTTTTCTATCCCTAACAGGAAAGAGGATCAGAAAGAGTTTGCATTCACTAGAATAATAATAGTTCTAAGGTTATGTTAACTCTCCCACCCTCTAACATTATATAGTCCGAAGGGACACATGCACCACCTGGATTTTCTGTAGTACGTCATCTTTGTCCTCTATATTCATGACACCATGTTAGTTGGACTGGATGAACAATAAATGGCAAGTATGTTGGAAGTGTTGGTAAAGATCCACATGCTATAGATGGTGGGAAATAAATCCTATGAAGATTCAGGTGCTTGTCACAATAGTAGAGTTTCCTGGGGTCTATTGGTTTGGGGCATGCTGGAATTTCCCTCCAAAATAAAGAACAAATTATTGCATTTCCAGCGTCCTATCACCAAGAAAAGGTAAAACATCCACTCGGCCTCTTCGAGTTCTGGAAGCAGTATATTCAACACTTGGGAACATTTCTTCTACCTGTTAACTGAGTGATATAAAAGGCACCCATCTCTGAGTAGGGCCCATAGCAGGAAAGGGCACGGTAGTCATTCTAGGCTGTGCTGCAGGTGGCTTTGCTACTCAGGCCATATGACTAGGCTGACCATATGATATAAGGGGTGTTGGTAGTGGAAAAAGATACCATGTGGAGTTTGTGGAAAGCCCCCTGTATTAATCTGCTGGGCATGTTAAAATACCATAGACTGGGTGGCTTAAACAATAGAAATATTTATTCTCACTGTTCTGGTAGCTAGAAGTCCCAGGTCAAGGTCTAGCAGGGTGGATTTCTGGTGAAGGTGCTCTTCTTGGCTTGCAGATGGCTGGCTTCTCACTGTGTTCTCATATGGCCTTTTGTATGATATGTTTGTGGAAGAGAGAGAGTTGGAGCACTCTGGTATCTTTTCTTATAAAGACACTAAAACTATTGGATTAAGACCCAACCGTTAGGACTCCATTCAACCTTAATTACTTCCTTAGATGCCCCATCTGCAAATACAGCTACACTGAGGGTTCAGGCTTCAACAATTTTTGGAGGGGACACAAAATTCCACTCCTAACACCCCTAAAAAAGAATCACAATGCAGACTCCTAGGACATGCCTTCTGTAGCAGAGAATTATACACCATTCAATAAACAGCTCCTGGGCTGCTACTGAGCACTAGATAGTGGGATACCAAATGACCCTGCAGCCCGAATGGCCTATCATGAGCTGGATTGGGTCATACCACAAGTTAAATTCTAGTGATCCCAGCAACAATCAAATATAAATAAAAGTGGTACGTTCACAAAGCCCATGCCATCTATCATTGTTTCAATGGCAGTTCTCTCCCAGCTCACATATAGGACTGTAGGGACCAGGGGTCTTTATGGCCAGCTAACAGAGAAGAAAAAAGGCCTGAACTTGACTCACAGATGAATTGATCTGGGTACAAGCCAAAAATAGACTTGGATGCACTATAGCCCCTCAGAGGTAGAGTGACGTTGTAATATCCTCCCAGTATGTAGAGTTGTTGGTGTGCCCTTGTTATTCAGTGTGTGTGTGTGTGTGTGTGTGCGTGTGTGTGTGTAAAGAGAAGTAGCCAGAAGTAAGAATACTTATGAAGTCATGGACTATGGAAAATGGTTTGTCAGGGACATAGAAAGAGAATATGGAAGATAGAGGATAAGGAGGTCTGGGGAGAAGAATACAGATGCACACATGGGAGTAAGCCCTTAGTGTGAAGATATTTGTATTACATGTTAATCTCCACCAGAGAGCATCCATTATGGAAAAGGCACCATGAATGTCTAACCGAGTGGACAGAATGACTTAGCTGACATCAGCTAATCTCCATTCCCATTATGCAGTCTCCTATATGTTTGTTATATGGCGCCATCCCTCAAGAAAACCAAACAATTGGTGACAGCCTGATTACACTGGACCCTTTTCACCTTGAAATCCGCATGTATTCTGGATGTGGGTTTTCCTTACCTTCTCACAGGGAAGTCAGCATCACTATCCAGCAGCTTAGAGAGTGTTTGATCCACCAGCTCAGGATTGGCATAACATTGTATCAGACCAAGGAACCCTTTACAGCAAAAGAGGAGTGAAAGTAGACACATGACCATAGGACCCACCAGCCTTATCAAATACCATACCACCCAGAAACTGCCTGTCTAGTAGAGTGATAGAATGACCTTGTGAAGACATAAGTGAAGTGTCAATTTGGAGATGATAACTTGTGAGGATGGGGTGTAAGTGCAGCATATCCCTTAACCATCATTGTATAGTGCTGTGTGTCCAAGAGACAGAATGAATGGATCCAGCGATGAAGGCTTGAAAGTTGGAGTAGTGCCATTTACCTTTTGAAGCCCATGTGAAGAATTTGGGCTTCCAGTCCCCACAACTTTGGGATCTGTGGGTTTAGAGGTCCTGCTTCTCAGAAGATGAACACTTTTATCAAGGGCCAGCTTAACAGTCCTATGAAACTTTAAGCTGTGGCTGCCACCCCATCACTTCAGGTTCCTCAGGCCAAGAGAACAGCAGTGAAAAGAAGGGGTCACCATCCTGGCAGGGATAATTGGTCCTGAAAGAAAATAGTAAGGCTGCTGCTACCCAATGGGGGTGTGGAAAAATCTGGTTGGCACTTAGGTGGCTCACTCGGGAGTTTCTTAGTACTCCTTTGCTCAATTTTGAGAGTGAATGGAAAAGTATAGAAGTCATGGACTGAGAACATGTCCCGCAGTGATGAGGTCTGGGTCACCCCCCAAGTTAAGCTGCCTTGACCAGCAGAGACACTAGCTTGGGATGAAGAGGGTCAAGAATGAGGGCTCAAGAAGAGGGTCGAGATACAGTAGGAAAGCAATGCACTGAGTATCAGTTGTGGTCTTGACACCAGCTGCCCCACTAACACCTCCCTCTCTCACATAAACTTCTGCAGGAAGAGATGACCAATCAGAATCTTGGTAGACTTCCCCACAGAGAAAGCACACCAGATCAAGTACAGCCCAACCATTGTGCCACTTGTATTTCTGTACAAGTGGATATAAATCTGGTGTGCTGTCCACATCCTCCCTTCAGGACTGAGGGACTCATTCCCATAGTGGCTGGACTGCTGATGGCTGCTAGTTCTCAGCTGAATCTCTGCCTGGGTATTAGCTGAAGGGACCCATTCACTCAAGGTCATGACCCCCACCTGAGGGCAGCCCACAGCAAATGGCTGGTCAATGTGGAGTTATAAAGTCTCAATCCCTTGAGACTTGGGTGGTCCAAGTCAGAAGGACCATCCCAGCTCCAGAGAACCCTGTAGGATTGGCTGAGTCTTTTGTCGCTATTGTAATACAGTTCAACTACTCCTTGTGCCCATTCCTATATCTTGTGCTCCTCCATAGTTGTTGATCCCAAGGATACTTTCCAAGAACTTTCCCTCCTGAAAATATTCATCTCAGAGTCTGTTTCCCAAGGAATGCATCTGAAGTCATACTGTTTCTTAGTCTGATAAATCAGCAAAGAGCAGAGACCCCATTCAAACTCTTTACACGCAGACACACAATGGTACTTCAGTATACGATTCTGGTGTGTAGTCTTATTTAGTTGGGGGCTGTTGTAAGTACTTTACATGTCTCAGTTTATTTAATCATTTCAACAATTCTGGGAGGTTGCTACGTGTCATTCCCAATTTACAGATGAGGAAATTGAGGCAGAGAGTTTAGGTGCCTTTCTGAATTCATACAAGTAGTTACTGTCAAAGGTGAGATTTGAGATTTATCATTCTGCCTCCTACTATGCTATGCTGTTGTAAAGCTTTTGGAACACAAGAAGGTGTGTGTGTGCTGGAGGCTCCTAAGCCATCATTAGTGTACGTGAGACTGTGAGTAAGAGCTTCCCAAGCATACATGATCCATTCCTCAGTTTACCTGTGGGGAAGCTAACCTAGTAGTCATCATGGTTTATTCTCAGGTGGAGACAGGGGAATAATTTAACTTGGTTACCTGTTAAAGATGCATTTAGCTATTAGAGGATTTTAAGTGACCTAGATTTGTGTGTTTTATTGGCCATGAGAACAAAGAGGTAAATGGTAGCAAAGAGACAGTAGTTTTTTTTCTGCTTTGACTCCAGTATTTCTTGATGCTATTGACCAGGTGATAGTTAAAAGCCATGCTTGGTTCTCTTACCTCTTCTTACCCTCTATAAGAGTGAAGGTTGAATAGAGATTATTTCAGGGAGTGGAGAAAGTTAGAGACTCTCATAAACCTAGAGTTTCCAGACTTAATCTAAATTGTTTTTGCACAAAGCTAACTTTGATTATATAATATTCTGTTACAAATAAAGTTGGCATTAGAGTACTGCAGACAGCTGTTGAATGATAGGCAAAAGTATGTAATTGCAGCCCTCATAAAGATTTCATTTTTGTACTTTCATTTAAATTGATAATTAAATTTAAAGACATCAATCTTTATTAATTACAGAATGTGCCTAAACCCTGACCATGAGGATAGTTATTGTGGTAAAGT
Organism: Homo sapiens; assembly: GCF_000001405.40. Lineage (NCBI taxonomy): Eukaryota > Metazoa > Chordata > Mammalia > Primates > Hominidae > Homo > Homo sapiens. The sequence goes on from NC_000005.10 coordinate 96,064,607, forward strand.
CTCTTGGTGCTGTCTGTCCAGTTATGAAACTTTTCTTCATTCACTTGTGCCTGATTTTCACAAGTGATATTCATTGTAGTTTGTGCCTGTGGCCTACAGGAGAAGAAAGCCACCTGTTTAACTATTTAAATAGTTATAAGCCCATAGTTGCCTGAAATAACCTAGTCTTTCGTAGAAAGGTATGAAATTCCCTTTTCTGGGAATTGTTTTTTGTTTCTGATTCTTGCCCTTGGTAACATTTATGCTACTATATTATTTCTATGCTATGTGCGTTAGTTAAACCAGCATAAAAATTAACAGAAGACTTCACAAAAAAGCCAGGCCAGATGTCCCCTTGCTTAGCTCCTTTTATCCTCTTTCCGCTGACTTCACATGTTGGTAATGGCTATGTATTTGGGTATATTTCTGGATTAAACATTTTAAAAGCTAACTGTTGCCTTCTGGTACTTGTTATTCCTGTTACCAATAGTTCCTAGTATTGTTAAAAAGTCCCTGATGAGTCAGTTCAAAAGGTTAGGGTTTAGTGAGAGGGATAGTACATTTCTTTTTGGTGGAAACTATTAACATATATAAGTCTTTGGCTTTTTTTTTTATCATTATTTCTTAAAACTTTGAAAGTATATTAATGAGTCAAATCAGCTTCCTTAAACATCAGTGAAATGTTTGGATTAACAATTTTTAAATTTTTATTTTAAAAAGCTTTAATGTTGTGAGGAAAAAAATTACTGGGGGAGGTACTCAAGAGAGCCTTTTGGGGTCCTGGAAATTCTTTATATCCTATGGTGGTTAATGATCTGTGTGTGTGTGTGTGTGTGTGTGTGTGTGTATTTATATGTATATATGTAGAAATTAATTGAGCTGTATGTTTAAAACTTATTCTCTATACTGTGTATATATTACAACACAGTAAGGCAAATTAATATTTTCTAGTTTTGAAGCATCTTTTATTTTAAAGCATTTAGAACATGAGATAAGGTAAGTGATAGGATTTTTTTAAAGTTGTAAAGCACTGTGCAACTAAAAGACACCACAATCTAGAAATAGAAATAGCATATTTGGTATACAAAGTGGGTTGTCCTCCACCCTGTAGGCATGGATCTTTTAAACCCTGGTTTAGCCCCTCAGCCTGTTGCCAGAGAGTGAATTCTCTTTGTGCTGAGATGACTCTTAGCTCTGCCCCTGCTGTGGGCCTTAAAGGTTTAATTCTAGGGCAATTAACCCACAGATCCTTTTCAAAGCTTGTCACCTTACTATGACTATGAAAGAGCACATATTGTCCCTGGTATGATCATGAACAAAGTTTCCAACAATTGAAGGGGAGTTCAGTGGAGTCAGGAACTGTATTAAGGAAATATATTACAGGGGCAGAGAGAGCACCTCCTAAGAGTGTAATGAGGAAGAGAACAGACTAGAACACTCCCATTCCTGTTAAAGCTTTGTTAAGCATTTTATGACAGAAAACTGCTAGTGCAGGCAGGTTAATGAAGAGAGAAGATGAAAAACTGTTCTGTGAGTTTCAAACTAGGTCTATCATTAAAAGAGGTTTAAGTGTCACTTGCAAGCCAGTACTTTGGAGACTGAAAAGTTGTAGTATACCCTTTTAGTGTGAATCTTGCTGACAGGGTCAGCCTGAACAATAGGGCTTTGATAGACAGCCTGTATCCCTTTTGCTATGACAGGGTTTGATCTCTTATCTCTTATGATTTCTGACTCTCTTTTCCCCATTGTCTCTGTACTGTTCCATTCATTCCCACTGCTTGCTATTTGATAATGATTTCTCTAACAACCTTTTTTTTTTTTCTTTTTTAATACCTCTGCACTTTCTGCCTATTTCTTTCCATTTTTAAGTCCTTTCTCTAGCTTGTTTTGAGCCAGTTTCAGGGCAAATTCTTGCCTGTCTTCCTCTCATCTGTTTCTCAGCTAGATCAGGTTTCATATCTCTTACTACTTCAGCCCATATAAGTTTTCCCTTTCCTGTTGTAGTTACCGTCTGACTTTCAATGTGGCACTTAATTATATAATTTCTGATCTTATTTGTTTTTTTAAATTTTTAAAAATTAAAATTTTTTTAGAGACAAGATCTAACTCTATTGCCTAGGCTGGAGTACAGTGGTGTGATCATACCTTACTGCAAGCTTGAACTCCTGGGCTCAAGCAATTCTCCCCCCTCAGTCTCCCTAGTAGCTAGGACTACAGGCATGCACCACCATGCCTGGCAAGTTAACAAAATTTTTTTTTTTGTAGAGATGGGGTCTTAGTATGTTGCCCAGGCTGGTCCCAAACTCCTGGCTTCAGTTGATCCTCCAGCCTCAGCCTCCCAAAGTGCTGGAATTACAGGTGTTAAGTCACTGCACCCAGCCCTGTTATTTCTTAAGTGATTCATATTTATGCCTTATTTCTCCAGTTTTCTTGGAGGGAAAGCATCACCTTCATTTTCTATCTACTTTAGGGGATAACACAGTGCTTTACATATAGTAAGCAATAAAACTACATCTGTGGGATAAACAAATTTATATTCAGGTTCCTATAATGTCAGGTACTCAATCCTTTGTTTAAAGTTAATGCCATGTAAAAATAGGTAATAGGGGTATTATATTTGAATTTCAAGCAATCTTGTGCTTAAGGTTATATTCTGTATTTTCTTTTTATTTTCCTTTTACAATTTAATCTGACAGTGGGGCCAATTTTATAGGTGTAGGAAATCCTTTGTCAAATATAGTCTTCCAGTAAATACATGTTTTAAATAATGCAATGTGGATATGGCTCATTATAGTCTCTAAATAATTACCAGGGCCCTTCAGTAAGGGAAATACTTTTCTGATGGATCATTAGGAATACATTTGTGGCAGACTTTTAAACCATTACTAATCATAGAGATGGTCTTAATTGCTTTCGAAGTGAAGAATTCTTTGAAATGTGAAGAATCACTTGCTAAACTTTCTGATTTGCTAGACTAGGTTTTCCTAAATTGGCCTAGTTTAAAATGGGCATACCTGTGCTTAAAAAGATCCAGAGACCTTCCACCTATCTGCAAATACAAAATTAGCAGTAATAACTGACAATCAGCCTCCTTTCCCTCTGTCAGTTATAGGGACTATTTAAGGCTATATCTTTTTCATGCTCTTGAAGTAATGTGAGGTTTAGATTTGACTCCCTTTAATCTGAAACACTGACTTAGCTCCAAACCACTTAACAGCCTGCCATTTTGCACTGGGAGGGGAAAAACAGCAATGTAATTTACTGTCCACATTTTATAGTTTTCCCTTAAAAAAAAAAAAAACTTGCTTACACAGTTCCTGTATTTGCACAGACTAGAGAGTGAAATGGCTTTTAAATGCAGCCCTGGCTGGGCAATGCCAGGAACCCACAGCAGCTGACAGGCCACTCTAGCTGGGGAAAGGCAGTCAGAGGTAAAGAGCATCTCTGGGAATAAAGGTGTCAGGGAGAGAGTGTGAGGGAAGATGTAGGCGGCACAGGTGGGAAGGACAGAGGGTCATGGCTGGCCTACGCTTCATAACTTACGTGCACATCTAGACACATCTTGATAACGATCCTGTCATCATTTTAGTCAGGCAGAAGCATTTCCTGGGCCCTGACTCATTGCTTGGGAATTTCTTCACCATTACCCTGTCTGAACCCTGGTCTCTTAGAGATCTAGCCAAAAGAACCTCTGGCCTTATATATTATCTCTATTACTGAATGAACAGTGTCTGTCTTGGGTCTTGTCTAGGAAAACGGAATAAGAAGCAGGATTCTTGAAGTCTCACCTTGAGAATCATGCTCCACCCCGCTAGAACTTTACCCTGACTCCTGGTCCCTGTGCCCTACTGCCTCACATTTTTCAACTTCTCCTGCTCCATATTCCCTTCCAGCTCCATCCATTCATGGAGCAGTTACTAAACATCTGATATGGGAACCCACCCACTGGACTAGTAAGGAACCCTGTATTAGTCAGGGTTCTTCAGAGAAACAGAACCAATAGGATTATGTGTGTGTGTGTGTGTGTGTGTGTGTGTGTGTGTATAATATGTGTATGTATGCACATGCCCAGTTAATTTTTAATTGTTCATGTATATATAATTAAACATATATGTATATTAATTTACATATTTATATACATATGCATAGTAAATGTGTATGTAAATACATATATGCATATATTTAACTTAAATATATACACATGTGTGTATATGTATAAAATATATTTTATATATACACACACACATATGTATATATATACACACACCTGTCTTCCTGTGTGTATATATACATATATACATACACCAATGTATACATTTTTACATATGGCTCTTGGTTTACATGTATACATACATGAAGACAAAATCGACAGGATGTATGCGTGTATGTATGTGTATATACGGATGTATATATGTATATATGTGCATGTGTATAACCAGATGTATATGTGTGTATGTGTGTGTATGTGTATATACAGATGTGTATATATATGTATACACATACACACACATCCTGTTGATTCCGTCTTCATGTATGTATACATGTAAACCAAGAGCTGTATGTATATATGTATACATTGGTGTATGTATATATGTATACATACACATGGGAAGACAGGTGTGTATATATACATATATATGTGTGTATGTATATAAAATATGTTTATATTACACATATATACACAAATATATGTGTATTTTAAGAATTTAAGATTTATTTTAAGAAACTGGCTTATGTGATTGTGGAGACTGGAAAGCATGTGTGTATGTATGTGTGTGTGTGTGTGTGTGTGTGTGTCTATGTGTGTGTGTGTGTGTGTGTGTCTATGTGTGTGTGTATGTGCATACATGCACATGCCCCAATAGTGTGTGTGTATCTATCTATCCATCTATCTTTTTTTAATTAAAAAATTTTAAGAGACAGGGTCTTGCTCTGTCACCCAGGCTGGAGTGCAGTGGTGCAATCGTAGCTCACGGTAGCCTTCACTCCTGGGCTCAAGTGGTCCTTCCATCTCAGCCTTCAGAATAACTAGCCCTACAGGTGTGTGCCACTACATCTGGGTAATTAAACTTTTTTTTTTTTTTTTTTTTTTTTTGTAGAGAGGGAGGTCTTGCTGTGTTGCCTAGGCTGGTCTTGAACTCCAGGCCTAAAGCAATCCTCCTGCCTTCACTTCCCAATGCGCTGGGATTACAGGCATGAGCCACCACACCCAGCCTATCTATCTTGATTTGTTTTAAGGATTTGGCTCATGTAGATGCGGAGATTGGCAAATCCAAATTATGCAAGCCAGGCATGATGGTTCACACCTGTAATCTCAGCACTTTGGGTGGGCGATGTGAGAGGATCGCTTGAAGCCAGGAGTTTGAGACTAGCTTGGCCAACAAAGCAAGACCCTGTCTCTACAAAAATAAACCAGGGAAGTGTTGAGGTTGAAGCTTAAGTCTGAAGACAGTCTGGAGACATAATTCTCTCTTCCTTAGGGAAGGTCAGCCTTTATTCTCAGCCTTTATTCTATTAAAGCCCTCAAATGATTGGATGAGGCCCAACAACATTATGAGGGTAATATACTTCACTTAAAGTTTCATGATTTAAATATTAATCTCACTATCCCTAGTCAAGTAATTATTCCTTCCTCTCCATTTCCAAAGCCCTTTGTTTATAACTGCTATGGAACCTACCACAAGGCTCATAACTTGATTTATAGTTGTTTATTTATGTAAGCATCTTCCTAACTAGACATTTATTAATCAAGGACAAGGGCCCATATTATTTTCCTTTGTCAGAGTCACTATCTGTGATGACTGATTTTATGTATTAATTTGGGTAGGCTATAGTACCCACATATTGAAGGGACAGGATTCACAGTATGAGAAATTCTTCAAACACAGAATGCACGTTCACAAGATGCTGGGTGGCCACAAACATGCCTACGTTAGTGAGTGAAGAAGAGGGAGGAATCAAAACTGATTCCAAGTTTTCTCATTTAGCAGCTGGGTGATTGGCGATGTTGTGACCAAGGCAAGGAAAATGGGAGGACTAGATCTGTGGGACAGAAAGACAAAATTGAGTTTTTGTTTTTGAATACGTTGAATTGAAGATATCTGCAGCACATCAGTGTGGAGACAGTTGTACAATAGACAGAAATTTGGGTTCTAGGCTTAAAATAGCAGATAGGACTAGAGATATAAATTTCGTAACCACCCTATAGATGTGGCAATAGACAAGGCTAAACAGGAAGTATGTAACCCTAGGAACATCTGCCCCAGAAGGGCAGGTGGAAGAGGAGGAATGCTCGCCCAAGGACTAAGGAGAACAAGTTGGGGAGGTATAAGGAGAATCCAAAGACTGAGAAATCTACAGTGTCATGGAAATCAAAAGTGCAAAGGAAGAAGGTGGTGAGCAAGAAAGTGAAATGTTACAGAGAGATGAGTAGAGTGAGGACTAAAGGGCACTGGATTCCCCAGGCAGGAGGTCATTGGTGGTATGCAGAGGTGCTTTGCCTTAGGCCAAGATCACGACCCATTTAGGGTAGACAGTCACATGCTGTGGGCCTCTCCTCAGCCCTCACCAATATACAACATTCATCCTTTTGTACCCACCCTTCCCTCAGTCCCCGCAGTGTCCCTTCTCAAGCCCACTTCACCCTATATTTCCTAACAACCCTTCCCCAAACCAGCACCCCATTTGAGTCTCAGGTCCCAGCTCTATGCTTTCCCAGACACACCATTCCCCCAGCTACTACCACCATTACCATCTCTCTGTCTCCAGTCCCTTTCAGTTCTCTTTGGTATTTTTCTGATTGTAGAATCACTTGTCTAGCACTCGTATATCAGTCCCCAGGCATGAACCAGTTTCTCTGCTTCCCTTTTTTCCATCCCTATTCCTAGGCATCCTTCCTACCCACCAATGGCACTGTCATTTTCCCCAAAGTCCTACCAATACTTCATGGACCAGCCCTCACCTGTACCCAAAGTTTTCCTGGCACCAGGCCTATTGTTCTTAATCTTTGGAGACTTTCCTGGCCAGCCTAGACCTACTTTTCTTTGCTTGTCTCTCACCTTTCTGGTTTTTCCTCTCACTTGGGATGCTGTTTTACTCCCCGGATTATGGTCCTTCCTTACTTTTGTATCTATCCTTTTTCCTTATCTGCTAGTTTTTTTAAAAAAAGTTTTAAAAAGCCATTATCTTTCAGAGATACATAATGAAATATTTATTGATGCAGTGCTATGACTGGGACTTAATTCAAAATATTTGGAAGTGGGGGCAAGTGAGTTGATATAAATGAAGAAATGATTGGTCATAAGTTGAAGCTGGTCATGGGTCATTGTTGAAGCTGACCGGTACATGGGTACATAATTTATATTACTCTCTCTACTTTTATATATGTTTAACATTTTCCAATGAAAGGTTTTAATGCAAATTAAATTGATACAAAGAAAACTAATATTGATTAGAAAAGAAAACTTAAATTGATAAAAAATATAATAATACAGATGTGGCAAAAGTCATGGAGGTAATATTTGAATGCCTGGTGTTGGGAAAACACTAAAACAATAGAAAAGGAGCTCAGAATGGGTGGGGTATGGAGCATTATACCTTGAGGAGGGAGGAAAGAAGCCTTGGTAGTTATATTGTTAAGGCCTGACCCTCGTGGTTGTGGAGTCCTTATACTCTTCAGGGAGTAAGGGGTTGAAGAACAGGTAGGACTTGAAAGAACAATTTTGAAACAGCCACTGTGTGGAGGAGGAAGGAAGCCAGCCAAAGGTTAGCAGCAGCTACGGCTGGAGAACATGAATTTGCAGGAGAGCTACTCACCAGTGTCTTCATGACTTAAATGTCTTCTAAGTGACTCTAGGAGCTTTTACAGGTGCTTCAGCCTTTCTGCAAAAAATGAGAAGCATTTTCCTTAAATCAACTAAGATGTAAACTGCCCATGAAACCCATTTGTCTCTTTAAACTCTGTTTTACATATTGAGTTTCAGGGAGGATTTTCATAGAAAAAAAGTCCACTGTTAAAATAATTTGACGAGATCAGCAATATCCCTGGCATAGCTGTGTACTTTCTGGTGTGTTACGCATTTGCTGCTACTTTTGTTGTGGGTGTTAAGTAGGACACACTGTAGCATGAGGGATATTGAGTCAATCTCAAAGGAAAGAGAATGTTGAGAGTGGCTCTTGCTGTTTGGAGTGGTTTATAGGGCTTTATCTCTCTCTTTGGTTAAGGCAGTGGTTTTCAACCTGTGCGTGTGCACACATATAATTTCAAGAGGTTCAAAGACAAGCGATTCTAGTCAAAATCCCAAATCCAAGCCCTGTGGCAAGAATGCTTCATGGGAACATGACCACTTGTGTTTAGCAAACTGAGGGCTTATTTGTGGCTTTCAGAAATGATGAGCAGTGTTGTCATTGAGATTGTTTATTCGAGATTGTTTATTCCACAGGCCTCTAATGTTAAAATTTGACTTTCCTATCTTAGTCCAGGAGCACTTACCAAAAGTTTTTCATTTAAGTCTGACTCAAAGTCTGTTATCCCTTTGATGCCAGATAATTGCTTTACATACACAACACTGGTAACAGTATGACATGTCCACATAATACAAGTTGTGTTTTATTTTATATTTTTAAAGAAAATTCTGTGTGTACAGACTTATGTGGTGAATCAGTAGCCGTGGTGGCATGTTTAAGAGGGAGAAGAGAGGTGACTGACATGTATTGAGCACTTAGGATACAGTAGGTGCTCTGTAACTTATTTAGTCCACATAGGATTGTCATTAGGCTGATATCACTTTTTCTATTTGAAAATGCAATAACTTTTGCAAATAGAAAATAATCAGAAAGTCTAATACGTTTGCCCAGAAGACCAGCTAATGAGTGGCTGAGCTGGCATTGAAACCCAGGTAGATCTGTCCTCTAAAGCAGCAGTCCCCCACCTTTTTGGCACCAAGGACCAGTTTCCTTGAAGACAATTTTTCCACGGATGGATGGCAGTGGGGTGGGGATGGCTTTGGGATGAAACTTCCATCTCAGGTCATCAGACATTAGTTAGATTCTCATAAGGAGCCCACAACCTGGATCCCTTGCATGCACAGTTCACAATAGGGTTTCTCCTCCTGTGAGAATCTAATGCTGCCATTGATCTGACAGAAGGTGGAGCTCAGGCGGTAATGCTCATTCACCTGCTGCCCACCTTCTGCTGTGCGACCCTGTTCCTAACAGCTCATGGACCACTACCGGTTCTTTGCCTAGGGGTTGAGGACCCCTGTTCTAAAGTTCTTTCTTGATAGAGAACACTGGGTATTTATTGATTTTTAGCCACCTTGTATTCATATCTCTCTTCTTTAGAGAATTATTCTCCCATCATCCTCCCACCCCTGCCCCCATTCTATGGTGTGCTGTGAAACTATTCATCAAGGTTCCCGGCTGCATGACCCAAGCTAGGCTAATCACATTCTCTGTGAGTTGTTTGAATTTTATATCGAGAGACTCACAGACTGAAAAATTTGCTGGAACTAATTCTTTCTAGTGAACACCATGGAAGAGCTAACTGTTGGCACCTGCTACCTCGCTTCCCTGAACTACCCTATTGCTTCTCTAGACTTCTCTTTGTTTCTGTAAGTGATTCAATATCCTTTAACAAGCCCATTTCTTTTGTAGGTTAACTGATGTTTTGGCCTGGATAATGTTCCTTCAAAATACGTATGTTGAAGCTCTAACACCCCCAGTGTGGTGGTATTTGGAGTTAGGGACCTTGGGAGGTAATTAGGTTTAGATGAGGTCACGAGGGTTGGACCTTCATAATGGAATTAGTGCCCTTACAAGAAGAGACACCTGAGAACTTGTTGCTGTCTCTTTGCCATGTGAAGACACAGTGAGAAGGTGGCCACTACAAGCTGAAGAGAGCCCTCACCAGAAACCAATTATGCTTGTACCCTTATCTCAGACTTCCAGCTGATGAGAAAATAAATTGCTGTTGTTTAAGGCACCACAGTCTTTGGTATTTTGTGATGGCAGCCTGGGCTGGCTAGTACAGGTGGGAAGTTTCCACTGCTTCCCACAAAAGAATCTGACTATGCAAAATGACGAATGAGAAGGCATATTTTACCCTGTAGTACCTTGGCTCTGAGATGGGGAAGAAAGAAGGACAAAGGTTAAACCAGCAAATTCAGTGACTTGCTATCATCTCTAGACAGGAAAAGTTTGGTGAATAAGGAAGAGGTTGAAATTATTTCATAGTGTGTGATTTTGGAATTATTTATGGGTTATACTTATTCTTACTCTTCTGTATCTTGTTTGCATATTCCTCATCCCTAACTTAATCATGATTTAGCTCTTACATGGTGAATAAACCAGTGGAAACTTAGAAAATTAATTGGCCCAGGATACCTTTTTCTTTAGGCTGCAGAGCTGGCAAAATGAAAGCATATCCCCAGGAAGTGGTCTGCCAGGAAGAAAAGCTGCACTGAAATGGGCATCTAAATTTTTCCTTCCTACTTGTTTGCTTTGGTCTTAAAGAATGTTTGAAATTCCTACTGCCGGAATTTGTTCATTGGCTCACAGTCACCTCTTCTAATATATGTTCGTCTTTTATTTTTAGAGCTTTGTTTTGATCTATATGTCTCTTAGTTCTCAGAGAAATGCATCCCATGAAATGATTCAGTTCTGAGAAATCAAGCCAGGTAAAGATGAAATGTAAGGCTTTACCAACTCTATAATACTTTTCATCTGCTTTTAAAGATATACACCCTCCCACTAGGATTTCTTGGCATCATCTACATGTTTTCCTATTAGTTACGGACATTTTGAGCTTTCATGGTATCCTAGTTATCACCCCTCTTGTCTTACAGATGAGGAAATAGATGTCTAGAGTGGTAACTGGCTTATCAATAATTATGTAATTAATTTGTGACTAAGTAGGGACTCGAAACCAATTTTTCAGATTTCCAGTTCAGCTTTCGTTCTACTTCCACAAACTGCCAATTAATTGACCAAGCCAAGAGAATAAAAGCAATTCTCATTCATCCCAAACTAAAGAAAAATATGGAAAAGAAGAAATAGAGTTTTCAAAGTATTGAGTTTCATTGAGCAAAAGGGGAAGATTTGGAGCCATGTTGAGGAAAGAGGCAGAGAGGTAATGCTTTCTGGAAGGATCATTTTTAAGCTTACTGCCAGATTGCTTTATTCCCTGGGCATGTGCCTGCATGTTTATTTCATGGGTTAAATGATCCCTTTAAGGTGAATGAAACACTGTCTCATTTCCTTGCAAACCAAAATTTAAATAAAATAATTTTTTCCCTTGGGAGTTTGTCACATTAAATCCACTAGGTTTAAGCATGTGTGTTGAAAACAGGCTAAGGGGAACTGGAACTTCATCTTATTTCTCTAATTGGTGTCTGTGCCTTCTTGCCTTTGGAGAAGTGAACGTTGTCTGGGCATCCTACTCATGTTTCAGCTCTAGAGTGAATGTCCAGGGTCTGCTTGATAACTCTTTTTCTTCCTGGACAACCACGCCCTAGGTCAAGATGGTCTGTTTTCACTATGGGCCAGCTGTTCCAGGATTATTTTTTCAGGGTTGGAAACCACAATTTTGGACTCTGAGCCTGAGAATAAAAGTGTAAAGGAAAAGGTCAAATAACATTTTGTGGGATTATCTGCATTCTATTTGAAAACCAAGGAAGTCTATCTTCAGTGTTTTTTAGTACCCCTACTCTAAACATATTGCTCTAAACAACATATGATGAAAAGTCATAAATATTTAGTAAAAACACACATTCCTCTTCTTTCCTCTAGGCAACAAAAGCAAATATCGAAAAGGAGTAGAACAGTTGGAATTTATAATCTTCCTTCTGAACTAACAGGTACTTCTTCATAACCCTAAGGGGCTCGGGTTCTGGGCCTGGACTCCCAAATCCTTCTGCGTGTAAATAAAAAACAATGCTTAAAGCAAATATTTTAGTGAGGAAAACAACTTTGGAGCCATCCTTACCATAATGGGCTGCTGGAGTTGAGTAATTAGTAGCTATAGCATTTAGGGCAGGGTTTTAGGAAGTCAGTCTCTGTAGTTGAAAGCATTTGCCACGTCATAAGAATTTGTGTCATAAGAATATTCAATGAATTTTTGGAAACAAACAAAAGGAAAGTAATAACCATCAAGCTCAATGATTGAAATTGGTTGTATTTTGTGAAGTTGTTCATTTTTTTCTCCTTGTATTTAGATTATATTTACAAAGCTTTGAGTCCTAAATTCCCATTATTTTTAATAAATATCAATAATAATGTAAGCAAACATTTAAAAGTTAATTAGTAATTGTATCTTCCCAATATGATATATATTTTTGCATAATAGTTTCTAATTCTTTTCATGCATATAGATTTTATAATATTTATAATAAAAATATTTTATATTATGCTTTTTTATGTAACATTCTGTCTTGACATTAAAATTATCCATGTTTTTAGTCTTATTAACAATTGCTTCTTTAAATGACTGATTAATATTTCATAGTATCTATCCTAATTTGCTGACTGCTACTGGCAACTTAGCCTTCAACTTTATTAAAGTATATTTTAGAAATGTAAATGTATATCATAAATAACATTATATTGACATCTTAACATATATACCTTTTTATTTTATTATTCAGTTGAATTACTTTTTCATGAATAAATTCTCAGAAATGTTATAATGGTTAAGATTACGAACATCTTTAGGGTTCTTGCTATTTATTGACAAATACTTTTTAAAGTGTATATAGCATGACTGTATAACTTTCTCTGCAATTTTATGTATATTTGGTATTATCATTTATTTGCTTTAATTTGCATTTCTTTGATTATTAGGCAGATACACATTTTTCTTTGTGGATTTTATTGTTTTTGCTAGTTGTATTTATTTGCATGTGAATTCTGTGGTATCGTCTGGATATTTGATCCACCCAAACTTCATGTTGAAATTGTGGGGCTGCTTAGGTCATGGGGCCAGATCCCTCATGGATAGATTAATGCCCTTCCTGATGAGGGGAGGGAGTTTGTAAGTTCTCCCTCTATTAGTTCCTGAAATAACTGGTTGTTAAAGGGTCTGACACCTTCCTTCTCCCTTTCCTGCTTCCTTTCTTGCCATGTGATACTGCACACACTGGCTCCCCTTCTCCTTCTACCATGAGTGGAAGCAGCTTGATGCCCTCACCACAAGCAGATGCTGGTGCCATGCTTCCTGTACAGCCTGCAGAACCATAAGCCAAATAAACCCCTTTTCTTTATAAATTATCCAGCCTCAACATAAGATGAACTAACTTGTTTAATCTGTTTTACTATTTCTGTAAGGAACAGTACACTTTGACTACTGGATAGCTGGATTACCTATGCTATAGTAATCTTCAGACCAGGAACATTAGAACATTTTTTTCTTAGGTGAGATTTATCTGAAACCATCTCACTACATTTTACATTTAGCAGATGTAACTATTAAATTGGTATAATAAAGAAATTATCCTGCTTCTTGCTGTGCCCTCACATGGCAGAGGGAGAGAGAGCACAAGCTCTCTTGTCTCTTATGATAAAGGTACTAATTCCATCGTGACAGCCCGACCCTCATGTCCTTATCTAAACCTAAATACCTTCCAGAGGCCCCATCTCTAGACACCATGACATTGGGGTTTCAACATATGAATTTTGGGAGAGACACAAACATTTAGTTCTTAACACTCCCCTTCTCCCTCAGGCCACTTCAGTCTACCCAAGTACACAGCCTCCTAATTAAGGGGTACTTGGTGATTCTTAAAGACAGGGGTAAATTTTCATGAACATCTGATCAAGCTTTTTTTTTTTTTAGACGGAGTTTTGCTTTTGTTGCCCAGCCTGGAGTGCAATGGTGCAATCTCAGCTCACTGCAACCTCCGCCTCCCAGGTTCAAGCAATTCTCCTGACTCAGCCTCCCAAGTAGCTGGGATTACAGGAATGTGCCACCACGCCCGGCTAATTTTTTCATATTTTAGTAGAGATGGGGTTTCACCATCTTGATCAAGCTTTTAAAAATTGAATTAATAGGTATAGAACACAATGAAACAAACCAAGAAAGAACAAGTGGAAAGAAAGTAGTTAGAGCACTTAATGTCAAGTTAAATCAATCACTAAGCATAATTTGTCTTGTGGGTATTGATGATGGCATGTGGTATGTGTTGAGATTTAAGAATGTATTTCACAGTGACATGGATGGAGCTGGAAACCATTATCCTTAACAAACTAACACAGGAACAGAAAACCAAGTATTGCATGTTCTCACTTATAAGTGGGAGCTGAATGATGAGAACATAGGGACACATAGAGGGAAACAACACATACTGGGGCCTTTTGGAGGGTGCTGGGTGGGAGGCAGGAGAGGATCAGGAAGTATAATTAATGGGTTCTAGACTTAATACCTGGGTGATGAAATAATCTGTACAACAAAACCCCATGATACAAGTTTACCTATGTAACAAACCTGTATATGTACCCATGCACTTAAAGTTAAAAAAAAACCTATTTAAATGATAGGAAGGCTGTTCTTTACATCTTACAACTCACACATTAACCAAAGAGGAAGGTCCCATTACTGCAGGGATCTTAGCAGTACTGGGACCTACCTCTTTGGTACTTTCCCCTGGGCCCCCTTCATTTCACTCCCTACCCACACTCTTTGTCCTGAGCTCCCACTTACCAAATGGCATCAGGCTTGTTACTCATTTGGCTATTTTCTCTTGTGAGTCAGGAATGATTCAATATCCTGGCAAGGGTTAGGAAGGCTAGTCTTTTTAAAGAGCTCTCTTATAGGTAAATACAAACATGATAACTTGGGTGTTTGAAACCACTTTTAAGTATGTTTTTTACTAATTCTTAAGGTTGAAGAGATATCTTGGGATAAAAAATTGCATTAGTTGACAATTTAAAAAATGTAGTTTGTAAAGTCTGAATAACTCTTATTTGTATATGGTAAAAAGTGTAAATTACAAAAAAGATATACAATGAAAAATGAATTTCCTTCTCATTTCACATCCCTAGTTCTCTCTGTCTCCCCTTCAGAGGCAACCACTACTAATTACTTGCTAGCACCCTTCCACAAACATTCTCTACGTAATCAA
Source organism: Homo sapiens (assembly GCF_000001405.40). Lineage (NCBI taxonomy): Eukaryota > Metazoa > Chordata > Mammalia > Primates > Hominidae > Homo > Homo sapiens. The sequence goes on from NC_000005.10 coordinate 96,079,699, forward strand.
ACTTCAATATTGTTTATATAGCAACCTTTAAGAATCAATTAGGAACATACTATATACATCTTGGTTATTATTATTTTTAACTTAACCATGTTTTGTTTCTTAGAAATTTTTCTATATCAGCACAAATAGCTTTATCCTATTCTTTTAAATGGCCCTATGATGAGGATATGCCTTAATTTATTAAAGTAGTCCTCTAATAATAGGTATTTAGGTTATTTCTAGTCTTTTAAAAAGCAAACCCCACTGCCTGAAAAGCCTTATATATACATATTCGTGCATTTGTGTGGTTTTGTAAGTATATTTGTAGTATATCTATAGGTTGAATAACAGCATGAAGAGAAATATGATCTTGTAGTGGTTAAAAGCATAATTATTATGGGTTTGACTGCCTGCTACTGGCCTACGACTTATTAGCCATATAACCTAGGACAAGTTACTCAACTTTCTGTACCTCAGTTTTCTTATCTGCAAAATGGGTATAAATAATAGTATATACCTTGAAGAGGTGTTATGGGCATTAAAGGACCTAACAGAAGTACATCATGCTGATATCCACATATAATACATTCTACATAAATTATCTCACTAGGATACTTTCCTGGAAAACAGGACTTTCTCTTTTAAAAATATTAATGCTATCATTGGATGATAACTGTTTTTCTTCTTGAAACTTGACAAAATCTCACTACTAAGCTTATTACAAATACTGATATAATTCATGCTCATTTTGGCTTGAAGGAGATAGTTTGGCAGGGCAAATTGAGAGTAAAGTTCCTGACCATAGGTATAAGTGAAAGTCTGAATTTAGTCTTAATTTGTTTTTGAACATTAGATTAAAGTTCATCATTTTGGACCTCAGTGTCCTTATCTGTTACATGCAGGGATTAGATTAGATGATCCCTAAAGTATCTTCCAGTTCCAACAATTATGTCTGTGCTTATTCCATTCTCAAAATGAGACCTGATTTATGTGGCTTAGACAATTGTGGGAGATAAGTTTAAATCCTGACTCATCTAACTGTGACTTTGCACATGTTGTTCCCTGTGTGTGGAATGACCTTCCCCCTTGTCTGAGTGTTGAGCTGAGCTCTGATTCACCCTAGGAGACTCAACTCTGGCTGGGCCCTCTCTTTAAAACCTTCCCCAAGTGCCCCAGCTGAGCTAGGCACAATTTCCCTTTGAGCTCTCTTAGCCCCTGTGTTATGTGGTAGGATAAGAGTGTGAAGCCTTAACTGATAACTTTTATATGTTATCAGCTTTGGTATTGTATTTTCAATGCACAAAGAAGAGATGGCACTTTCTTTTCTTGGATTGTAAGTTTCAAAAGTCTGGGTCCTATAAGGAATCAAAAGGCCTATGTGCCTAGATAAAATGATGACTGGGATAAATCACCCCCAAGCTTCCATGCTCCAGAGGACAGAAAGTTCTTCAGACAGAAGTAAGCAAAGGTTGAGTTGACACTGTGGATTCCTGACAAAGGAGTGAGACTCTCTGCCTTGTCCTTTCCCCTAGCTCAGCACAGGGAGAAGGAGAGTGACAGAGTTTGCCAAGAGGTATGTGAAATCTGAACACAGAGGGAATCCAGGTTCTCTTTCCTGTGTAGGGCCCAGGGAGGTAAGAGCCCAGAGTAGAAATGGCTGCACAGGGCATCCAGGTGGAGAGACCTGAGGGAACTTGTGAAGTCCCATAGAGCTCAGCATGGCATTGGATCAGAGAACGATATTCTTGTGGTCAGGAGGAGCACGGAAGTGGGAAAGGGAAGAGGATAATCTTGCTGAGTTTCCTGAGGCCCAGTGTGGTGTGAGAGAACAGAATGATCCCATGTACCTTAAAGGGGCAAGGGAGTTTGTTAATAGAGAGCTGGGCCATTCTGTTCAGGGAACATGAACAGAATCAGCAGTAACTTGCCTAGACTGACTACTGAAGACCAGATGGAGGACAACTCAGCAAATAAACAGATGCTCACCCACTCCCAGCCTGCTTCAGAGAGATAGAGGGATCCCAGATCAGCAGATGAAGTCTTTACAGCCTGGAGAAATGGAACTCTTTCTACAGCCTGGAGAAATGGACCTCCATTGTTAAAGTTAAGATACTTTATTAGAATTCTTAAAAATTTAAGTAAAGATGTCTAGCCCTTCTAAAACTTCTCCATTGTAAATGATTTCTTGTTTAAGTCTCTGGATTGCAAGCTCTTTGAGGAAAGGCACAAAGTCTTTATTTATTTATTTATTTTTGAGGCAGAGTCTCGCTCTGTCGCCCAGGCTGGAGTGTAGCGGCGTGATCTCGGCTCACTGCAACCTCTGCCTCCTGGGTTCAGGCGATTCTCCTGCCTCAGCCTCCCAAGTAGCTGGAACTACAGGCGCACGCTACCACACCTGGCTAATTTTTGTATTTTTAGTAGAGACGGGGTTTCACCATGTTGGTTAGGCTGGTCTCAAACTCTTGACCTCATGATCTGCCCGCCTTGGCCTTCCAAAGTGCTGGGATTACAGGTGTGAGCCACCACACCCAGCTCTTATTTTCTTTTTTATTTGTTCCTTTACCTTGCAAGTGCTGACACAGAGGAGGCCTACAGTAAGCTTTTTAAATGAGTAAATGGACATTTATTGGTTGGCTATTGTGTGCCACAACCTATCCTTGGTGCTTTCACAGCCCTATGGACTAGGCATAATTATCTCCATTTTGCAGCTGAGAAAAAGCAGGGCACGAGGAACTCACATAACCCATTCATGAGCAGCAGAAGGCAGATCTCTCATTCATTCACACTCTAGGTCCTCTGACACCAGACTGCCTTGCCAGGTGAAAATGAAGATTTTTCTCTTACTGTCTAAACTATGGAATAAGAAGGAAAATTCATTTCTACTTATTTTAGTAACTTTATATGTGTATCTTGCTTTACTGCTTCCAAAATGAAAAGCAGAGTGTTCTCTGCTCATTTTACTTTTATTATTAGTTATACATTTTTTTTAAAGTACCTAGTACAGTATGATCATGATCCCACAAGTATAATAAAGGTATGGACAAATCTTCTTTATAATGCTGCCTGGATTATTTATAAAAGAAATATATTCTCCATAGGAGGGAGGAAGAGCTTTTTTAAAAAGAAATACATGCTCTCTGTAGAAAAAAATTAAAATCAGAAAAAGGCAAGAAAGAAATTAGAATTTCACTCCCTACAGATACCCACTATTAGCTTTCAGTTATCATTTGCCCTAATTTTAGAAACACTAAAATTCACCCTGATTTTAGAAACATTAAGTTAGAAATATTTAGAAACAATTGGTATCAATACTTTGTCTATGTGCCATTATTTCACTCAGTGTTCTCCATAGCATAGGGTATTTGGCTTTCATGAAACCAAGAGCCATCGGTTTAGATTGTAGCACTTAGTGGGAGAAGAAATTTTTGGAGTTAGGTCTAAACAGGTAAATTGAGATACTCAATATGCAAATTATTGCTTTATATGCTCTTCCAGAAAACTTGTAAAGATTCAAGGGAAGTAAAAATGTTCATATAATGCAGCAAGACTGTTATGACTACAGTAAACTTTAGTTGCCATTTGAAATACCAAAAAGAGAATAAAAATACTCTGAAGCACGGTTTATGATGGTTTAACAATCCTAGAGAGAGGAGGGACATTGTGTTCTGGAGGGATCTGACCACCTGGCCTCAGTGTATCATCCATACCCATAGTCAGGGTTTTATCACTTCAACTGTTGTCTTGAACCAAAGAGAGAGAAGTTAGCAAGTCAGCCATGAGGCAGCAACGTCCTCCCTCCCTTTCCCAGAAGTGGTGACACACTGGGCTAAAACAAGTAGTAAAAGTTTACTGCTAGATTTACATTTCAGGCTTTCTAGAAAATTAACATGTCTATTTTAGGCCAATTAAAGAAGAAAGGCACCTACCACCAGGGCATTAGAATTTTCTCAATGTGAATGGAAACTACTGTAGAATTGTTTTGGCTTGTTTCCATGGTGTTTAAGAAAGTAGGAGGTCTGGAGGGCACCATAAATTGACTTGATGTTTTTAGATTTTTGACATGTGGGGACTAATCTCATTTCCCTGTCAGTGTACCCTGTCAGCTGCTGCAGATGAAAATACGATTAGCCCTTCCCTTTAATTGCCCACGCAATAAACCCATCATCTCAAAACCATGGTGTGGTGGTTCGGGGCACAGACTTGGAGCCAGACTACTTGCATTACTACTTGCATTTGAATCCTGATTCTGCTGTTAACGAGACTTTTGGCAAGCTACTAAAGATGTTGCCTTATGTTTCTATTGCAGGGGTTTTTTAAAATAAGGATTAAATGCGTTAAAATGTGTAAAGCATTTAGAACAATGCCTGGTGCATAGTAAGAACTATACGAGTGTTAAATAAAACATTATAATTAGGCTTCCTATGATTGCTGGTGAACCAGAGGTAAAACAACTGGCCAGGAGTGAGCTAATGACATATGGCTGACTTGGAAATCTTATAATAATAATAATAATAAAGTTCCAATATTGTTATGGCACAGTGGGTGGGTGGTTACAAGAGAAAAAGGAAGGTTAGGGCTGAACACTGCAGGGATCTTGAAACCTGTGGGTTGCTTTAGTAGGCAAGGTATGTTGGGGCTGGCCAGAGGGATGAATGTGGTAAACTGGGTAATTTTAGGAAAAGGATGAATATTCAAAGAGGGATTGGGATTCTTCAGATTGCTTACCTAGATTGTGGAGTGGGTTAGTAGAGATAAAAGGAGCCTGGGGAATAGATTGGAGATATCCAGAGTTACTCCTTCTTGTTAGGCTTTTGGATAAATCAGATCGTATTTTAATCTTCAATTCACTGATTCTATCAGTTACCATTTGTTGGTCGCAGGCACCAGAATCCACTTCTGGCTAATTGGATCAGAGAAATAATTTACTGGAAGTGGGGAAACTTAACCAAAAGAAAGGCAAGGAAAGAGACTTAGACTGGGAAGTAAAGGCCACTGGGAGGCTGGGAAGCAGGGACTGCTGAATGGTCACTTCAGGGCCAGTTAGCCCTGTCCCTCTGCTCAATGTTCATATTCCAGGGAGAGGAATCTGAATGACCTAGCTTGGGTCAGATCTCCAGCCCTTGGCTAGAGGAGGGCAGGGTAAACCTGAATGTACCTGAAGTGGGTGGTCCTCCAAAGCAAAATCAGAGTGCTATTCCCAGAAGAAGGAAGAAAGGAAGCAGAGAGGACAAAAACAACAAATGCCCATGCTCACTACTGTATATGGCTTCAAGCAACCAGTGAGGAAGACAAAGGTATAAAGCGATAGGAAGGCCCTGAATTCTTTGACTTTTAATCTTTCTACCCCATTCCAGCTATCTTCTTCTCTAACCTTGAAGCTAGACACCTGAGCCTGTACTTAACCAGGAAGTATCCTACAGCTCTGATGAAGTCATCTCCTGATTCTAACACAGTCTGATTGAAAGAAAACAACTTAAAACACCATAGATTTTTATCAAAATGATATTTATCTTTCATTAGGTACTTATTGAATGTCTACTGTCTATCAATTAAAAAAAAATAAAACTTATTCTCTTCCTGTCAGAAATTCTACCAGCCAGGGAAGCAAGACTGACACATAAGCAAATAAATTACATGATTACAACACAGTGTGAATAATACTATAATAGAGGAACGAAAATGAACTGCCTGAGGACTCAGTGGAGGTGGCATTTGAACTAGTTCTTGAGAAACAAATGAGCACTTATAATTTTAAATTGAGACATTTATTATAAAAGCAAATTTGTGACCCCAAATTATAAACATTATTTGCACTGCTGTCAGCAGCAATGATTTCATCCACTGGCAGCATACATATTGTTCAGTCTTAGAGGGCTAAGAACTGAGGTTGTAAATAATACCTTGAAAGTCAAAAAGTGAGGAACAAATAAACTGTCACATTCCTAAATTACAACAATTTTTAAACAATGCCCTGTTTGCAATACTCATAGTTTCATGAGCTTAACTAGACGTGAAATGTGCTAGGTCCCTCCAGGACTTCTCAAGCCCATCAGCAGCTGTCACTCATGGGCTTGGGCAGCTTGAAGGTCAGAGATGCTGCTGGATAGGGCAGGGGTCTTGGATCAGCTACCGACTTTTTAGTGTAGTGGCTACTTACATAATTAACATCCATATCTTGTCCAGAACTCATTTACAGTATGTCTTTGTGTTGGCAATGTCTCTGGATTTCAAACTTTTCTAGAAATCATAAAATGAGAGTAAGGAATATAGTGGTATCATCATCCCTCTGTATCTGCAAGGGATTGCTTCCAGGACCTCCCCTGAAAGATTCCAAAATCCATGAATGCTCAAGTCTCTAATACAAAACAGCATAGTATTTATATATGACCTATGTACATTTTTGCTGTATATTTTAAATAATCTGTAGATTGCTTATAATATCTAATACAATGTAAATACTATTTATATTTGTCATACTGTGTTTTTTAACTTATATTTTAAAAATGGTTGTATTATTGGTTTTTATTTTATTTTTTAATCTTTTAGATCTGTAGTTGGATGAATCCCAGGATCAGAACCTGCAAATGGAGGGCCCATTTTAATAAATAACTCAAAATTAGTTTGAATAAGAAGTAGCTCATCACAAAGTAGGATGGTGAAGCCTCAACAATTAGCAGATTATTCTCAATTTGTAACAACATTGTCAGAATTTCTTATAATAAGAGTATGTTTTCCTGTGGCAAATGGATATTTCTAAAGCGTTGGGAAATATTTTTTCTCTTGGTATAAATCTTTACCAGGGTGCATTGCATGTATCTCTATAAACTACCTCAGATCACTTTTTAGACCAAAGTAGGAAAGCAAAGAGGAAATGAATGCATTTTTAAAAGCTCTAAAAATCTATTTAAATAATTGCATTATGAAGTTTGAGTTAATAAAAACTGTCCAAAGCCCTAAAAAATGGTTCCTTTGACACCATTCTTTTGGTCCAGAGAGGCTGTTAGATGTCCTGAGCTTTTTCTCAGCTCTGTTTCTATCTGTCTGTGTAAACCTGGGTAGAATATCAGGATAACCCCGGTGAATTAGTTAGTTGACTTTTGAGATCACTTCTACATGAGATGGTTAGCCCTACCCTTCTAATCTGCCTTCAAATTAGTTATCAATTTATTTCAAGCAGTATCAAGTTACTACTACTTAAAATAAATTAATGAAATATATATCTGTGAGATATTAGTGCAGGCATATTTGGTTGAGGTCTACTTTTTATTTTAGTAAACATTCCTACTACCTGTTTTGGTTAAAACTTCTCTGAAACAAAATATAGTTTAAAGGGCATGCAGACAAAAGAAGCAACTCTAAAAGTTGTTGGTAGACAGGGATAGATCCTAGGTTACCCAGAGATTTCCCACCTGTAGGAACTTAGAACAACTTGCTCAATAGTTACATGATTTGCTTTCATATAACTCTGATATTAGACAGTATTCCGTAAGTGTTGGTGGGGAGAAATCCTCTAGCATAACATTTTGATAGATTCAGTTTATGCATTGGGTTATTTCATCAGAGGTTTCATTTACATTTTTTCCTGTAGTATATAATGGAGTCTATAACATAAGAGAACTAAGAGTGTGTGTGCATTTATTTTTTACACATTCCACCTAAAACTTGAAAAACCAATCTTCTTAAAATTCAAACTTCAGTTTAATTTTTTTCCATTTTTTTAAGATTCTAATCTTTTTCAACTTTCTACTTTTCATAGATTGTTGTTCATTCTTGCTTATGAAACTTTTCCCTATACCAGAAGTGCATAATAGAGGAAAGGCAGTGTCAGTGGAATGGAGGGAGACAGACAAATCACAGAAATCCAAATTGAGCTGAATGACCCCTGGAATACAATATGAAGATGAGTGTTCCAAATTATTTTTTTCTCTGGATGACAGAGTAATAAGAAATCAATCAATCACTCAATCAAACTCAATCAATGAAGATGAAGCAAAGCTCATCTGAGTGGTGATGGATGGTACTTGAGAGTGAATTAGTGACTGATTTGGCGGGATTTCAGAGGAGTAGAGCTAACGATGGCAAATCAGGTTAACTTTTATATATAGCTAACAGGATGTAGGCTGGGCAACAGCAACCTCTACCCAGCAACCTCCAACTGTGAGGCTGACCCAGATGCTGCTTCAGATCAGATGGAGTGAAACAAGTTCATCTGAAATCATTCTTTCAGCCCTGTAATTTTTATAATAACATGTATCAAGCCAGGAAACCTACACTTAAGCATCAGAATGCATCTGCATAGAGGCAAACAACTCCCAACAATGCCTCCATGACAATATGCTGTTGGTTGCTAATTGGGAAAAACACAGGTAATAATTACAAGGCATTCTGCTGCTTGCTGGAAGACACCTAAGGGGTTAAAATACTCAGCTCTATACAGCAACATCCTGGTTTAAAAATCTTTGACAGGTGGTGTTAGTAATGCGTACTTACTTGTTGTTTTAGTTGTGTAATATTTGTGCACACACTCAAAAAATAAAGCCAGGCTACAAGCAATCCATTAATGTGACTGCAACTGGGACCTCATCACTCCCTCCGGAGACAAATTACCCCTCATGTCAGTTAACCCTCGATGCCCATCTAAGCCACTGCTCTTTCTCTATGTCCTCTCCAGGCCATGGCTGCCAGTGTATTCTTTTTCCCAGATCTTGACAATCAACAGCTCAGCAAGGGGAACATTTTATATTTGCATCCTGAAAGGATGGCAGACCCAGGCTTTTAGCAGACCCAAGTAAGGAGAGCTAAGACAATGAGAGAATGTGTGGCGGCAGAATTCTCTCAGCCTGTGAAGCCCAGGATTCCTGCCTGGATCCTACAAGTTGGATTGGACTGCTCCACTGGATGAAGATATTAGTGTTGCAAATCCATCAGGGATTTATTCACTCTAGAAAGTTTTTATATAGTGGAAAATATAATGGAGGATGTTTCATTTTTCTAGAATATCCATTTTCCTTTTGTTTCAGTATATCAGGAAGCACTGCCCGATACTTGTCAGTCTCTCTTTAGTGTTAGGTTTCTGATGTATTGTCCCTCCCCATGATCCTTTTCCCCGAGAAACAGGGACAGATACTGGATTTTGAATGCTCCTGCTTGGGGCAGGCATCCCTTCCTGGATCACAGCCTGGCCTGGCCTTGTTGTGCAGCAGGCTGGTGGGGTTGCTGGGATACCCAGGGGTGACTCTGACAGTGCTCTGGTGGATTGAGGTGATTAGTTACAGCCAACTGCTTGTTTTCAGGGATTTATTCCATTTTCCTACTTTGTCAGCATCATCTAATTGGGGATCAGATGCTTTCAGTCAGCATCCTTTGCAGTGCAAGGAGCTCCAAAAATCTTTTTTTTTTTTTTTTTTTTTTAACTCTGGGAATATGCCCAGGCCTGAATAAATAAATTTCCCCTCTTCGCACTGAAGGAAGTATATGACTTTTAAAGGAGTAGGTGAACACATAGGTGTTTTTCTTTTAAACACAGAATGCAACACTGTTTTGTAACAGTGGAGGAAGTAGGAATGAATATATATTTCGAGGATTATAAACCAGTGCATAGCCTTCTGGAGGCAATTTTGTTATGTTTATCAATATTTAAAATGCACATACTCTTGAGGGAGGAATTTTACTTCTGAGAATGTATCCCAAAAGTATACTAGCATATGTGATCAAGGAAGAATGTACAAGGATATTTATATAGTATTGTTTACAAAGAAAAGGATGGAAAACAATTTAACAAAAGGTCCACTTAATAGAGGATGAGTTAAATAAGTTATCATACATCCATACAATAGATTATTTTAATAATTGTTAAAAGGATAAGGTGGGTCTAAATGTTCCAATATGGAAAATTTCTATGATGTACTAGTTAACAAAGAAGGGGAAGACCAATACTGCCATTTGTGTTTAAAAAGGGCTGTATGTATACATGTGCGTGTTTTTGTTTGTGTATGTGTAGCCTTTCTTGACATACTATTACCAACAGTTGCCTCTGATGAAGGGAATTGGGAAATCAAGAGAGAAGGATTGAAGGAGACTTACTTTTCACTGTATGCTTTTTTATAAAGCTTAAAATGTTTCTCTTGTGCATATAATTATTCTTCAAGTAAATAGGTAACTAAATAAATGATAAGTAAATAGAAGATGTTGATTTTTTATCTTCTCATTCGTATTTCTTCTTATTTCTTGCTTTCCACAGAAAGGATATTCTCTGACTGGGCTTTGGAGTCAGACCTTTAGTTCCTCCCCCACTAATTAGCTGTGTGACACTCTGCAAATTATTTGGTGGTATCCCAGTGTGCTAATCTTATTTTTTTTCCTTCCCCCTGGTAAAAGAGATTAATAGTATCTCAAGAGTTATTGTGAAGGTTAAGTAAGGTCCCTAGCACGATGCCTAGGCCATAATCCTTAATCAAGCCTTGATGAAAGCTAATTCCCTTCCCCTTGCAAGGCTTCAGGTTGTTATGTTGGTGGGATACGGGTCTCTAGTACCTTATGGCAGCCAAAACTTGTTCCTTTGTCCTTCTTGAGAGCATGTCTTCCCCTTGCAGCTGACTGAAGGTTCTATGGCTTACTAAGTTAAACAACAAAAAGAGAGAACAAGGTACCACAAAGCAAATAAACAAAACCTCTACCAGTGTTGTAATTTAAAACAGTCTCTGAGCTGGTGTTAGAGCAGGTGGGGCCATTAGTTCCCACTGAGCTGGCAGCATCCTCCCCAGAGCTCCCCAAGCTAGCTTCACACTTCTTAGTGGCTGTGACCATTAGGCCTCTCTGGGGTCCTCTTAGTTCTGGCAGCTGTTTAGTTCAGGGGGACTAAACAGCCATGGAGCTACCTAGAATCTTTTTCCCCAAGGTCTCCTGGGGCCTTCACTTTCCGGAAGAGGTTGAAAAATTTTTTTAAAAGACTTTTTTATGTTTTGTTTTTAAAACATATATTAAAAATCATGTCTGTGTTGGTGAGAAGAAGAGGGTATTTTTAAAATAAAGTACCTTCTGAGGGAACTTCTGTGGAATGGAGTGTGTGTGTGTGCGTGTGTTTCTTTTGGGAGATCAGCAGAGAACAGGAAGCAACTAAAGTGTTTTGCTTTGGTTCCCCTGTGGCCTCCATCTAGTTGCTGTAGTTGTACACACATACATCAACTTCAGATGCTGCCGAAGCTTGAGGCCATGGCCTCAAGTCCACAGAGGAGGACTGAGTTCTTCTGAGCTCTAGTGAGAGACCAGATGCCCATCCATTGTTCCCAGCTTTTGGAATATGTTCCTGTGTGCAGGTTCCCAGGTGCATTTTGGTGAGGAGAGAGATGCCTGGGGGGAAGGTACATTACAGTAGATTGCACCTGTCTCCATTACTACTTATTGCCGTCTGTTTGTAGTGTAGGGTTGGGGTGGAGGCTGCTGGCTTTGGAGACAGACAGGCCTGGATTTGAAAGCCAGCCTTGCTCATTTTTAGCTGGGTAATCTCAGGCATGTTACTGAATCTCTCTCTTTTTTTTTTTTTTGAGACAGACCCTCGCTCTGTCGCCCAGGCTGGAGTGCAGTGGCACAAGCTTGGCTCACTGCAACCTCTACCTCCCAGGTTCAAGCGATTCTCCTGCCTCAGCCTCCTGAGTAGCTGGGATTACAGTCACGCGCCACCATGCCTGGCTAATTTTTTTGTATTTTTAGTGGAGATGGGGTTTCTCCATGTTAGGCTGGCAGATCTTGAACTTCTGACCTCTGGTGATCCACCCACCTTGGCCTCCCAAAGTGCTGGAATTACAGGCATGAGCCACCATGCCTGGCCTTTTTTTTTTTTTTTTTTTGAGATAGGGTCTTACTCTGTCACCCAGGCTGGAGTGCAGTGGCACGATCAGGGCTCACTGTAGCTTTGCCCTCCCAGGCTCAAGTGATCCTCCCACCTCAGTCCCCCGAGTAGCTGGAACTACAGGTGTGCACCATCACGCCCAGCTAATTTTTGTATTTTTAGTAGAGACAGGGTTTCATTATGTTGCCAAGACTAGTCTCAAGCTCCTGGACTCGTGATCCTCCTGCCTCAGCCTCCCAAAGTGCTGGGATTACAGGCATGAGCCATCGTACCTGGCCCTGAATCTCTTAAAGCCATGATTTCTTCATGTGATACAGGAATAACAATGGCACCTGCCTCGTGGGGTTGGTGTGCTTAGTACCTGGCACACAGTGAGCACTCAGTCAGGGTTAGTACCAAATCAGACCTTGGCTGTCTCCATTTGATGGTGAGTTCTTGCAGGGAAGGTCTTTCCCTTTATCATAACCTAAGTGCCCAGCACATGACCTAAGCACTTGATGAATAAATGAGTGATGAATGAATGAATGAAATCCCCAAAGCAGAATCACACTGTGACTAATTTTGTGACACACTTACCATTCTCATTTGACTGACATCCTTTGAAGACACCCCTTTGACATCATTTCCTTCTTGTCTACTCCTCTCCCTTAGAAAACTCTCCTGCATATATGTATTGCTTTATAAATTATCTTTCACAGGTACCTTATTATAACTTGCTTTCTGTTTTTTATTCTTTCAAAGCGATGCTCTTATCCTCAAGACCACTGGAAAATAAAAAGAAATAAAAAAATTCTCAGGAATTTATGGCAGATTTTGTTAGTATTTCTTACTGCTTAAAATATACATTTGACTAGAAAGCAGGAAAAACATTTGCTCTTTCAGGATTTATGTATAAAATTCTCTTGGGTCTCTAACATGGCATTCAATATACATCCTCAACTCTTCCCCTTCCAAACTTGAGTTAGGCTTAGGTTTTCATGTAGCTTCATCGTGTAGCTTCATGACACCCAAATTTAAGATGGGCCATTACTGAGTTGGTTTAAAATATACATGATAACTTTCAAAGAGTGAAAATTAACCCATTGTCTCTTTTGTATTTGACCTAGAAGATTACTATAACATACTATCTCATAAAGGGGAATAATTTGAGGCCAACTTTCCTAACTAATATTGTGATTATAAAGGGAAGACCCTGAAGCTTTTCTATTTCCGGAAGAAAAACCTCTTAAATTCTACTTTTCAGACATGATCAAACCAGGCTCTAATGCCACATTGGCAGCTTTAGAATCATAGAAAGAGCTGAAAGAGACCATAGTGTCACCCAGTCCAACCCCTTCATTTTGGAGAGACACCGTGTAGCTTAACTAGGATCACAGAGCTATTTAGCGGCAGAGTGGGGCCTAGAATCCAGATCTCCTTAATCATTGTTCGGCGATTTTTCCAATTCACCCAATGCCTTTTCTCCTACAGTCAAGATTTAGAGGTTTTATTGACACATATTCAGATATTGTTATTCTTAATTTAAAAAATTTAAAGATTGATGTGTGAAGATTGATATCATTGAGAAAATTCTATAGGCAGTGCTGGGGGTTGTGTTACATTTCTCAAATTAAAATAAAAAAAATGAGGGACCAAACTAGATGTGTTTGGGATCATATTTGGCATGAGGATCAGCATTCGGTGACCCAATTCTTTATTTAGTTATGGAGACAAGTCTAGGGCATATATGAAACAGGTGAACAATATACAGCTGTTTTGTTAAGTGATACAGTACATGGTACAGAGAAAATGTTTATTGAGCAGTGCAGGAGGAAGAAAAGGTTAAATCTAGGTCCTGAAGAATGAGTATGGCTTTGTGTGCATTTGGAGAAGCAGGGCATTCCACTAAGAGCCAGCAGCAGCTGTTAAGTAGTGAAGGGACAATGGGCAGGGTGGAGCATGTCTTGCGTGTTCATGGGTGCCTGGCGAGGAAGCCAGTCTGACTGGAAAATAAGCCCAGCTGGTAGGGTGCTGTAAGATTATGCAGGACCTTAGAAGTGTGATAAAAGAGGTCAGACTTAGAGACCACAGGGAGCTGCACCTTGCATTTTGAGCTACAGCGTATCTTAACAGAGGCCTGTTTGATACTGTCACTTGGACAGTGTTTGGCAGTATGGGTTTGAAGGGTCTGGAAAACTACTTATGAGGCCCATGGGTATCTAGGCAGGAGATGGTAAAATGAGAGAGATAAGTACAGATAGAAAAGAAGAAGAAACTATGAATATATTTCAAAGGGAAAATCACTAGGGTAATTGTTTAGATTTGGTAGATTGAGAGAAGAAACTATTCAAAGTCCTAGGCTTTTTGCCTGGCTGACCAAGCTCAAAGAAGTTTGTGTCCTGAACTCCATTCCCTGCAAAGATTAGAGTTTGAGCTGATTGCTCTACTAGAACCTATTCCTGGTTGGCAATCTTCCTGTCCTCATGTTTCAGATTACAGAGCCCTTGTCTTAAAGGCATGCCTTATTTCCCTCAAGGAAAAACTATTTGTAAGGAAGTTAGTTGGTTACTTGCACCTACTGTCTGATTATTGACTTTGCCACTTAGTTATCTTGTTGTTAAATACACAGAAAAAGATCCCTGGAGCCCATTAGTCTCCACAGGTGGAAACGTATTTAATCTTTGGGAGAAAACCAAATTACTTACCTAGAATGTTTGTTCTCTGACTAATAATGTAGTCATGTTGATCCACCCCTTATGCCCAGTGAATTTCCAAAGATTTGGCATTGAGAGAGTGGCATTAGAAATTGTTTAACTCATATATATGACTAAGGGAGCCAGTAATACTCACTAGGAGACTGATGAAATTTAAGAAGATTCTAGGGCACAAAGGACTGCAAATCTTTTACAGTAGGGTGACCTTTTTTTTTTTTTCCTTTCTGGTCCAAGGGACATTTGATTCCATTACTGCCATATCTCCTTCTCCTGATATAGGCTGAAAATAAGATACACTTAGAAGAGAGCTGTGCTGCGAGTCTTTCTAATGCCAGCAAACATTTATGTAGTGAAATATTTAATACTTTCAGTGATCTTATGAGGTAGATAGAATTATCATTCCCATTTTACTGATAAAGATATGGAGAAAAGTTGAGAGAGGTGAAGTGAGCTGGGTGTTGAACGCTAGCTGTTTGACTTTAAATCATGACTTTTCCTCACTCTACTGTGAAGAGCTTGGGCAAGAAGTCAGGCTCAGCAAACCTGCCAACTTGTTTACATGTTTTATTTTTAAATTACGTGACATTGGTTCTCTACGGTTTGGACTTGTGTATTACAACAAGCAATACAGAGGCTTGCATATTACTCTCCATTGGCTGTTAGCTCTTGTGAAGTAATTAGGCTACAAAAGTCTTCCTTATAGTTATTTAAATCATCCAGCAAACCCAAATTCTTGTTTTGCTTCTTACAATGGCCTGCTTGCCTTGAAAAAAATGAGTATTCCATTTCTCTTACTATATTTAGCTGCCTGGAATGGTAACTTCTTCTTGCTTTTTGGGACTTTGGCTCAGAGCCAAGGTCATTGTGCAAGAAAAGGGTGAAATGGTTGGATTTAGGCTGTATCTTGTGTCAGTCATTTTTGCAAATGCAGCATTTTGACCAAAATGCAGCCACATGGCTCTAGGAAATGCTGGTTTGCAAACACACTTGGTGTGGTTTGCTGTTTTGTTTTTTCTCCCCCAATTAAGGTTTCTTGATCAGCTTGTCTTTAGAACACTTGTAAAAGTGTTCTAAGGTAGAATTCTGGCCAGGTGTAGTGGCTCACCTATAATCCCAGCACTTTAGGAGGCCCAGGTGAGAGGATCGCTGGAGGCCAGCCTGGGTGACATAGAGACACCCCTGTTTCTATAAGAAAAAAAAAACAATTAGCCAGGTGCCTGTATTCCCAGCTACTTGGGAGGCTGAGGCAAGAGGATCATTTGCACTCAAGAGTTCCAGGCTGCAGTGAGCTATTATTGTGCCATTGCACTCCAGCCTGGGCAACAGAGACTCTGTTTCAAAAAAAAAAAAAAAAAAAAAAAAAAAAAAAGACCTATTATATGAAAGGGTGATACATTCTCTACTTTAACCTGTGGCAAATCATCAACAATACTCCTCATTTTAAGTTTGAAGAAGATATGCTAGGCACCAAAAAGAAATTGCATCTGAATATGATAGAATCATCACATTCCTTGACCAGAAGAGACCTTGGTTCTTTCTTCCTTGTCCCTATCTTCTTGACAAAGACCCACTGAAAACATCTTCAGAAAAGACATAACATTAAAAAAAAATCCTTAAAGAGAGCCCAACTTTTCCTTATTATTAATTCTAGTGTTTAGCAACTTAGATTGTATTTAAATAACAGAAAAAAGCAGTTGTTGACAAGGTTGATCCAACTCTGTAACCATATTCCTCTTTGTTTTGGCCAAAATATAGCCAGTTTAATTGATTTTGTAGACATCAGCTATTCAGATGGAAGAAGATACCAGAATGGGTTATGTGGTACTCAGGCCACAGTGAAAGACCTAACCTCATTATCAGTAACTTCATCCTTTACCTAATCTCAATCATGGAAGGTGTGATTCAAGTAAACTTCCTCTGAAGCTGCCCTAAAAGGAGGTAGAAATAGCTTTTTGCCATTTACTGTGCAGGGAACCTCCATGTATACTGGAAGATAAGGACAAGAAACTTTGGATCTTTAGAATAAATCATCAGAGGCTCCTTTGCTGCTCAAGTCATTCAAATGACCTAAAGTTGTTCATTAAATGAAATAATGCTTGTAAACAATTGAGGACAAAGCCCTACAGTCCTAAGGGCTTAGTAAAAGTTAACTGTTATTCTTATTTAGAGAGACTGGTCCCAGAGCTTTAACATCAGCCCTCCACTGTCTCAATCCCTGCCACACAGAAAAGGACAAAGGAAGGTGATAGAACAAGACCCAGGGAAAGGGAGGGGAACAAAGCCATTGGCCTAACCATTCCTGCTGAACAACTGTCATTACTTTAGGGAAGAGGAATTCTTAGTCACTACCCAAACCTCTCTGTGTGATAGCTGCAATCTTGTTTCCATTTTATTTAGCCATTTAGTAAGCTATTTCCTATATATCCACAGTTGACTGCATCATTCTCAAATCCTCTTGTTTGAAGGCCCAGTTTAAGACCCTTTCCATTACCGTCTGCAGCAGAAGTGTCTGACTCCAGATGGCCTCTACCATCTGAATGAAGGGCTAGTTTTGGTTGGGTCCAGCAGATCCCTAAAGTACTTGATCACATGAAATGAAGTGACAACCCCACACTAGTGATCTAAACAGGGCAGTGGCATTGTCTCTGTCAGAGCTGGTGAAAGATGCTACTCTTGGAAAAAATTCTTGCCAATAGACTCCTGTTGGCAGTCTTTTGCATTTATTCATGCATATGAGTCATAAAGATCATCGAAATTCTCCAGGGTCCTTTTAAAAAAATATAATTTCCTTTGCACTGCCACCTGATATTTTGATTAAGTTTGACGTAGGACCCAGGAATATGTCTTAAAAGCTTTGTAGGTGATTCTAGGAGACTTTGATCTAAATAATTGAGCCTTTCCAAAGAAATGATTTCCAAAGAAATGATTTATCCTAAGTGAATGGGGAAGCTCTTTGAGCTTTCATAGTTTGCTCACTATGAGCTTTGGAGCTTTGGAGGGCTCTGATTTAGTTATAATATTAGCCTTTTTGAATTAGTTGTGTCTGCTGTGGAGTTCATGAGCCACACCCAGTTCTTAATTGGGATTTCAAGGTAGGATGAGCTCAAAGTCTTTTTTTTTTTTTTTTAACTTTTACTTTAAGTTCAGAGGTACAAGTGCAGGTTTGTTATATAGGTAAACTTGTGCCATGGGGTTTGTTGTACAGATTATTTCATCACCCAGGTATTAAACCTAGTTCCCATTAGTTATTTTTCCTGATTCTTTCCCTCCTCCCCACTCTGAAGGCCACAGTGTGTTGTTCCCCTCTATATGTCCATGTATCCTCATCATTTAGCTCCTACTTACAAGTGACAACATGTGGTATTTGGTTTTCTGTTCCTGTGTTAGTTTGCTAAGGGTAATGGCCTCCAGCTCCATCCATGTCCCTGCACAGGGCATCATCTCATTCTTTTTTATGGCTGCATAGTATTCCATGGTGTATATGTACCACATTTTGTTTATCTAGTCTATCATTGATGGGCATTTAGGTTGATTCCATGTTTTTGCTCTTGCAAATAGTGTTGCAATGAACATATGCATGCATGCATCTTTATAATAGAATGATTTATATTCCTCTGGGTATATACTCAGTAATGGGATTGCTGGGCCAAATGGTATTTCTGTCTTTAGTCTTTAAGGAATCACCACACTGTCTTCCATAATGGTTGAACTAATTTACACTCCCACCAACAGTGAGTAAGTATTCATTTTTCTCTACAACCTTACCATCATCTGTTATTTTTTGACTTTTTAACAATAGCCATTCTGACTGGTGTGAGATGGTATCTCCTTGTGGTTTTGATTTGCATTTCTCTAATGATCAGTAATTTGAGCTTTTTCATGTAATTGTTGGGCACATGTATGTCTTCTTTAGAGAAGTGTCTGTTCATGTCCTTTGCCCACTTTTTAATGGGGTTTGTTTTTTCTTGTAAATTTGTTTAAGTTCCTTATAGATGCTAGATATTAGACCTTTGTCAGATGCATAGTTTGCAAATATTTTCTCCCATTCTGTAGGTTGTCTTTTTACTCTGTTGATAGTTTCTTTTGTGCAGAAGCTCTTTAATTTAATTGGATCCCATTTGTCTATTTTTGTTTTTGTTGCAATTGCTTTTAGTGTCTTTTATCATGAAATCTTTGCCCGTGCCTATGTCCTGAATGGTATTGCCAAGGTTGTCTTCTGGGATTTTCATAGTTTTTGGTTTTACATTGAAGTCTTTAATCCATCTTGAGTTAATTTTTGTATGTGGTGTAAGGAAGGGGTCCAGTTTCAATCTTCTGCATATGGCTAGTCAGTTTTCCCAGCGCTATTTATTGGATAGGGAATCCTTTCACCATTGCTTGTTTCTGTCAAGTTTGTCAAAGATCAGATGGTTGTAGGTGTGTGGTCTTATTTCTGGGTTCTCTATTCTGCTCCACTGGTCTAGGTAACTGTTTTTGTACCAGTACCATGCTTTTTTGGTTACTGTAGCCCTGTAGTATAGTTTGAAGTTGGGTAGTGTGATGCCTCCAGCTTTGTTCCTTTTGCTTAGGATTGCCTTGGCTATTCCAGTTCTTTTTTGGTTCCATATGAATTTTTAAGTGTTTTTGATATTTCTGTGAAGAATGGTCAATTGTAGTTTAATAGGAATAGTGTTGGATCTATAAATTGCTTTGGGCAGTATGGCCATTTTCACGATATTGATTTTTCCTATCCATGAGCATGGAATGTTTTGGCATTTGCTTCTTTCATCTCTGATTTGTTTGAGCAGTGGTTTGTAGTTCTCCTTGTAGAGATCTTTCACCTCCCTAGTGAGCTGTATTCCTAGGTATTTTATTCTTTTTGTGGCAATTGTGAATGAGACTTAGTTCCTGATTTGGCTCTTGGCCGGACTGTTGTTGGTGTATAGGAGTGCTAGTGATTTTTGGACATTAATTTTGTATCCTGAGACTTTTCTGAAGTTATTTATCAGTTTAAGAAGCTTTTGGGCTGAAACAATGGGGTTTTCTAGATACAGGATTATGTTGTCTGCAAACAAGGAGAGTTTGACTTCCTCTCTTCCTGTTTGGATGCCCTTTAATTTCTTTCTCTTGCCTGACTCCTCTGGCCAGGACTTCCAATATTATGTTGAATAAGAGTGGTGAGAGAGGGCATCTTTGTCTTGTGTTGATTTTCAAGGGGAATGCTTCCAACTTTTGCCTATTCAGTATGATATTGGCTGTGGGTTTGTCATATATGGATCTTATTATTTTGAGGTATATTCCTTCAGTACCTAGTTTATTGAGAGTTTTTAACATGAATGGATGCTGAACTTTATCAAAAGGTTTTTCTGCATCTATTAAGATAATTGTGTAGTTTTTGTCTTTAGTTCTGTTTATATGATGAATCACGTTTATTGATTTGCATGCATTGAAACAAACTTGCATCCCAAGGATGAAGCCTACTTGATCATGGTTGATAAGCTTTTTGATGTGCTGCTAGATTTGGTTTACCAGTATTTTGTTGAGGATTTTTGCATTGATGTTCATCAAGGATATTCGCCTGAAGTTTTCTTTTTTTGTTATATCTCTGCCAGGTTTTGGTATCAGGATGATAATGCTGGCCTCATAGAATGAGTTAGAAAGGAGTCCCTCCTCCTCAATTTTTTGGAATAGTTTCAGTAGGAATGGTACCAACTCTTCTATGTATATCTGGTAGAATTCAGCTGTGACCCCTTCTGGTCCTGGCCTGTTTTGGGTTGGTAGGCTATTTATGACTGCCTTAATTTCAGAATTCGTTATTGATCTGTTCAGGGATTCAGTTTCTTCCTTGTTCAGTGTTGGGATGGTGCTCAGGCTCTTCTTAAGTTATCTTCAGTTTCTGAGCCCTGGGCTAGTGGAATGTGTGAGGGCTAGCAATGCCTGATTAGCTGATCTTCCCAGGTACCCTGCTGCAGGTTTAGCCTCTTTCTTGCCACAGTACTGCACAGGCCTGGAAGTATGTCAGTGGCCTTAGTCTTATTTTCCCGCATCTGGCTTGAGTCCTACCACACACAGGTTGTATTTGGTGTATTAGATGTGAGTGCTGTGTGACTCTGTTGGAGCCTCTCCTTCCTTCCCCTGACATGCTAGCTTCTGCCTCAGTTTACCAGCATAATGTTCCAGTTTTTCACTGGATCTGTGGTCTGTCTTGAGCCTTAGCCCACAACTTTTAGCCCACTGACTTACTGCCTGGTTCTTGCCCCTTCTTGCCTATGGCCTGCTCTCTGGACTCTCTACCACTGACTGTTCCTATAGCACATGGAGTGGAGTATACTGTGTTGCCAGCAGCCAGCTCTGGATTTAAACTGCCTAGGTTGGAAGCTGGCTTGTGCACTCTCTACCTGGGTGGGCTTGGGCAAGTGACATAACCACACCATAATTTCTTCATCTTATCTTCTTCATTTTTCTTACCTTAGTTTCTTCATCTGTAAGGCAAAGAAGTATAGTAATCCCTCAGTATCTGTTGGGGGTTGGTTCCAGGATCCCCCTTAGATACCAAAGTCTGAGGATGCTCAAGTCTTTTATATAAAATTATGAGGTATTTGCATATAGCCTACACATATCTTACATACTTATTAATCTCTAAATTGCTATGTAAATAATTGTTATACTATATATATTATGTACAACATATATGAAATATAAATAAATAAATATGTGTGTGTGTGTATATATATATGTATTTTAAGAGACAGGGTCTCAATGTTGCCCAGACTAGAATGCAGTGATGTGATCATAACTCACTGTAATTTCAAACTCCTGGGCTCAAGCAGTTCTTCTGCCTCAGCCATTGGGACCATAGGCACACATCACACCTGGCTAATTTTTAAAATTTTTGTAGAGACAGAGTCTTGCTTTGTTGCCCAGGATGGTCTTAAACTCCTGGCCTCAAGTGATCCTTCTGCCTTGGCCAAAGTGCTAGGATTACAGGCATCAGCCACTGTGCCTGGCCATTTGTTTTATTTGTATTTTGTTTACTGTATTTATGTATTTATTTTTGAATATTTTCTAGGTTGGTTGAATCTGAGTATGAGGAACCCCTGGATATGGAAGGCTGACTATAATAGTATTTACCTTACAGAATTGTAAGAATTAAATGAGACAACACATGTGAGATATGTAGAAAGTGCTCAATAAGTATAAGCCTCTCTCACTGTAAATATTACTGGCTTCCCATCAGTCATGAAACCATTGCCTGCTTGCTTACAAATTTTACGTATGTTACCTGCCACATAGAGGAGTTCACCACATTCTTTGGACATCATCCATTGTGCTTCTCAGCACAACAGTTCCCAGCTGCCTGTCTTCCCGATTCTCCCACCACCTGTACTATTGTTGTAGGACTTTTTCTTGATCCCTTTGTCAGACTTGTGACAGAAGTGCCTCATTTATTTGACCCACCGCACAGACAAATGGCCAGGCATGGTGGCTCATGCCTGTAATCCTAGCGCTTTGGCCAAGGTGGAAACATCACTTGAGGCCAGGAGTTCAAGACCAGCCTGAGCAACCAAGCGAGACTCCATCTTTACAAAAAATTTTAACATCTTGTGGGAAGGAGTGTGTAAGCGAGTGAATGTGGGATCTGTCCAGCTGCTTTGGGCACCAGCAGGAGCAGGCTTCATGCCATCCCTGCAGCCAGACCAGGTGTGAGCGAATGAGTGCAGGATATGGCTGGCTGCTTTGGGCACTGGCAGGAGCAGGCTTTGTGTGAGCCCTGTGGCACCCAGGTTGGGGTGCCTACAACCCTGGAAGCCTGAGGGGGTGTGTTGTAATGCTCTCTTAGCTCTGCTGTCTGTGGACAGTGGTGTGTTATCAGCTCACTGGATCCCTTCCCTTG
This sequence comes from Homo sapiens, assembly GCF_000001405.40. Classification (NCBI taxonomy): domain Eukaryota; kingdom Metazoa; phylum Chordata; class Mammalia; order Primates; family Hominidae; genus Homo; species Homo sapiens. The sequence goes on from NC_000005.10 coordinate 96,102,092, forward strand.
TTGTGTGGGGTGGCTGCCCTCCTCCAGGGAGGGCAAAGGGCCAGTGTGACAGCCTTTTTTGGGTGCTCATACTTGGTGGGTCCTGAGCTCTTGTCTGGCATCCAAGAAGAATGAAGTCACTTGGAGGATGGTGGAGGCAGAGAATTTTATTTAGCGATGGAGTGACTTTCAGTGTAGAAGGGAGCAGGAGAGGGGACAGGACGGGCAGATAATCTTCCCTGAAGTCTGTCTGGCTCTGGCTGGCTCTTCTCCGAAGTTAAGCCCTCTCTCCTCCAAAGTCCAGCCGTCCCTCTGAAGTCAAGTCACCTCCAGTCGAGCCAGTTCTCTCCCCTACTAACTGAGTCTGGGGTCTTTATAGGCACAGGATGGGGGGCAATACTTGTTTGGTAAAAAGACAATATTCAGAAATAACCAATCAGGAGAGAGCAGGCAAATAGGGATAGAAATTCTCACTTTGGGCCGTGGGTTTCAGGAATTTTGGCTCGAAGGTGGAGTTTTGCCAGGGACCCGCCCCTGCCTGCCTAGCATTTCTCTGCCTCCGGCCTCTATCACTGTTATCAGCTATTTTGTGATGAACCTCTTGCCTAACCAGCATTGTTTATGACTATTTGTTCTCTCTAGTTTTCTTGGGGTTTTTTTTTTTTTTGACTAAATTGTCTAAGTTCCTTCAACTTCATAGGCTTATTTTCCATTCATTCAACATCTTATTGCCTCCAGTTTAAACCTTTTCCTAATCCTTTTCTCATTTAGTTGCTTAAGAAAATGAATAAGATCTCAAGAAACTGCCAATCTATTATGGGAGGCTTAATGAGAGGCTGCTCTTTTTGCAGTGGTGGAGATAAGAAAATAACTATGGGACAAGAAGAGAAAGAGTATTGCTATTAATTAGTACCTATTAATATTTTGTTCCATGCACTGATCTAAGGGTTTAGGAGAATATCAGTAAATAAAATGGATAAAGATTCATGTCATAGAAATTCTGTCAAAGGTGGATACAAAATCAATAGTTGTTTTTTAATAAAAAATATTTTTATTAAAATTTGGAGGGCAGAAATATTTTCAGATATGTTAATGATTAAACATATTATCAAGGATGGGAATTATAACTCTTTTTTAAATTATTATACTTTAAGTTTTAGGGTACATGTGCACAATGTGCAGGTTAGTTACATATGTATACATGTGCCATGCTGGTGTGCTGCACCCATTAACTCGTCATCTAGCATTAGGTATATCTCCCAATGCTATCCCTCCCCCCTCCCCCCACCCCACAACAGTCCCCAGAGTGTGATGTTCCCCTTCCTGTGTCCATGTGTTCTCATTGTTCAATTCCCACCTATGAGTGAGAATATGTGGTGTTTGGTTTTTTTGTTCTTGCGATAGTTTACTGAGAATGATGATTTCCAATTTCATCCATGTCCCTACAAAGGACATGAACTCATCATTTTTTATGGCTGCATAGTATTCCATGGTGTATATGTGCCACATTTTCTTAATCCAGTCTATCATTGTTGGACATTTGGGTTGTTTCCAAGTCTTTGCTATTGTGAATAATGCCACAATAAACATACGTGTGCATGTGTCTTTATAGCAGCATGATTTATAGTCCTTTGGGTATATACCCAGTAATGGGATGGCTGGGTCAAATGGTATTTCTAGTTCTTGATCCCTGAGGAATCACCACACTGACTTCCACAATGGTTGAACTAGTTTACAGTCCCACCAACAGTGTAAAAGTGTTCCTATTTCTCCACATCCTCTCCAGCACCTGTTGTTTCCTGACTTTTTAATGATTGCCATTCTAACTGGTGTGAGATGGTATCTCATTGTGGTTTTGATTTGCATTTCTCTGATGGCCAGTGATGGTGAGCATTTTTTCATGGTGTGAAAATTTCACTGATGGCCAGTGATGGTGTGTTTTTTGGCTGCATAAATGTCTTCTTTTGAGAAGTGTCTGTTCATGTCCTTCGCCCACTTTTTGATGGGGTTGTTTGTTTTTTTCTTGTAAATTTGTTTGAGTTCATTGTAGATTCTGGATATTAACCCTTTGTCAGATGAGTAGGTTGCGAAAATTTTCGCCCATTTTGTAGGTTGCCTGTTCACTCTGATGGTAGTTTCTTTTGCGGTGCAGAAGCTCTTTAGTTTAATTACATCCCATTTGTCAATTTTGGCTTTTGTTGCCATTGCTTTTGGTGTTTTAGACATGAAGTCCTTCCCCATGCCTATGTCCTGAATGGTAATGCCTAGGTTTTCTTCTAGGGTTTTTATGGTTTTAGGTCTAACGTTTAAGTATTTAATCCATCTTGAATTGACTTTTGTATAAGGTGTAAGGAAGGGATCCAGTTTCAGCTTTCTACATATGGCTAGCCAGTTTTCCCAGCACCATTTATTAAATAGGGAATCCTTTCCCCATTGCTTGTTTTTCTCAGGTTTGTCAAAGATCAGATAGTTGCAGATATGCGGCGTTATTTCTGAGGGCTCTGTTCTGTTCCTTTGATCTATATCTCTGTTTTGGTACCAGTACCATGCTGTTTTGGTTACTGTAGCCTTGTAGTATAGTTTGAAGTCAGGTAGTGTGATGCCTCCAGCTTTGTTCTTTTGGTTTAGGATTGACTTGGCGATGCGGGCTCTTTTTTGGTTCCATATGAACTTTAAAGTAGTTTTTTCCAATTCTGTGAAGAAAGTCATTGGTAGCTTGATGGGGATGGCATTGAATCTGTAAATTACCTTGGGCAGTATGGCCATTTTCACGATATTGATTCTTCCTACCCATGAGCATGGAATGTTCTTCCATTTGTTTGTATCCTCTTTTATTTCCTTGAGCAGTGGTTTGTAGTTCTCCTTGAAGAGGTCCTTCACATCCCTTGTAAGTTGGATTCCTAGGTATTTTATTCTCTTTGAAGCAATTGTGAATGGGAGTTCACTCATGATTTGGCTCTCTGTTTGTCTGTTATTGGTGTATAAGAATGCTTGTGATTTTTGTACATTGATTTTGTATCCTGAGACTTTGCTGAAGTTGCTTATCAGCTTAAGGAGATTTTGGGCTGAGACAATGGGGTTTTCTAGATATACAATCATGTCGTCTGCAAACAGGGACAATTTGACTTCCTCTTTTCCTAATTGAATACCCTTTATTTCCTTCTCCTGCCTGATTGCCCTGACCAGAGCTTCCAACACTATGTTGAATAGGAGTGGTGAGAGAGGTCATCCCTGTCTTTTGCCAGTTTTCAAAGGGAATGCATCCAGTTTTTGTCCATTCAGTATGATATTGGCTGTGGGTTTGTCATAGATAGCTCTTATTATTTTGAAATGTGTCCCATCAATACCTAATTTATTGAGAGTTTTTAGCATGAAGGTTGTTCAATTTTGTCAAAGGCCTTTTCTGCATCTATTGAGATAATCATGCGGTTTTTGTCTTTGGTTCTGTTTATATGCTGGATTACATTTATTGATTTGCGTATATTGAACCAGCCTTGCATCCCAGGGATGAAGCCCACTTGATCATGGTGGATAAGCTTTTTGATGTGCTGCTGGATTCGGTTTGGCAGTATTTTATTGAGGATTTTTGCATCAATGTTCATCAAGGATATTGGTGTAAAATTCTCTTTTTTGATTGTGTCTCTGCCCGACTTTGGTATCAGGATGATGCTGGCCTCATAAAATGAGTTAGGGAGGATTCCCTCTTTTTGTATTGATTGGAATAGTTTCAGAAGGAATGGTACCAGTTCCTCCTTGTACCTCTGGTAGAATTCAGCTGTGAATCCATCTGGTACTGGACTCTTCTTGGTTGGTAAGCTATTGATTATTGCCGTAATTTCAGATCCTGTTATTGATCTATTCAGAGATTCAACTTCTTCCTGGTTTAGTCTTGGGAGAGTGTATGTGTCCAGGAATTTATCCATTTCTTCTAGATTTTGTAGTTTATTTGCGTAGAGGTGTTTGTAGCATTCTCTGATGGTAGTTTGTATTTCTGTGGGATCGGTGGTGATATCCCCTTTATCATTTTGTATTGTGTCTTTTGATTCTTCTCTCTTTTTTTCTTTATTAGTCTTGCTAGCGGCCTATCAATTTTGTTGATCCTTTCAAAAAACTAGCTCCTGGATTCATTAATTTTTTGTGTCTCTATTTCCTTCAGTTCTGCTCTGATTTTAGTTATTTCTTGCCTTCTGCTAGCTTTTGAATGTATTTGCTCTTGCTTTTCTAGTTCTTTTAATCGTGATGTTAGGGTGTCAATTTTGGATCTTTCCTGCTTTCTCTTGTGGGCATTTAGTGCTATAAATTTCCCTCTACACACTGCTTTGAATGCGTCCCAGAGATTCTGGTATGTTGTGTTTTTGTTCTTGTTGGTTTCAAAGAACATCTTTATTTCTGCCTTCATTTCATTATGTACCCAGTAGTCATTCAGGAGCAGGTTGTTCAGTTTCCATGTAGTTGAGCGGTTTTGAGTGAGATTCTTAATCCTGAGTTCTAGTTTGATTGCACTGTGGTCTGAGAGATAGTTTGTTATAATTTCTGTTCTTTTACATTTGCTGAGGAGAGCTTTACTTCCAACTATGTGGTCAATTTTGGAATAGGTGTGGTCTGGTGCTGAAAAAAATGTATATTCTATTGATTTGGGGTGGAGAGTTCTGTAGATGTCTATTAGGTCCACTTGGTGCAGAGCTGAGTTCAATTTCTGGGTATCCTTGTTGACTTTCTGTCTCGTTGATCTGTCTAATGTTGACAGTGGGGTGTTAAAGTCTCCCATTATTAATGTGTGGGAGTCTAAGTCTCTTTGTAGGTCACTCAGGACTTGCTTTATGAATCTGGGTGCTCCTGTATTGGGTGCATATATATTTAGGATAGTTAGCTCCTCTTGTTGAATTGATCCCTTTACCATTATGTAATGGCCTTCTTTGTCTCTTTTGATCTTTGTTGGTTTAAAGTCTGTTTTATCAGAGACTAGGATTGCAACCCCTGCCTTTTTTTGTTTTCCATTTGCTTGGTAGATCTTCCTCCATCCTTTTATTTTGAGCCTATGTGTGTCTCTGCACGTGAGATGGGTTTCCTGAATACAGCACACTGATGGGTCTTGACTCTTTATCCAATTTGCCAGTCTGTGTTTTTTAATTGGAGCATTTTGTCCATTTACATTTAAAGTTAATATTGTTATGTGTGAATTTAATCCTGTCATTATGATGTTAGCTGGTTATTTTGCTCATTAGTTGATGCAGTTTCTTCCTAGTCTCGATGGTCTTTACATTTTGGCATGATTTTGCAGCGGCTGGTGCCAGTTGTTCCTTTCCATGTTTAGCACTTCCTTCAGGAGCTCTTTTAGGGCGGGCCTGGTGGTGACAAAATCTCTCAGCATTTGCTTGTCTGTAAAGTATTTTATTTCTCCTTCACTTATGAAGCTTAGTTTGGCTGGATATGAAATTCTGGGTTGAAAATTCTTTTCTTTAAGAATGTTGAATACTGGCCCCCACTCTCTTCTGGCTTGTAGAGTTTCTGCCGAGAGATCCGCTGTTAGTCTGATGGGCTTCCCTTTGTGGGTAACCTGACCTTTCTCTCTGGCTGCCCTTAACATTTTTTCCTTCATTTCAACTTTGGTGAATCTGACAATTATGTGTCTTGGAGTTGCTCTTCTCAAGGAGTATCTTTGTGGCGTTCTCTGTATTTCCTGAATCTGAATGTTGGTCTGCCTTGTTAGATTGGGGAAGTTCTCCTGGATAATATCCTGCAGAGTGTTTTCCAACTTGTTTCCATTCTCCCTGTCACTTTCAGGTACACCAATCAGACGTAGATTTGGTCTTTTCACATAGTCCCATATTTCTTGGAGGCTTTGTTCATTTCTTTTTATTCTTTTTTCTCTAAACTTCCCTTCTCACTTCATTTCATTCATTTCATCTTCCATTGCTGATACCCTTTCTTCCAGTTGATCGCATCGGCTCCTGAGGCTTCTGCATTCTTCACGTAGTTCTCGAGCCTTGGTTTTCAGCTCCATCAGCTCCTTTAAGCACTTCTCTGTATTGGTTATTCTAGTTATACATTCTTCTAAATTTTTTTCAAAGTTTTCAACTTCTTTGCCTTTGGTTTGAATGTCCTCCCGTAGCTTGGAGTAATTTGATCATCTGAAGCCTTCTTCTCTCAGCTCGTCAAAGTCATTCTCTGTCCAGCTTTTTTCCATTGCTGGTGAGGAACTGCGTTCCTTTGGAGGAGGAGAGGCCCTCTGCTTTTTAGAGTTTCCAGTTTTTCTGCTCTGTTTTTTCCCCATCTTTGTGGTTTTATCTACTTTTGGTCTTTAATGATGGTGATGTACAGATGGGTTTTTGGTGTGGATGTCCTTTCTGTTTGTTAGTTTTCCTTCTAACAGACAGGACCCTCAGCTGCAAGTCTGTTGGAGTACCCGGCCGTGTGAGGTGTCAGTCTGCCCCTGCTGGGGGGTGCCTCCCAGTTAGGCTGCTCGGGGATCAGGGGTCAGGGACCCACTTGAGGAGGCAGTGTGCCTGTTCTCAGATCTCCAGCTGCATTCTGGGAGAACCACTGCTCTCTTCAAAGCTGTCAGACAGGGACATTTAAGTCTGCAGAGGTTACTGCTGTCTTTTTGTTTGTCTGTGCCCTGCCCCCAGAGGTGGAGCCTACAGAGGCAGGCAGGCCTCCTTGAGCTGTGGTGGGCTCCACCCAGTTGGAGCTTGCCGGCTGCTTTGTTTACCTAAGCAAGCCTGGGCAATGGCAGGCGCCCCTCCCCCAGCCTTGCTGCCACCTTGCAGTTGGATCTCAGACTCCTGTGCTAGCAATCAGCGAGACTCCGTGGGCATAGGACCCTCCAAGCCATGTGCGGGATATAATCTCCTGGTGCACCGTTTTTTAAGCCCATCGGAAAAGCGCAGTATTTGGGTGGGAGTGACCCGATTTTCCAGGTGCCGTCTGTCACCCCTTTCTTTGACTAGGAAAGGGAACTCCCTGACCCCTTGCGCTTTCTGAGTGAGGCAATGCCTCGCCCTGCTTCGGCTTGCGCACGGTGCGTGCACCCACTGACCTGCGCCCACTGTCTGGCACTCCCTATTGAGATGAACCCGGTACCTCAGATGGAAATGCAGAAATCACCCGTCTTCTGTGTCGCTCACACTGGGAGCTGTAGACCAGAGCTGTTCCTATTTGGCCATCTTGGCTCCTCCCAACATGCTTTCTATCAGAATTATAACATTTTTAAACATGCTTGGCAAAAACACAGATGTTATTAGTGATATTTGCATTAGGAAATAATTATAATAAAGAATAAATGTAATCAGTTTTACCTTGATATAAATTTTACATTTTCCAAAACCAAATTGTGTAATGAAAGCCATTACAATTTTTTCTTTGTAATCTGGAATCTTACTAGAAAATGTTGATGAGGCTTTGAGACTCGAAGATAAATTGTTTGTTGTGGAATTTACAAATGCTTTTTGGCAGTGATCAGTTGTCCTCTAAGAGTGTTTGGCAATCTTTTGGATTCAAAATGTTGGATCTTCACTTGCTAATATTTCTGAGCAGGAGTGGGGGTGATGTTCCCATCTGTGAAGAGTCAAGAGAGGTGGGAAGGAAGTGTTCTGGCTTGAAGATTGTATCTTCTGCACACCTGTGTGGCAAAGTTGTCTGGTGGGTGGAGGATTTATTTGATGAGGGGGCAGCAAATTGAAAGAGGATGCAGAAGCGGTAGAGTAGTTTTCCCTGGGCTTTAAAAATACAAATTATTTGGGGAAGATACCACATCTTAATTCTTTATAAACTAACGTCTTAATATCATAGGAAAGAAACCACATAAAACTGTGTTTCAAAATGGTTCTATTTTAGTATATTTAAAGTACATGTAAAAATGATAAAAAAAAAAGAAAAAAAATAAAGCACCGCTTTTAGAAGAAATCGAGTGGAAATTTAGAAATTCGGAGTGAATGCAAGAAACTGTTATTGAAAATCCAGTCTGTGTCTAGCACTTTGCCAAGGCCCCTAGAATAAAAAAGTTGACTAAGATACATCTCCAGTTCCCAAAAACTCTCCATACATTAGAGAATGGGGTGACATACAACACCAAATAAATACTGTTCAAGATTGCAGATGGTTTATCAGGATAGATTTCCACAAATTACAGTGGGGGTGGCTGGTTCTGGGAAGTTTTATCATCAGGTTTTTTCTCTTGTTTTATTTACCCGTGTGCTTTTCTTGATCTTACAGTTTAATTGTATGTGTGGCTTTTTGTTCAAGTTATCTCAATTTCTTCTGAGAAGAAATATAGTTTCAAAATCAATCAATAAAGATAATCCTCTGATAAAGTAAGATCTGAATATACAAATCATGGTTACAGTAATCTTACCATTATATATAAATTACCTCTCAAACAAATGGGCCATTCAGAAAAAGGCTCAGAGTGAATTAGCTGGAGGGGTTGTCAAGGGTCATAGTTTTTACTGCTTTGAAGAGATTATCACTGGATGATTTCCTCACATTTATATAACTTCAGTCTCCTGTTCTTTTTACTCTGGCTGAGGTACAAGGAATCAGGAAAGAGAGGGCAACTGTGAGGAAGGAGCATTCTCCAGGTGGGAAGGTTAGTAAAATTAACCATACAATTACAGAATGGGGAAAATGAGGCCTGCCTAGGTGATTAGGGAAGGAGATGGTTACAAACTTGGAGATGTCTAATCTCAGTAAGCAGGTCAAAGAGGTCAGCTTTCACTTAGCAGCTCCAGAGCACAATCAGATGAGTATAGCTAAATGTTTTCAATTCTAAAAAATCAAGTCAGGGAGAAATTTTGTTTGGGCCTAATGGGAAACAGTTTCTCTGCTCACAACATTTCTGACACCAAGTATATGGATTTTCTAGACCAAGAAATTCTCGAGTTCTCTTCAGAGACCAACTGGGGATCAACAATTCAATTTAATTCTGACACCCAAGGTGAGTGCAGACCCTACAGGTTAAGGGTTCAGTCCCACAAGACTGCTCCCCACTTCTGATGCCAATCACAAGTAGTGAGTCCCCAGGTTACCTATACTTCTGACCTGGCTACGTGGACCCCTCCTCAAGTCTGATAATTTGCTATAACCACTCACAGAACTCAGAGGAACACTTCGTATTACTGGTTTATTATAAAGGATATTCTAAAGGATACAAATGAACAGTATGACAGTCAGATGAATAGGTTCATAGGACAAAGTCCAGCCAATGGTCCTAGGTACAGGAACTTCTGTATCCGTGGAATTTTGGATGCATCACCTTCCTGGCAAGTGGACACATTCACCAACCTGGACACTTTCCCAATACCTTTGCTTAGGGGTTTTATGAAGGCTCTATTATGTAGGCATGATTGATTAAATCATTGGCCTTTGGTGATTAGCTCAATCTCCAGCTCCTCTTCCCTCCCCAGATGGGGCTGAAGGTTTCAATCCTCTAAACACACAGTTGGTTCCTCTGGTAACCAGCCTCCATCCTTCAAGACTCACCTCATTAGCATAAACTCAGGTGTGGTTGGAAGTGGCTTATTATGAACAATGAAAGATGCTGCTTTCACTTCTATTACTCAGGAAGTTGCTAGTGTTTTAGAAGCTTTGTGCCAGGAACTGGGGACAAAGACCAAATATTTATTTATTATTATATCACAACATCACAGTACCTAAGAAGCAAAGCTACATTCAGCAAGTACTGATGGGAGTCAAGGTTATATGTTGGAGGGCACCAATTTATTTGTATGGATTTGCTTTATTTATTTATTTTTGTAAGTAAATAAATTTGTCTTGCTATGTTTCCCAGGTTGGTCTCAAACTCCTGACCTCAAGCAGTCCTTCCACTTTGGCCTCCCAAAATGCTGGGGTTACAAGCATGAGCCACTGTACCCAGCTGTGCATTTTTTTAAACTTTATTTTATGTAGTTTTAAAACTATATATATTTTATATAGTTTTTTATAATTAGAAATGTTAATGAGTAGTTTTCTATTTATATTATTAGTTTAATAAAAGCTTCTTTTATACAATAAGAAAAATGGACTCAATTATTAATATATTCTCAGTTATTAATAATTATATTCTAAATTACCAATTCTCAATTATTAATATTCAATCAATAATAATATGTTAATATATTCTCAATTATTAATATTCTGAGAGGTGTGTCTGGGGAAAGCCAGTGGGAATATATTACCTAATTCAGGACTCCATTTTGTCCCCTAGCAGCTATACAAATTGCAGGCATAGTGATCCTGCCTGGGAAGTAATAACCAGCCTTGTAAACTGGAACCTACTGAGTGAAAGTAAACATCAAATCATGGCAAAGATTGGTTGGCAATTACTGTAAATAAAAAATGGAACCTATTATATTGTGATTGCTTACTCCCATATCCTCCACTAGGAGGATAAATTTTGTGAGAGCAGGGACTGTATTTGACTTATTTAAAGTTACATATATATATCCTAACTGTGTATAATACATAGTTGCTATTAAAGAAAAAATATTAAATGAATAACTGGGGTAAGTCATGAAGAGGGAAGCAGAAACGAGAGAAAATTGAACTATATTTAGAGATGTTCCTTCACTTACAAATGGGTTACATCCTGATAAACCCATTGTTAAGTTGAAAATATTGTATAAATGGAAAATGCATTTAATACACCTCAGCTACCAAATAGCATAGCTTAGCCTAGCTATGATGAGCTGAAATGTGCTCAGAACATTTATGTTAGCCAACAACTGGACAAAATCATGTGACAACATAGTACAATGTAGAGTGTAGGTTGTTTACCCTCATGATCATGCGGCTGACTGGGAACTGTGGTTCATTGCTGCTGTCCAGCATGGCGGGAGATGGAGAGAGATAATATCATATCTCTTTCTATTGAATGCACATCACTTGTGCACCATAGTCAAGTTAAAAAATTATGTCAGGGACCATCTGTATTTCCCAAATTTGTTTAGAATCCTCCTTGGTTTCTCCCATAGATGGTTGATCCCATCTAGAAGGGCTTATTAAGTACCAAAGAAAGTCTTAAGTTTTGTTTCAAAGTATTGATTTATCTCTACATTGACAGCATGCTTCTTAACAGCAGGCTAGAAATTGGATTGGTGGTTTCTTTTAGTCTTAGAACTAAGACTTCAGGGCAAAGATGTGGAATTTGAGACCAAATTATGTCCTTCACCTAAAATGCACCAAATCAAATAAATTGTCTCTAGGTAATCCTTGGCATGCAGGCCTGTCTATTTTATAGAGAGTGGGTAATCCAACCCCTTCCTGAAAGTGCCTATTTAATTTATCTGAATTAAGTGGGAACAACAAACAGAAGTGTTTGAACCACAAGATAAAGTAACTGAATTGCAAAGCCAGGAATGAGTCCAGGTTAGTAGACACACATTAGGAAATGCACTGCAAAATATAAAGTGGGAGTCTTGCACCTTTGCAAGGATTAATGCTTTGAAAATATGATAGCTCAGAGAAAAAAGAAAGTTTTAGGAACTTAGTGCCATTAGGAACTTAAGGCCATTTTCTAAAGCAGCCATTCTCACCCAGAGGGCAAAAGACGCCTTTCAGCTGGAGTGGCTTTTGCCATTGCCTGGTGCCAGGGAGCTGAAGCCTTGGCAGCTGGTTGTACACAGCTCTTTCCTTGCAGGAGTGCCAGTAAGGAGAGGCTTCCAGAGCATGTCTGCACAGGAGACCAGAGAGCTCAGGTTTTTAAGTTCTAAATAAGGAGATTTATTCTGACTAAGACTCCTCCTTAGTCAATCCTTGATGACTCCAGAGATGGCAGGGCTGTTAGTTTCGTTATGTTATTTAAAAGAGTGTGTTGAAGAAAATGTTAATTGATCCAGATGACTATGTGCATTATATCACAAAAGAAAGTTCATTTTTCACACTTTTGTCATCATCAGTCCCTCTATTTTTTATACTACTAGCCTGACCTCTTAGGCTCTTCTAGAATTTCAGAGAGCCAAGAAACATGTTTTTTAAAGTACCATTTTTCAACAATAAGTGTATGAAAATAAAAACAGTTTGATCATCTTCTCTCAGCAAAGGTAAAACATTTTTAGGCAGTAAGTAAATAGAAGGTTGTTTTAAGGTGCACTAAACCTGGGCAAGGAAAAGTATTCTGGAGACAAACAAGAGCAGGAGAGATAGTAGAAGCAGAGAAGAAATCTGGGTGGGATATTCTACAACCCTGTGACCCCTAGAGTGGTCTGTGGACCAGCAATGTCTACAACACCTGGCAGAATTCAGTCCTCTTATCCCTCCAACCCACTGAATCAGAATCTGATTCTTAAAAGGATTCCCAGGGGATTTGTATGTACATTGAAGTTTGAGAGCTCAGCTCTTGGAGCCCAGAGAGGAAGAGTTCTGAGTAAATCTGCCACCACTGAGGCTCTCAAACTTTGGTGAATATAGGAAACTCGTGAAAAGGTTACTAAAAAGGAGTGTTTACGGGTCAAAGAGGTTCTGATTCTATAGACTTGTGTGGTACCTTGAAAATCTGTATTTCTAACAAATTTTCCAGGGCTTCTGACACATATGATCATTGAACCACATGTTAAGAAACCTCTACTGCTGATTTCATGATTTAATGAAGGAAGACTATGCTTACTAAATAATACCCACTGAAGCAGCAGGCCATAAGAGGCTTTCTGCCTGGGAGAAGCGTAATGGAGTTGCCTGTCTAAGATATAGTTACTGGTTGCAGGGCCCCTAAGACCTCATCTTTCTAGACTGATCTGTGTTCTAATCACATTGAGCTCTCCAGTTTCCCAAAACTAGCCACATGCTTTGCAATGCTGTTTTCTCTGCTCAAGTTTCTGAGTCAGTTTGGATTCTTGTTTAAGGTATGTACTAGTGGTGTGACCTCAAGCAAGTGACTCACAATGTGTTACACTCAGTTTGCTCATATGTAAAATGGGTTCTGTAGTATCTGTCTCATGGGGTTATCGCAACAATTACAAGAGAAATGGCCCATGTAAAATATATAGATAGCAGAGTGTATAGCATTTAACAGATATTTAGTACATGATCATAACTATTGCTTGCATTCTTTCTTGTCTGAAGAACTCCCGTTTTTCCTCCAAAACTTAGTTGCTCTTTGTAAGTCCTTGACAAGCTCCCCACTACCACTATGAAGTTGCTCACACATCTGTGCTCTCAACAGTACTTAAACATTTCTCTCTGTGTCCCTTGTGATATGTTGTTATTCGTTCTCTTTCTTTCTGCTGAACTGTGAGCTCATCAAAACAAACAATAAAAACAAACCCTGTCTTATCTGTCTGTATAGTGTTAGCACCACACACCTAATGATAAAGGCAAGGTGATTGTTTATGGGCTAGGCCCTGTTCTAAGCACTTTTAATGAATTAACTCATTGATTCCTCAGAACAACCCTATTAGGTAGGCATGGCTGTTACCTCCATTTTATAGATGGGGAAGCTGAAGCACAGATAAGTAACTTGTCCAAGGTGATACTATTCAGTGGTAGACCTGTAATTAGAATCAATTTAATAGCAGTCTGGTTCCAGAGTTCAAGGCAGCAGACACTCACTCAATAAAGGCTTGTTGAATTGCATTACACTGTGAGTATACCAGCTTTAGATGTGGTCTTCCTGCTTTAAGAAATGGTGTTCTGAAGGTGACTAAGGAGAAAGTCAAATCATTGTTACAGTTTTCTGGTGTGTCTTATTGACCTAAAACAATATCAAAACATATCACAGATGTACAATGTTTAATGGGTTCATTCTGAAAGGACACCTCGAATCTGTTACGAAATTGTGAAGTACCCAGACTATTTCAAAGAGCAAGATTTTGTAGAACAACAGGAGGAAATGAAGACTTCCTGACATGGTCATTTCTTTCTTTTTTTTTTTTTTTAGCTTTATTGAGGTATGATTTACATAAAATAAATTTCTCTTTGAAGTATACAGTTTAATGAATTTTGGTAATTGTAGATAGCTATTATAACTTTTACCATAATCAAGATATAGATAAATTATATTATTCTAGAAAGTAGCCTTTGTGCCCCTTTGCATTTTATCCGTTCTCCTGACCTCTGGCTCCAGGTAACCATTGATTTGCTTTCTGTCACTCTAGTTTTACCTTTTCCAGATTGTCATATACATGGAATCATACAATATGATAGTCTTCTTAGTCTGGATTGTTTTGCTTAATATAAAGCTTTTGAGATCCATCTGTATTATTGTTTTGATCAGTAGTTTTTTCTTTCTTATTGATAAGTAGTATTTCATGTCATAGATATACTCTGATTTGTTTACCCACTCACCAGTTGATGGACATCTGGGTTATTTCCAGTATTTGGCAATTATCAATAATGCTGCTATGAGTATTCATGTAAAATTCTTTGTGTGGAAATATGTTTTCATTTCTCTTGGGTAAATACCTAGAAGTGGGTTTGCTGGGTCTGCCATACTGTTTCCCAGAGTGGCTATACTGTGTTGTACTCCCCAGCAATATATTAGAGTCTGGTTGTTCTTATCCTTGGCAACATATGATATTGTCAGTCTTTTTAACTTTAGCTATTCTAGTAGATGTTTACTGGTCGTTCTTGTTGTAGTTTTAATGTACATTTTCTTGATGAGTAATGACATTGAGCATCTTTCTTAGGCTTATTGTTTATTTGCATATCATCATTTGCATATTGTTCATTTGCATGCCATTGTGCAAATCTTTAGCTTACTTTTTTAAAAAATTGGGTAGTGTATCTTCTTTCTACTGAGTTGTATGTATTTTTAAAAGTATTCTGGATTCAAGCTCTTTGTCAAATATATGGTTTGCAAATATTTTCTCAGAGTTTGTGGCTTGCATTTTTATTTTATTTTTAAATTATGGGGTTTTATTATGCATAGAAGGCTCATTCCTTCTTGACTACTTTCCACATGGCAACTTGAACTTTGTATGCTTGGCGGGGTGGCAGTAGTGGCTGTACCCTGGCTTGCTCATGTCTTGGTCACCCTGAAGCCTTTGTTAAGGATCTCCGCCTTGGAGGTGAGCAGCCCTGGCTGCTGCTTTCCAATGGCTTCATTTCCTTACTTGTGTCTTTAGAGAGCAAAAATGTTAAATTTTGATTAACTTCATTTTACCTATTTTTTTTTCTTTATTGTGCTAATTGTGTCTTGCTTAAGAAATTTTTGCCTAACCCAATGTCACAGAGATTTTATTCTAGAAGTTTAATAGTTTCTTATATTTAGGTCTACCATTTATTTCAAATTAATTTTGAATCCGACATAGAGATTTAAACCCTGCTTTCACAAGAGTCCTCTCTTCTTGGTGATGTACCACATAGCTCATCACATAACCCTGTCACGTTAACCATGTCCGTGTAGAAACTAGTATAAAATAGTGTGTGTGTGTGAGACTCAGGGAAACCTTTTAAAGCTGGTAGCTGTTCAGTTCTCAAGTTCGACAATAAATGGTATTGTTTAAATTAGGCTTGTGATTTTTTCCGCGTGTCAGATGTGCAGAAAGAACGTGTGGGAAATAACTTATGGTAGATATGAACTTCAGGTAATTTTTTAAAGTCATTAAACTCTGGGCAGATATGTTTGAAGCAAAGTTAACTGGATAGAATAAGGAATGACTGTAGTGCCCATTTATGCCTCCAAGTTTTGTTAAGTCTTAAATATTAGACCAAACGATATTGTTTTGCTTAGTTTTTACTTCTCTGCCCATTTCCAGGAAGCACCAACTCTTTATTTGAAAAGGACAAACTATTTTCTTATTTCTGCAAATCTGTTTGAAAAAGGGAAGAACCAATCTTGGGAAAAAAATTCAGCCTGATGTTCTTTTTCCTAGCATGCCTTTTGCCCGTTACCACTTCCACATCCCCTGTTTCTAAGATAGTCTGAAATTTCAAAATGCCTACAAAAAGTTCTCTGTCTTTAGGTTGTTTGGAATTGTTAATTATTGGTGGCAATGGATGAGTGTTCAGCACCTTGGAACTTTTGCAAAAGAAACTTAATAAGGATACGTTTGCTGTAGTTGGAAAAGTATTTGATGAACAGCTGACCTTTCAAATGTTTACATGAGTTGAATCTCTGAACTGCTAATGTTTGGAAGGTCCAAGTTCCAATTCAGACTTAGACACTGAATCCCTTTGTAGAGAAAGCTTTGAAATCTCTTCAGCTGTAGTTTTCTCTCTCTTTTTTTTTTTAAGGCCAACTTCACCTACCAGTTAATTGGTTAATGTTTGTGAATGCTTTGAGTAGGCAAAAAGCACTTTCTCAGGGCAGTGCCCCATTGTTCCCTCTCCCAATTGTGGTTTGCCATTCACCTGAGTAAGTGGATAAGCCATGGGCCAAGTTTGCATTGTAGAAAGGAAATGATTCTACAGATACTTAGCCATGGGATGGAAAAATATGTTTCTTTCACGTAGAGTTTGTGAATAAAGCTTCCACTGTGCTGAGCAAAAAATGCAAAAGGAAGCCTTGTTGTCTGGATTAGGTCACTTATAAATACCTTAAAAATATTTACATAAATGTCTACTGACTAACCAATTCTCTGAGCACATTCCATAAAAATTTCTTCTCAACTGCATTTGGAAATTTGCTTTTTTTTTTTTTTTTGGTCCATTGTGTTCGTGGACTGGTGTTCATGGTGCTCAGTTGACTTAAAGAAGCCAATCCATCTAAAAGAACTAGGAAGGTGGGCTGAGGAAGAAGGTTGGGGCTGGGGAAATTAACAAGAGCCTTCTTTCTAATTGTGGCTTTTTCCCCTGAGGTACTGTTTCAGCATACTTTTTTTTTTTTTCTTAGCGTCAGTTACTTCATTGCTTAAGTGACTCTTTTAGCTAAGTTCATGTGTTTCTCATGGGCTACTCCAATCAGCAGGGCAGTCTCACCCTAACTAGTTTCACCACACTCCCTTTGTGGTACTGGACATTATACAGAGAGCAGCAAGCCAGGGTACTTCCGTATCTTCATTGGAAAATGTCGTTTTTAAATTGCTCTAAATGCATGCATCATTTTGTGCTTGCAGTTGGACTATAATGGGAATTATCAGAGAATCACATGTCTTTGCCATAGACTTAATCTGGTTCCCATGAGGGGAAAAAAGGATTGTGTTGTTATTATTGGAAATAGACAAAAGAAGTCAAGGGATCTCTATTGAGGTCTGATCACACCTTGAAGGTATTTGGAATGGAGACCAGAGAGGTCACACTTAGGTGTTTTATTTGACCTATATAGAGTTGAAAAAAATTTTTAAAAGTTTTCAGCATGGTGTTCAAAAATTAAAACAGAAGTAAAAACAAAAACAACCCAAACCCCAAAGTTTCCAGCATTTAAAATCTAGAGGTTTCACATTAAAAAAATCTGGAATCCCAGCTTCTTTTAAAAAATGGGAAGACCTGGGATCTCTAGATGTGCATTCCTAAGTGGCAAAATTGACTAGATCAGAGCAGCAGCTGCTTGTTTGGAAGGTCTGGGGCTCATATCACCAGCTTGTACCCTGGAGATATAAGCTGGAGGGTTTGCATAATCTGTTACTAAAAGAATGAGTGACTATTATGTTTTCACATATATATTTTCTGTTCAAAGGAAAGAAACTATCTAAAGAAAGTGAAAAGAATGATTTAAGATGACATATTTGAACCTTTATTCAGCTGTTTATAGTCAGAATGTCACAAGGTTATTCATCTATGAACCAGTTAAAATATACTTCCTTTGATTCTTCTGAGAGGAAGGTGTAGTAGATATGTGTTATGTATTATGTACGCCTAAAAAGCAAATTAAATATTTTTCAAAATGGCATATCTAGAGATTTAAGGCCTTTCAAGCAAAAACTTTGTGTGACCGCTCAGCAGCAAAATAATCTCCACGGCAGTCTGGTAAGAACCAGGATTATGTTTTTATCTAGAGAGGGTAAAATGACAGCTGGACATCACCAGTATCTTTTTACTGAAAAGTATGTGTCAATTTGTGAAACACGTTTTATTCCGAGATATCTTTCACTTATAATTCTGCCTTTATCCACTAGATAGCAAATAGTATCTAATGGACATAAATAGCTTCCTAGTCTAGGCTTCTTAGCATTCAGTCTTCCTTCCTATTAGCATCCAGGTTTCCTTTTGGGGTGTTATCTCTCTCCCACTGAGGGCAGTCCTGAGGAACTGGGGCTAATGAATAAAACTGCCTTGGGCTCCTGCTAGAGAAGCCCTTGATTCTCACCTTCTACTGTTGGGTATGAGCCAAGAAATGGGCATGTGACCTAAGCTTGGAAAGTTGGATTTTCCTGGTTAATTGAATCTTGAGTGGAATGGTGCAAAGCCGGAAGCAACAGTTGGAGCTCATGCATTCCAGAGATATTGCCCTGTAAGTAATCCCTGGCCTTGCTCCTATCCTGTTTGCAAGTCTGGTTTTCTATATTCCCTGTCAATTTCATGAGATTCACCAATATTCTGTGAGCTTTTTTTTCTTTTGGTATAATGGTTCTCTGTTGCATATAATCAGAGAGCTCTAACTTATATGTTCAGGCTCTGACCCTGTGCCCTGCTATCACCCTTGTCCCTTCCCCATCATCTCTTGCCTGGAATACCGTAATAGCCTCCTCACTGATCAAAGCATATGTATATATATAATATACATATATAATATATACATATAAATAATATATATTAATGTGCCAAGCATTATTATATGTATATAATATACATATATATAATAATATACATACATATATATATATAAACTTTTGTGACCTTATCTCTTTCTCCTTCCTTGCTATACCGATCTTCTTGCTGGTCCTCCTGGCCAGGCATAATCCTGCCCTAAGCCATTTTCACTGGCTTTTCCCTGTGCCTCAATTACTTTTTCTCCAGATAGCCATTTTGGCTTACTCTCTCACCTCCACCTTCATATCAAAGGTGATATTCACTCGTGTTTCAATACCACGTACTTGGTGAGACCTTTCCTAGCCACCTTGTTTAAAAAGTCAAGACTCTCCCACTATAGGCATTATCTACCCATTTCCCAGCTTATTTTAAATTTTATTTTATAGACTTTTATCACCATCTAAAATACCACATGACTTTCTTATTGATTTTTAAAAGAGTGCCTGTTTATGCCCACTGGAATGTAAGCTTCAAAAGGGCGTAGTGTTCACTGCTGTTAGCCCCAGCATATAAAATAGTGCTTGGCACATTAATTTGTTGAATAAATGATGTGGCTTTGGGGGAGCCCTTTTGTTTTATTTGACTTATATTCTTAAGATTAAGCACAGTGTATGGCACAGAATAGGCACATAATAAATTTTGTTTTTGTTGTTGTCCCTGGCTGCTAGGACTATTAAATAGGACAGTCTTCAGGATCTAATCCTTTCATAGTTTCACTCTGGTTGATAAGTGTTTTGTAATAATCATAGGGGCTAACTCCACCCAGTATTTGAGCTTGCATTCATTTTGATGAAAAAAAAAAAAAGCAACCTGATCAGGATAGAACTTGCTTAAAGAAAGGCTCAGATTAGTTTCAGTGAGTTTACACAGTCAGCGTTTTGGCGGTGAGGCTCTGAAGTTGAATCAAGCCAAGAAATACAATTGATCATCCTAGTCTGCAAATTTCATTTGCAAGTTCAATTGAAGTGTAAGTGCAATGGGATCATGTTATTAGTTCTCTTAGAGGCAAAGATTCCCAGGATAGGAAAATTTGTGTGTGCTTGCTGGGTCAGTGAGAAATGGGCTGGCAATGCAGTGTTCCTAGGGACACTCCTGGGATGGAAAGAGACATAGGAAGGGACTATTACTAAGCAAGGTGCTTTGATCCCTCTCTCCTTTTCTCCACCCACCCCCTGCCCACCCCTGCTCTTGATTGAAACAAATGATTGTGGTATTGTGACAAAAAAACAAATATAATTTTAATCCAAATTTAGTTCATTCTTTCAGTAAGAATATCTTTTCTTCCTTCTGCAATTAAGCATTCTAATTTTCTTTTTCCACTGCAAAATTGTGTCTTTTAGGTTGGCAGGGCTTCAAGTGGTATTGATTGTAATTTCTAATTATTTAAGCTATTTCAGCGATTAGTGAGAACTACTTCTATGATTATAGGATACTGTTGAACAATGGAGTTCTTTCAAAATCTCATTGGTCAGTTTCAATTTAGTTAGGAAAAAAATCACAAAGGCAAAAAATACAAGTTTTGAGAAACTACCCTTTTTAGCTTCAAACATGCATTTGTGTTCTTCCTATCAGAAGTAGAGTAAAAATTTTGCTGTACACTTGAGAGAATACTTCTTGTGTTGAACTTCTTTATAATGCAAAGATAACTTTTCCTTTCTGAGCAAGTTTTGAAATGCTGAGATACTTTTTTTCCTTTATAACTCAACTCTGGAACCAAAAGTTCCTTCCTTGGATTTGTGAATTCCCAACCCCCAAGAGTATAGTCCAAATTGATTTTGAGCCTTTTTTCTATTCAATAAAAATAGTAAATGGCACTGGCAATATTTGAGTTAGATAAATTCCAGTTAAGGTAAAGTCGAACTTGTTTGAGACCTGCTATTCAAATCATAACCAGTTCGGGCTGGAGGTGGTTCTCTTGCATCCATGTGTTCGAGGGGGTAGAAAGTTTATTCTCAAACTTCATGTGCACATATCAGTTGAAGAAATAAGATAATTATCTAAAAACTGAAAGCAAGAGTTTACTGTTTTGTTTTGGGTTTGCTTTTTGTTTTTTTCAAGCTGATATATTTATAGAAGTGAAATTTGTTATGTGGATGTTTAATGGATATTCAGATGGCAGCATCAGTTTTGTGTTTTTATTTTATGTCTGCTTTATGAGGTCAAATAAAGTAACTGTCCAGCTCATACAGTGTGATCATTTTCATTATTTATCAGATAATATGCATTTATAGTCAGTGGAACAACTGTAAGCTCCAAATATTGAGTACCATTCTTATTAATTTTTCTATACCCAGAGCACAAGAAATATCTCCACAATGTTCAGGATGTAGTAGGCATTCTATACATGCTTAATGTGAATTAACTGAACTAATGGGATGGTTGTTGTTGTTTTATTGTGATCTAGTTTTTTGACCTATAGAAATGCATCAATGGTCTCTTTGATATGTTCTATTCTCATTATTATGCCATTGAGAGGGTCTTAGGATACACGTATTAGGCTTATAATAATAGTTTCTTGAATTTGAATGACTTTAAGAGAAACACTCATATCCATTATTTTATCATGTTCTTACCACATCTCTGTGAAATTAGGAGGTATGGAAACCAAAAGTTTAAGTGATCATTTTTCATCATTATTTACTTGGACACCTAGGCCAGTTCTCCATTTTTTACTAACCATGTGGTGGGCATAATGAACACATTATTAATGTCTAATAAAAAATTGTCTTCCTGAAGGCTTGTTGATTGACAGGGTTAAAACAAAATCATGATGTGGAACTCAGAAATAAAGCTCTGACACCTTTACATTATTGGCATGCATTTTAAGGCTTTATTTTAAGTAGCTATTTTCAAAATTGAAGGTTGGCCTGATGGAAAAGTCAACTCAGGGCTATCTACTTGAGGATTGTTTGCTTGATAGATTAGCAAAACAGTTGCTGGTTCATTCCAAGTTTGGCTTTTTACTGGGTACAACTGAAGGTTGGTATGTACCCACATTGCAAAATAGTTTTAACAGTAAATTCAACAAGATGGAAATGCCTTCTCAATTATACTAATGCACCTATGGTTCAACTCCCGAGTGGGAGAATTGAGAACTGATTTTAAATGAAAAACTTTACATTAAAACACTTATTTAAGGTCTGCAAACATATTAGAAAGAAATGGCCTATCGTTCCTTAAAATTGCTTAGATTTTTTTTCCCCCTGCTTTGCCTATCTTATGGTCTTTCTCATTCTCTTTTTAGCGTCACAAGGCCTGAGGTTCTATTCAGTTACCTCTTGTTTCCATACACAATTTTTGCAGTTGGTTCTGTCAAAAAGATGGTCAATATTTAATTGACTGATGTTTCAGATTTTAGATCTGGAAAAGTCCTGTTTTTTCACCAAAATTTAATCATCCCAATCATTAAGGCTGTCCTTATGTTTGCTCAGATCAAACTTTCATTTCCTAAATTTTATTGCAGAGATAGAGCTTGGCTTTTTGTTTGTTTTATTTTATCTTCTTTCAGTGATGGGGTCTGGCTATGTTGCACAGGCTGGAGCACAGCGGCTATCTGTAGGTGAGATCATGGTACACTGCAGCCCCAAACTCCTGGGCTCAAGGAATCCTCCTGCCTCAGCCTCCTGAATAGCTGAGACTGCAGGTCCATGCCACCATGCCCAACTCTAAGACAGAGTTTATTAATGCCCTCAGAAACTTTTATTAAGACAGTTGAATTCTATTATGCTTATTTTTCTCTAAATGATCTAACCTAAAAATTTCAAGCATTTTTATTCTTCTTTTTAAACTCTGTGATTTTAAAAATCTTGAAACACATCCAACTATATGGTTGACTCAGATTTACTTGTAATTCATTATAACTTCCAATTTTTTTCATCTTAATGTATCAACCCTTTATGGACAGGGACCTTACTTTGTTCCATTTTCCTTTCGTTAATTCCTATCCTGTAGGATGTGCCTGTTATAGTCATAGGATGAGCTTCTTACATAGTTATTTACTTAATAAGCAAATTGATAGTAGTCTGTACCTGTATTTCTTAATAGTGATGACCAACACTTTAAACATTGTTCTCATATAAATGTTAGATAAGTTAGTAAGAGTGGTAACAAAACAATGAAATTTTTTTACAGAACTGAGGGTTATAGCAACTATTGCACAATAATTTGTGTTGAAGATAATGAGAAAGTTATCTCAGTACCATTTTATGTCCACCTTGTTTACCCTGTCTTTTGATATTTGAATAGGACAGCAGTAGACTTTAAAGACTAGCCTTCTGTGGTTATCTTCTTTTCTCCCTTGATTAAATTTTTAAAAGAGTAGCCCGATTCTTAGAACAAAATTTTACCACTTGGTTGGGGCAAAGATATCTTAACCCACAAGAACAGTTTATGTATATCGTAACTGCCCATACCTTACCAAATGAGACTCTGATTCTATGTAGATTATTCTAAGCCTGTTATTTAGAAAGATTCTGCAGCCTTTGAGAGCAAAGCAGTCATGGGATGTATTCCTTAAGTTGGTGATAGGTTTTTGCTTAACATTTTAAATGGTGTCTAAAGTCCCTGTAAATTTAAAGAGTGACTGTTGGGTTGCTAGCCCAGTGATTAAGAACTCCGTAAATGTCATATTTCATGGGTAGATATGAATAACTGTAACTTCTTATCTACAGTGACCTCAATAATTTTTCTCAGTGATGGAGCAGGCATCTAAAGGTTAGCTCTTTAAAGTTCAAAGCTAACTCGGATAGTGAGGCATTGGATCAGATGTGCAAGTGGATTTTTCATCTAATGTGCAGCAATGTCAAAGGGCTTTGGAGTTTGCCTGCCTGACTTTGAATCCTGGCTCTAGTATTTGCAAGCCCTGTGGAAATGCTAGTAAATGATTTA
Source organism: Homo sapiens (assembly GCF_000001405.40). Lineage (NCBI taxonomy): Eukaryota > Metazoa > Chordata > Mammalia > Primates > Hominidae > Homo > Homo sapiens. The sequence goes on from NC_000005.10 coordinate 96,125,579, forward strand.
ACATTTTTGTGTTTGTTTTCCTATTTGCATAAAGGATATAATTATAGTACTATCCTCGTAAGGTTGTTGTAAACTTAAAATGGTACACTCAGCTTAAAGTGCTCAGCGCTCAATAACAGTCAGATATTATCATTCTTCCTTTTCTATGAGGTATTTCTGTATCTTTTTTTAGCCATCTGCTCAACTTTTCCAGGACATATCTGGCACAGGGACTACTTCAGTCTGCTCCCACAGACTTCCCCTCTCTTCCCTTTCTTCCTTTCCAAACCGGCAGTGGTGTGGAATGCAGTCTTTCTAATTTGTTGTCCCTTTCATTTTCAGGGTTTTGACATTGCTTACTAGGAGAAAACAGACTTTAACAAGCATGAGGAGGTGTTAAAGCTTAAATTCTACAGAGTACTTACAGTTATGATCTCTGGTATGATTCTTGCTTTCTTTGCAGAAATGTTCTTTATTCATTCAAAAATTACCTGCTTTCTCCTTTCTCCATGAAGACCCTCTTTTAGAAGAATCAGTACAGAGTGTGTGTGCTTGTTTGATAGGGTAACAATTATAGATTTTTGCTCCATGAAGGAAAGGTTCCTTTGGGAATTCCTTTGCAAACTCAGCACAAAGTCTGTTATATTAATAATTTCTCAAACTCAAAAAGTGCTTGTGGTTGCTCCGTATGGGACTTCTGAAAAAAAATGTATAGCTGCAATTTGTGGGGAAGCTATACTGAGAAATAGATTGTGAAATTTATCTTTTATAAGGGTATTGTTGATGTTTTTGTTCCATTCGTTGTCCTCTTTTGAATAACTCTTGGGAAAAATTTCTATCTTGCTTTAGTATCAGTTGATTATTGATTTATTTTCCTAAGTCATTGTTCCATCTTAGGACTCATACTATATATAACTGATAAAGCTCATCTTTTCTGATATTTTGCCTTTTTTAAAACCTCATCTTTTTTTTCCCTTTTTCTTTTTAGTGTTTACATTTTGACTTAGTGACTTTATATTTTAAATATCTTTGTAAGCTATCTTAAATAGTTCCTAAAACCAAGGTAGCTGTTGTATTTGTAAGTATTCAAACTAGGGCATCCTAAAATCCATAATTTCTTCACAATAATTATAGTTATTTGTTTATCTCCATGTACCACAAACTGTACAAAAACACTGTGTACAAAACACTGTATAAATCATCTTTTTTAATCTCTATAATAGCGTTATGCAGAAGATATTATTTTCCTTTTTAGGTGAGAAAATTAAGGTATAAAAAGGTTAAGATCACAAAATTATGACCTTAGAAATTAGAAAGTCATATTTTGAATTCAATGGGACCCAGAACTTGGGCTCTAGCCTCTACCATTTCTAATTACTTGAAAAAGGATGAAGTAAATAGGTCCTCCATGTTTTGAAGGCTTATTGACTTATGACTTTTGTATGTTAGGGGCATAAGTATGTGGGCGATCCAAATCTTCGTTGGCAATGGTATTTGAACAGCTCAATGTCCAAGGACTTTAAAATATGTTGGAATAACTTAGCATTATTATCAAAAGTCAAGTTACAGATCAAGGTGAGCGTAATATATAGCTTTATTTGCAATCACCTCTGATAATTTTACCTGAATTTATTTTAAATGGTAGAGTGTGGCCAGAGGAGATTATTAGATGCATCATTACAAATTACAATTTTTGTGAAATTGTGAAATTCAGTAATTGGTTGTGTGAAGAAAGATACTCTTAGGGATAAACTTTCATTGTTATTGTTGTTCACTGTATTTTATTTCATTTTAAAAATCTACCTGATAATTCAGACAGGTGGTGTTCATTTTAAAAATGAAATGTAAATTCATCTGAAAATGAGCTAATATCCTCAAGTGTTACCACTTGCTGTGTCTGAAAGCTGAGTACTTCACCCAGCCACACCTCCTAGTTGTACTGATGAATTGTGAAGGAGAGAGGAGGGAAGAGCAGTTTGTTTTCATCTGTCCTTGATTGAGAAGTCCAAATATATTTTCTTTAGAGTATGCTTTATGGTCTTTCTACAGAATATTAAATTACAAGAGAAAAAAATGTTTCTTCTCTCTTTTTTTGTTCCCAATTTCCTTTAAAAATTTTTTTCCTAACAGTTTTGGAAAGCATTCTCCTTCCAAGCATTTAAAAGCTTTTTTGGCATCAAATGCTGCCAGTGTTAACACTGGCAATTGGTGCAACTTACAATAGTGCATTAAATATAAATCTAATTTTTATATCACTTGCTTAAAGTCGATTTGTGATAAACCCTGTTGGTAATGATATGAATTATATGGTATTATGAATTATTGCATGTGTGCCTCATGCGACTGAACTATATGGATGTAGGCATTTACATGTTAACTTCAGTATCACTGAAGCTCTACAGATTAATTTTTGTTGTGTCTTTGTCAGCTTTGAATAAGGTCATGATGAGTTTCTATGTCCTTGAGTTAGGTAATTTCCTGTCTGGGAAAGAGACACTGAGTAATTAAAATAAATTATTTTAAGCACTTTTTGGAATTTCAAATTAACTTCTGACATAAACCTTTCTCATCTGGATAACTTCTCAGTCTTGAGATTTTTAGTGGCATGCCCTGTTCCCTTCGTGTAATTAGAATATTGCAGGGTATTTGAGCATTTAGCAGGTTTATCAAATGTTTTGAAGCCCCCTGAGGAATACACAGAAGCATAATATTTTCTAAACTTTTCTGGTCTGTCTCTTTTTGTGAACGGGAGCGTTTATTTTGGTTTTAACTACACAGTATTTGATTTTAGTCTGATTGATGTTTCCTCGGCCCTGGACTCTGCACAGTTAGGTTTTGCTTAGAGCACTCACCTTCAGTGAGTCTAACTTTTCTCTTTGCTTCCTTAGTTCTCTAGAGACCTTTTGGCTCCTGGTTTATTTTTTATTGTTGTTCTAGGGTCTGTGCCTTTACCAAATTAGATTTTCCCCTCAATTTAACCTTGCTTTTTAAAACAGAAGGTGAAAGCGACACTATCCTCCAACCTTTCTCAACTTCAGCTGAGGTTCGCATGAGAGAAGCAAGCACTACTGAAAACGACTTCAGTAGTTGTTTTCTTGTCTCCTGAGAGTGGTACATAGGTAGTACCCTTCTGGATGCATAGAAGTGAAATTAATTCACTCCATTAACTGATGCCTCTGGACATTAGAGCTTAATTATCTTGCAGAACCCCAGTTCAGAAGGACAGTAGAACTTGGTTTAAATGGATCCCCCAAAAATGGGTGGGATGGATACTGCTTCCTCAGGGCCTACATTGCACAAGGTCATGTACAGGACATCTTAAGATGGATTATTTCATTTAATATGAGACTTCACTTGAAAAGCTGTGAAAGTAGGGCCAGTGATTGAGCTTCAGTTAGACCTTTCATTATCTTTTATTTATTTTTTAAAAGGCTTACAGGAGACCCAGGCTAAGTCAAGTATGTTGTTTTCTCTTGCAGCTGAAATGATAAATCAAAGACCTTAAGACTGAGCTACCTAGCAATAGAGACCATGTCCATTTTGCACTCTTCTCTATCCTTAGCAAATAGAATTTCTGGCCTATTACAGGTGTATGTTAAATATTTTTGTTAAAAGTCAGATGCAATCTAGACCAGATATACTGTGCATATTCATTCTTAATATCCCCCAAGACAGTTTTATATGCTTTCATTTAAAATGTATACAGATTGTAAATAGAATATGAATCTGGTTATGGTCTGGCTGAGCCCCCAGATCTTTATTAAAGTGGGTGGATAACAATTCAGAGAAGGCTAGGCTTGAGTGGATTTGTTTCATGAACCTGGTGGGTGAGAGAGGCAAGCTTCAACAAGAGGAAGTCTTGTCCTGGAAGTCTGTCACAGGAAGCTCAGATTCTCTGGTTCCTGGGCCTTTGGCTGATGCTGCACCAGGTAAATGAAGAAGGAATTACAATAGGACAGACACTTCTCATCAGGAACTGTCATGAATCACTGCTTTATTGAGAAGAAATTGTTCAGTAATATGAGGAAATTGTTCACTTTTGACATAAGAGTGATCATCAGTGGCACAGTGATGCATGAAATAAAGTATTCACTACTATTTCCCGATCCATTTAAAAATAATTTAGGCTTAAAATGACATCAGAGATATTTTTCTATATTATACATATTAAGAACAATATGACTTTGGTGAAAAGGACTCTAATAAAAACATGAAATCATTTAGAAAATGGAACAAAACTTTGACAAGTAGAAAAGTTTATGATTTCAAATACTATGAAGCTATTTCTAAAAAGTATTAATTATAATAGCATTGCCTTGATTACCTTTGTTTTTTTACCCAGAGTGTGGTATTTTGAGGCATCCCTTATAACTAATTGTACTTTGTTGAAATCGGTATGCCAACTATGTGAGATTACATACAATTCCATATGAATAAATGCACCAGGTAAGAAAACACACACACTTTTTTTTTTTTTTTTTTGAGACGGAGTCTTGCTGTCCCCTGGGCTGCAACTTTCTTCCAGAGTACCTGTGAAAAAAGGGTTAGTGGGGAAGAGTAACTTACAATGGAGAAACATAACAAACACTACCTCAGCCAAGTGATTAAGATCATCACCAACAATGCTAAGTCATGTTGATAGAATGTATCTTCAATTTGATACAATTAAAATAGCACTTCCCATAACCCCAGTCCAATATGTGAAAAAAATCAGACAAATCCCAATTTACGGATATTCTACAAAATACCTGATTAGTCCTCCTCAAAACTGTCAAGGCCATCAAAAAACAAAGAAAGTCTGAGAAATTGTCACAGCACAAAGGAGCCTAAAGACACAGAAGATGTAACATGGTCTCCTGGATGGTACTCAGGAACAGAAAAAGGACATTAGGAAAAAAAAAAAACCTAAGGATATTATCTGAATAAAATATGGACTTTAATTAACAATAAAGTATCATACTGGTTCATTAATTGTGACAAGTATACCATATTAATATGAGATGTTAAAAATAGGAGAAACTGTATGGAGGGTATTGTTCTGCAAATCTAAAGCTGTGTTAAAATTACATGTTTATTTTTTAAAATTGCACATAAAAGATTACTAATTCTAAAATATAAAATATTACAAATCGAAAAGAGAAAAACAACTCAAAGAGAGGGAAAGGCTATTTAACAGGATATCTACAAGAGAGAAAATCCAAATGACCATAAAATTTAACCAACAAACCAAAAGAAGATACTGACCTTATCTAATAAAAATTAAAACATGATACTCTTTTATAACCATCAGTTTAGCCTACAATTAAAAGAGTAAAAATATCCATTGCTTACAAGCATGCAGAAAAATGGACAATCTCCTACATCGTTGAGTGAAGTGTGATTGCTATGACCTTTTACAAAGTATGAATAATATCTATCACAATAAGAAACATACATACACCTTTATCTAGCAATTGTAGTTTCCCAATCTATCCTACAGCAATAAAAGCAGCACAATGAAAATACATATGCATTGTTACATTGTAATGTTGTAAAACAACATTTTCAGTGGTGAAAAATAGAAACAAACTTAATGGCCATCAATAGGGTAATGGTTAAATAAATTATGGTATATATAGACTGTAAAATATCATGCAGTTACTAAAAAGAGTATATGTCTATTAACCTAGAGAGATGCTATGAAGTTATTTTAAGTGATGAAAGAAAATTGTAGAGTAATATGTACAGTGTGATAGTATTTTTAAAACCCTTTCTATGTGCCTCTAAGTTTAAATATTTTTGGAAGCCTGCACAACTGGCTGTTAACATCAGTTATCACAGGAGAATGGAATGCAGCTGTAAATTTAATATCTTGTTATTATACACACACACACACACACACACACATACATACTAAAATAAAATAAAATAAAACCTCAAGCATGATTGCCGTATGTTACATTTAGCTGTGGGATGTTCAGGAAAAATAAATGGCAGAGCTGCAGCAATTGACTTACATGATTGCTGCCTAGCAGCATTTCTGTAACACAGTAAAATGAGAAGATATTCTCCTTGGGATCACCGTAACCTACTTTTTACATTAAGAGAAAAAGCACCAAGGTATTTATTTTTATCAGCGACCTACATGAGAGCAATGAGCCCAGGAAGTCTGTATTTGCTCTCATATAGGTGAGACTGCTAACTTCCTAGAAGTTGGGAAGAGTTCACACCAACTTTTGATAATTCAGAAAAATAGCATTTTAGAAAATAAAATGAAGTCCCACAAACATAAGTATCAAATCATACACAGGGAGGACCCAAAACAAGAAATTCGATTCAGGTGATGTTGGCAGCCATGGGACATGTCTGAAACCAGTTCAATCAGCAAGAGTAGCAGGGTACATTGAAAAGACACAAACCCAACTGGATAAGTCTAGAAAGCAAAAGCCAGAAAATGGAAAATGTAGTAGAACATTTCAAAACTGTTCAATTTCTTCTACACACAACATAGTCAAAGCTTTATTCAGCCACACAAAGGAAACATAGTATCTGAAGCTACTCAATCCAATCTTAAATGTATGGCTATACTTATAATCAAACACTGTTTAACAGAAGCAGTGTCAATGAGTATGTTTTGACAGAAGGGAGGGAGGGAAAGAGGGAAGCAATTAAAAGTAAAGTTGCAAAAGATAATGTTGAAAGCCTGCACTAGGGAAATAGCCATTTTTTCTTTTAAAAAATTTTATTGATACATAGCAATGGCATGTATTTATGGGGTATATGTGATATTTTGATACATTTGTACAATGCATAATGATCAAATTAGGGTAATTGAGGTATCTATCACCTCAAATATTTATTTCTTTGTGTTGAGAATATTTCAAATCTTTTCTTCTAGGTATTTTTAAAAATACAATAAATTACTGATAACTATAGTCACCTTACTGTGCTATCAAACACTCCAGCTTATTCCTTCTATCTAACTGTACTTTTGTACCCACTAAACAACCTCTCTTCATTCTCGCCCCCCATTTTTCCCAACCTCTAATAACCACAATTCTACTCTCTACCTCTATGAGATCTGTTTTGGCTCCCACATATGAGTGACAATGTGTGATAAGGAATGGCTCATCTTTAATTTGAAAGACTATGGATATAGAAAGGCAGACCTTCTTGAGTCTTCATGGACTGAGAGAACAGACAGAAGGAAAATTATATAAATATTTATAGCCAACCTGGTTAACACAGTCTTGCAAATTGAAGGAAAATATGTCCCAGCTGTAGTAAACCTATAGAATGAGAGTTTTATGAGCAATCTTGAAGCATATCCACTGGACTTTATAGTAAGTTCTCTAGACATATGAATATAAGACAAGATGCTAAAAGGAACAGATACAAAGGAATCCACATGCCAGATAAGGATATCAGTGTATTTCAGATTAGAGCTTCAGAAATATTAAGATGACAGGCAAGAGTCAGGCCTCAGAAGTGGCAAAATTACAGTGCTTTCTTTTGTAACCAAGTCTGTCACATGAAGGGTACATCTTAACTCCAAAGATGTCAGGAAGAAACAGAAAGTGTTTTAAAAGTCTTACTTACACTCAAGGCATTTGCTGAAGCAAAAGAATAAAGTAGAAAAGAATAATATGCTGTGACCAGACAAAACAAAAGTTAACATTAAGAGATTAGCAAATGTATCCACTCTGGCTTAAAGACCACTTTTGGTTCTGGTCATAGACCCCTCAAAACGCTTTGAGAAAAAAAAAAAACACACACACACATGAGTTTTCCTAGAAATGTTAAGCCTCCCTCAATGAGGTAATTTTGAGAGAAAAAGGATGTGGGGACAAGGCAGAATAATGGAAGGAGTGCTGGAACAAAAGTGAGAAACCTTAGGTTCTAGTCTTGGCTCTACCCCTGATTCACTGTGACACCCTGAGGTTTTCTGTAACATTCTTTACGACATGAGAGGGGTGAAGTATCCCATTCCAATACTTTAAGTGGTATAACTGAAATGTGTTTCATTTTGCTTTAAATGGAAATTTACTTGTGCTTATGGTTCTGAGTTTGAGCCAGTTTCCCATATTTTCCTTCTGAATAAGGCTATAATAAAATCTTCATTACAAATTTTTGTAATATTTTAAATTCTTACCTGGAACTGCAATGGTCTAGGCAAGTGTTTATAAACTTGTTTTACAATGCACTTTGATCAACAGGCTGGTTACACAAAGACTGATGTACAAAATAGAAAAGGGGGGCTGCATTGGTGAAGACGAGAAGCCAGGGTTTGGAGAACAGGAACAAGGGCTACGAAAGGTCAAGTTCTGCTCACTCAACTTCCCCACTGTGTTTTTGGAGAGGCCCCTGTGGGCTGCTACTGAAGCCCTCAGACTCCTAAGATTAACAGTGAAAGTCAAGGTTCTGTGAGAGGTTTTACCCCAAACAAGTGATGTGGGCACACATATTTGGCAACAAACGTTGAGGAACACAACTCTGTTTAAACCACCGTAAAACCTCCGTTTCTACAGTGAGGGAACTAACACCATTTGGCCTTTAGTTGGTAACAATTAATCACAAATGCCTGTAAAGGACTGAAAAGGCCGCTACAGTGCTCTGTTACAGTTTTCCAGGTTACCCCAAATGTGCTCATGTGAATTTTTTGTTTACAGAACTATTAAAATGAAAATACAAACATAAAACCAAAACCGTGTGACAACTGCAGACCCACAAGAATATGCCTTTCACCCCATAGAGTTTCTCTAACCTCTTTTTGATTAAAACTGATTTCAGAAAGGGCAATGCAATCTCCATTTTCTTTCTCAGAAGTCTTTAAGATATATATTACATCTGTGAAAAGTCGCTTTACTGAATAACTGGCACAGACTTCAATGATGAATACATCAAGAATCTCAGCTTCAGCCCAATCTGTGCCTCTACTGGGATTCAGCTGCTCCTGGGCCTTTAGGGCGACCCAAGGGATTGCTCCCACCCACAGCCCACCTGAGGCCTGTTTGCATGAGTCAATTTGTAGGAAGTCTGGTGTGGAAGCAAGAAAGGGCTACACAAAAGTCAAGATATGGGGTAGCAAGCCCTGTGGATTTCCCTAAGCCATAGGAAGAGAGAGGTGGCAGGCCAGTGGTACCTAAAGGCACAGGAGAACATCTAAATAAAGAAGTCTCTCACCCAGTCAATATTTATGGAGTGCTTACTATACATTCCATGTATTGTTCCAGGCAGTGGCAATACAGCAGTGAAAGAGCCACGGTTTTCTGCCTCTAGTAGGAAGAATAGCACATAAGTAAGTTGTAAATCTTAACAAGTGCTATGAAGGAAATAAAGAAAGCCTGTGGTAAGTGGGGACAACTTTGAATAAAATATAAAGGGAAGACCTCCACAAGGAGGGACATGGGAGCTGACAAGGAAAGATGAGAAAATGGAGTGAGAAGGAGAAAGACACTTCCAGGAAATAGCGAGAACACAAGTCCTGTGGCAGGAGAAAGCTTGGCACTTGCAGGGACCAGAAGGCCGGCAGCATAGTGGGAGCCTATTGAGAGTGGGTGGTACAGCAGGACAGGCCAGGTTCCCTCCCACACCATAAGGGTTTGCATTCAATCCTCAAAGCTATGGAAACCCACGGGATGACTTTAAACAAATAATTTATTTTACTTACTGCTTTAAAATATCACTCTGCTGTGAAAGGATGGAGTATACAAAGCAAGAGTGTGTAAAGGGAAAATAGAATTATCTTAAAGTCAGCCAGGAAGAAAATGATGGTGTCTGGGACCAGGGGTGGCAGTGAGAATGAGACAAGAAAATAGTTTCAAAGTTTATTTTGGAAATAGAATTGCTGATGGGTTGGTTATGGGAGGTAATGGAAAAGGCAAAATCAAGAATGACTCCTAGGTTTTAGCTTAAGTAATTGGATGTATGGTGGTGGTTTAGGTAAGGGGTAAGGGAGAAGTTAGCACAATCTTAGGAGAATAATATGAGATGTTGACTAATATTAACCAAACATTAGCTGGAGATTTCTAACTCTTAAGATCTAGGTAGGACAACCTTGAGATCTCAGATCTATAGCCTGGGAAAGAGTAGATTCCAAGATTTCTCTTTTTTCCCAAGGGCTTAGGATCTCACCATTGTCTTGTGTTTCTGCCTTCTGTGTCCTCACCTCCAACCTCCATTCATCCCTCTCAGCCTTTTCCCTATTTTCTTTTTCTTTATTTTAAAAATGTGTATATGAGGCCAGGCATAGTGGCTCATGCCTGTAATCCCAGCACTTTGGGAGGCTGAGGTGGGCAGATCATGAGGTCAAGAGATAGAGACCATCCTGGCCAACCAACATGGTGAAACCCCATCTCTACTAAAAATACAAAAATTACCTGAGCGTAGTGGCACACACCTGTAGTCCCAGCTACTCGGGAGACTGAGGCAGGAGAATCGCTTGAACCTGGGAGGCGGAGGTTGTGGTGAGCCGAGATCACACCACTGCACTCTGTGTGTAGCCCAAACACTTAAAGAATGGAGAGTTATGCTCAACCTCTTTTTGAGGGTCCAATGTCTACGTAAATTATTTGTAATTCTTCTCTCAGTGAGATTGTTTGTTCTCTTCTCCCCTATTTATGTATTTCTTCAATCACTTATTTTTGTCAATAAGTGCTGTAGAGCAGTGGATGTTAATTTTATATTTTGGGTTCTAATTTGATATTATGTTATTTATTTTAGTGTTCCTCCTTCACCCCACTTATTAACTAGAAGAAATTTTTTCAGTTCGCTCCTGTCTCCTGTGCCCATTTGACATAATTGCACCTCTTTTGTTTTGTTTTGTTTTGTTTTGTTTTTGAGCACTTCCTTAGCTTTCTGGGACTAAAGATACTCCAGGCTCAACTTGCATATTTTCTGTCCCAGTTCTAGAATCAGCCACTTCTCCAAGGAGCCCTGGTTCCTCTTGTTGGATACTGTATTAGAAAACAAACAAGCTAACATTTGGACACTAGATATGCCTGCTGCTGTGGCAGTGTCATTGCCTCAAGGCCACCTCAGCTGATAAAACAAGGAAATGTATCTATATATACATATATGAATATATTTTTCTATATGTAACCATCTGTCTATATTATGCTCAATATGAGTTTATACTAACATCCACAATGCTAATTTATTACTACCTGTGTAATTCTAGCCTCTTCCTCTTGCTCATCTGTAATCTCCCTCCAACAATGAGAAAAACTGGCTTTCCTCAGCTGTCATTCATTTTTTAATTTGTTGCATTATATATATGATATCAGAATTGTTAACCCATACTCGCAGGGGAAACAACTTTATCAACAAGAGTTCAATATTTATGACAGTTTTTTTGCCTTTAGTCTTACATATTCCACTTACTTCCGAAGCTATTTGGGTTAGCACTTTTTGTCCCCACTCCTTTCTGTGAAGTTGTTTCATAATTTTTTAATACAGTTAGACTGCTTTGTCACATTCTGCAGGCTATCCTGGTATCCTTTGAGCTCCTAAATTATATTTTTAAATTTTCATACCTTAAGGTTTACCCTTTGTGCTGTAAAGGTTTGGACCAACTCTCATGTATCTGCCATTTCAGTAATACAGAGGATAGTTTCAATGATCTGGAATATCTCTGGTGCTTCAGTTGTATGAGCCCCCTAACCACTGATCTTTTTATCTTCTCACTACTTTTGTCTTTTACAGAATGTGACATAATTGGAATCATAGAGTAAGTCTTCTCAGACTGGTATCTTTCACTTAGCCATGTGTATATAAGATTAATACATGTCTTTTCATGGGTTTATAGCTCATTTTTTTATTGCTCAATAATATTCCATTATATGGATATATTGCAGTTTGCTTATCCATTCATTTATTGAAGGATTTCTTACCATCTTCCAGATTTTGCTGATTATAAATACAACTTCTGAAAACATTCATGCTCAGGTTTTTGCATGGACATAAATTGTCAATTAGGTAGATACCTAGGAGTGCAATTATCAGATCATATGGTAAGACCATATTTACCTTTGTAAAAAGCTGCCAAAATGTCTTCCAAAGTGGTTGTACCCATCAGCAATGAATGAGAATTCATATTGTTTTGCATCCTTGCTAGCAATAGGCATCATCAGTTTTTAGATTTTTAACTATTCTAGTAGATATATAGTGGTATCTTGTTGTTTTAATTTGTGACTTCCTAATGACAAATTATGTTGAGCAATTTTTCATATATTTATTTGCTATCTGTATATAATCTTTGGTGAGGTGTCTGTTCAGATCTTTTGTCTGTTTTTTAGTTGGTCTGTTTTCCTATTGTTGATTTTTAAGTGTTCTTTCTATATTTTGAATTTAAGTCCTTTATCAAATACATATTTGCAGTTTTTTTTCTCCCAGTAGTGGCTTGTCTTTTCATTTTCGTAACAGTGTCTTTCACAGAGCACACATTTTTAACTTTAACAAAGTCCAACTTATGAATTTCTCCCTTCATAGGTTGTGCTTTTGGTGTTATAAATGAAGTTCATCATTAAACCCAAGAACACAGGTATTTTCCTATGTTTTCTTTTAGAAGTGTTATAATTTTGAATGTTACATTTAAGTCTGGGATCCAGTTGAATTAATTTTATGAAAGGTATGACGTATGAATTTAGGTTCTTTTTTTTCTTTTAACATATGGTTATCTAACTGTTTCAGCACCATTTATTGAAAAGACAATCCTTTTTTTCATTGAATTGCCTTTGCTTCTTCCTCAAAGATAAAATGATCATATTTATGTAGGTCTATTTCTGTACTCTCTATTCTGTTGCATTGTCTATTATTTTTGTAATAACACATTGTCTTGATCTCTATAGCTTTATATTAAGGCTTTATATTAAGTCCTCCAACACTGTTCTTCTTCTTTAGTTATTGTGGTGGCAATTCTAGGTCTTTTGCCTTACCATATACACTGTAGAGTCAGTTTTTCAATAGAGACGAAATACCTTGCTGGGATTCTGGTTGGGGTTGCTTTAAAGTTACAGGCCAAGTTGGGAAGAATTGATACCTTAACAATGTGTGTTTTAATTCATAAACACAATATTTCTCCATTTATTTAGATGGTTTTTATTTCTTTCATCAGAATTTCATATTTTTTGATATATAGATTTTGTATATATACATAAGTATTTTATTTTATTTTTTGGGTGCTATTTTAAATGGTATTATTTTTTAAGCTTCAGATTCCAATTGTTCATTGCTTTTATACAGAAAAAGAATTGGACTTGCTTATTAGTTCCAGGAATTTTGTTGTTATTGTTGTTTCTTTGGGATTTTCTACATGGACAATCATTGCTATTTGTAAATACAGTTTTATTTCCTCATTTATAATTTGTTTATTTTTTATTTCCTATTTTTGTCTTATTGCACAAACTAGGACTTCTGGTACAATGCTTAAAGGAGTGGTGAGAGGAGGCATCCTCACCTTGCACCTAATTTAAAGGAGAAAGTGTCCAGATTTTCACCTATATGTATGAAGTGAGCTGTGGGTCTTCTGTAGAAGTTCTTTATAATTTTCAGGAAGTTCTCCTCTATTCCTGGTTTGCTGTATGTCATCTATTTTGCAAATATCATTCCCATTCTATAATTTCTCTTTATATTTTATTTGATTTCTTGCCATATCTACATTTTATGCTTATTTAGTTTAATAATCTCCATTCTCTAAGATCTTCCTATATAAAGTCTCATATAAACTTCAAGCTCCTTTTATCACTACCTCTTGCATTCTCCCTTTATTTCTCTCTCCAATGCCTAAGACTTCCTAGTGTTTTAGGGCTTAGTGTCTAGGAGTCAGCATTTTCTGGGTTCAATTCCTAGATCTCCACTTACTAGTTACCTAATCTTGGAAAATTTAACCTCTCTGAGTTTTAGTTTTCTCCTCTGAAAAAGTTGGGGTAGTATAGCTTTCTCACAATGTCCTTGTAACATATATATATACACATATATATATGTGTATATATATACATATATATATGTATATGTATATATATGTGTGTGTGTGCTTAACAAGTCGTTGCTGTTATGTTTATTTTTTATGAAGAAAGTTGCTGTATTTTTTTCATTCTGGAAAGCATTAAGATGACATAATCAGTTTTGTGGCATATCTGGGGAACAAAAGTGGCCAGGATATAGCTCCATTTATGCGACTATTTTCTTCTGTAAGTAGATAATTATCTTTGTCATATTCTAGGTCCGACCATGTTATGTCACTGTTATAAATAATATTCCCCTTCTAATTACTAATTTTGACCTGAACAATAGAAGTGGTATTAAATTTTTATTGCAGTAAAACTTTAAGAGGGTGGGAGGGCAAACTCTCATCAGACATAAATAAAATGTGGCTAGAACCTAGAAAGTTGATTGCTTAAATGCTTTACATCCATTGCAAGGAATAAAAAGGGTTACTAGTACACAAAAGAAAAGTCTTAGTGTACCATTATTTCATATTGATATTCAAATGGAGTTTGTAGTTCAGCACACACAGTTGGCTGTGGAGAAGTTGATGATGGCTGTTCTTCTTTGTCACAGTAGTCATTTTGTATTTCTTAGATTGACATCCTAAATTAGGAACCACTTGGCTAGAAATAGCTAGGGTTCTACTGGGGAGAGGATTTAATTGGGAATATGCTCTTGGAACTTCTGAATTTGAAGAAGTGTGGTTGTTGAAAGCATATCAAGTATTTGGAAAGTAATATTTGCCAACCATGTGAAATCAACATTATTCCTGGGCTGGAGATTGAGCTATTTGGGTGCCAGGAACCCGTTGTTTCTCTTGCTTTAAATTGCTTAACCTTTCTTGATTTCTTCAGATATAAAAGTTATCATACTTTTCATTATTTAGATCACAGAATCTTGTGAGAACAGAATAGAATAATGCAGGTCTAAGATTCTTCATTTGCTTTCATTACTTATAGGCTGAAATCTCAATTCTTTTGGCAAACTCATGGTGGCTGAAAGCACGGTTTTTAGAGTTAGATAAATGCTCTGAGCCCAGATTCTGACTCTGCCACACACAGCTATGGCCTTGGACAGTTTACTTGACCTCTCCAATCTTCAAATTTCTTACTTATAAAATGGAGATAATGATAATCTCTTCCTGAGTTGGTTGGTGCGAGAGTTATGTTGGGTAATGTATTTACAGTGTAAGCACAGCACTTCATGCATTATCTGTGTTCAGCAGTGATAGCTGCTGGTATCCTCATCACCATGACACATAAGGCCTTTGTTACCTGGTCTTTCCAACTTCATCTGGCATCATTACCCCTATCAATTTATCCTTGTTCATCCTGAATATATTTCTCTATTGTAACACTCCTCACTCTATTGTAACACTCCTTACCTCCTGACTTTTATTCACCATTACACTGTGTCTTTTTGATGTTAGAAATGTTACCTTATTCATAGCTGGATCTTCTTTAGTTAACATATAGTGGGATTGCCGCCAGTTAACTCGAGAAAATTATGCATAGAATTAAACTAATATAGGGATAATCATAAATATGTAGGAATTTGTCAGATAAATGTATATTCATTATACATTCAGATAAATGTATATTCATTATACATTAATGATTCACTGCATTCATAATTCAGTGAATGATAATTCCTATGTATGTAATACATCTTAAACTGGTGGCCAATGGGCCAAATTAAGTATATTGACCTGTTTTGTTTGGATTTTTGATGTTAAAATAAATCAGGAGACTTTACAACAAACATCTGAATTTCTGGCTTCTCTTGAGAAGGTTAGCGAGCTGGCAACACTAAACCTCCATCGCATAGAAATGGTTGGCATTCTCCAATTAGATTCGTTTTCTACTCAAATGATAAGTAACATAGACACCTCACACTAGTGGCTTTTTGTGTGGCCACCAGCTAAAAGTTCATCCTTTCCCCCAGAAAAAAACAATTTGATAAATGCAGAATAGGGAATTGCATTCCTCTTTACTTATTCCCAGATGGGTGGGGTATAACTGCTCTACCTGAAGGAGCAAACGCGGACACCCACACCATGCCCCAGTTTGCCTAACCAATGTTCTTAAACAGGTTTGATCTTACTAAAGTCTATATCTCTATTGCTATGTATAGTCTTGCTATTGAAAATCCTATTCAAAGCTGCTATTGTTGATTTTATTCTGTGCTCTTCTGAGAAGTCCTACAGCTTGTAAAGATAAACTTGAGTTGTTTATGGAGATGGTTTGTGTTGGATGAGCTCTGTTCTCTTACTTACAACCCTACGACCAATGGGCACATGGTGTCAGCCACATAGTGACAGAGTGGAGGGGCGGCATGCGCTAATGTTAGGAGGGTGTGTAGCCGAGTATTTGACATTGGCATCAGGCCAGCTTACAAGTTTTTTCTTTTTGAGTGTACACATAAATGTTGACCATTTGAGGAGTTAAATGTTTGTTATCTTCTGTGGTTACAAGTTCATTCCATAAATGCCCATGCTTAGGAGAATCCCCAGAAAGAACAAAGGAAAATGATTTAGCAATAATCTCATTAATTTGGTCAATGTAGACATTCCAATTGGCTATATCATATTCCTTTTAAAATTTGAATTGGCCAGGCACAGTGGCTCACACCTGTAATCCCAGTACTCTGGGAGGTCGAGGCAGGCAGATCACAAGGTCAGGAGTTCGAGACAGCATGGCCAACATGGTGAAACCCCGTCTCTACTAAAAAAATACAAAAATTAGTCAAGCATGGTGGCGTGTGCCTGTAATCCCAGCTACTCGGGAGGCTGAGAGGCAAGAGCATTGCTTGAACCTGGGAGGCAGAGGTTGCAGTGAGCTGAGATTGTGCCACTGCACTCCAGCCTGGGCAACACAGCAAGACTCCATCTCAAAAAAATTTTTGAGTTGTGCACTTTTTAATTGTTTACATCGACTAACACTTTATTCTGTATTTTACAGGCACAGCATAAAAGGCAGATTAAGCAAAAAGATAGTATTTTTCTCTGGGCAGAGTGTGGAAATTTGAAGCTCTTATCAGACTTTGATACCTATAAATGTTAAATTATACTAGGTTGGCACTTCCTGTATTTCCTTGTCATTGAATATATTTTCTTCTTCTTCAGCCCCAAGTGAACTTTCAACAATGTGTCTTTAATCTACTCACATGAGAAGAGGTATGGTGGAGGTGCAGTGGGAAAATACTTAAAAATGTACTAAAAATTGTGTATAATTCAGCTTAAATACAGGAATAAACATGATTTGTGTGAGGCTTGGCAGCTTCCCATTCCTCTTTCAAAATAAAGCACATCTGAAACACCTTCACAGGGCATGTACTAATTAGCTCTTGGTGTTTGCTAGTTATTGTGTTATTACCTAATCTTATCCAGTCAGACATCCAAAAGGAGGCCCATTTCCAAGAGGCAGTATGATTCAGTAGATTAGAAACAGACCCTGAAGTTTGACACTCTGGTGCTGCTGACTTACCAGATTCTTGGGAAAATCACTCCACGTTACAATGTCTGAGTTTCAATAAGGGAGAACGGTTTTCTTTCTTCCGACTTCAACATAATGATATTGTAACAACTAAAAGTAAATTGCTGTAAAAGACAATTCAATGACCATAATAAGAAGTAATTGGATGTATATATAAACAATATTTATAAGAGGATGTAATAACAGTGATGCAATTTTCCTTCCCACATGACTCTATTACAGGCATGATTTCTCTTGTAAAAACAGGAACTCTCACACAGTCTTCTTATCTGACCTGTGAAATGGACTTGCTGGGTTAACTGAGACTCCACTGAGGTGGGGATAGTGTGCCACCTGTATGCACTTTTAATCTATAGCTTAAATCTCCTCTGTGAAGCCTTCTCCAGCATCTTCCCCCATCTAATCCCCTGACCCAGTTGAATTTGCTCTCTTGCTATTGATACCACTTAACTTTTCTTACAGAAGCTGTGACCCAGAATTGAATTGTCATTTTCATGTGGGCCGATTCCTAAACTGAGTGCCTTGAGGGCAGGACCCAGGGCGGGTAGAGTGCCTGGTCCCCAGCTGCCTGCTAGATATATGTTTATTGAATGGATGAGTCTAACCATTAACAATGGTGCTTGGGTAAACATTTACTTTAATGAGGCTAAGTTATTTCAACTCTATAAACCTCAGATTTTTCCATCTGTGAATGAGGATTTGGACAAGCTTGTAAAAAAAAGTTCCCTTACAAGTCCAAATTTGAGTCTGATTTTGTATATTGTAAAACATGGCAAATATATATAACCTAATGCATTTATAGAGCCTTTTTTTGGATGATGTGAAAAACAAAGATTTGAGTTTCACTTATTGAAATGTTATTTTTAAATTTTTATTTATTAGTGTCTTTGTACTCATTTTTATTTCAGAAAGTATTGCTAAATAATGAGAATTAGGCAATCAGACACTTGAGGGGCTATTTGTTTCTATACATATACTTGGTAGGACGGCCTCTGAGAATTATAGCAAGAAAATGAACAATTACTTAATATACTTATGTAAAGTCAAATAATGAAAAATTGAGGCAGTAAAACATAATTAGGTGTCTTGACGGCCAGAACATAACAATTATGACTGTCACCAATGATTATTGTCCTAAGTGAAAATGCATCCGTTTTGGTGGAAACATTAATATTTGAAAGTTATCATTAAGAATTTTGATATATTAAAAATTTCAGGTAGACAGAGGCTTCTATGTACATATAGAATTAACTTTGTTAATACCAGATGACCCATCTTGTTATAACATGACTACTGACTCCATTCTTTCAAAGATTGAAAGACTGACCAAAACGGAGTTTGAGACCTGCCCTTTCTTTAGCACTTTTTAAGGTGCTGAAAGCCTTGTTTTTCCTCTTCCCAGACCTGACTTGCTTTGGGAAGCTCAAAGCTGCAGAGCCTGTTTAGCCGCTGCTATTTACATGACTAAGGTTTGTATCCCAATTGCTTTTAGTTGAGAAAGCACCTTTAAGACATTTAGTGATGCTTGTGCTTGGAGGTATTTATATTTGAAATTCTTCTTTATCACTTCTTTACTTCCACTTTGGCCTCTTTTGCTTCTTTCTTTGCTATGACTGTCATTCATTTGTTCGTTCATAAACACATACCCAGACACCATTTTTTTTTTTTTTTAGACGGAGTCTCATTGTGTCACCAAGGTGTAGTGCAGCAGCGTGATCTCGGCTCACTACAACCTCTGGGTTCAAGTGAATCCAGGTTCAAGCGATTATCCTGCCTCAGCCTCCTGAGTAGCTGGGACTACAGGTGCGCACCACCATGCCCAGCTAATTTTTTTTTGTATTTTTGGTAGAGACGAGGTTTCACCATGTTTGCCACTTTTATATACCGAACACTTTGCTGGGTTCTGGAGATAGAGAGATACGGGTATGCTCCTCACCCTCTAAAATTTACTGCCCATATAATTTTTCTGGGTTAGAGGTCTTTGCAAGTTGCTCTTTTGCTAGTTGTAGCCTCTCGGCATGTACTTATACTTTGAATACTTAGCTTTTGACTCTTAGCTTTAAATAATTGATTCCTAAGTGCTGTAACATATTTGTGAACATCAACCTGCCCAAGCTGTCTTCAGCTATCAGTTAATAGCTATGATCACTTAATATTAGTTTATCTTTCATTTTGCAAGTATGTGTTTTCCCAAAGAAATTCAGAACTAGGATAATGCTTTTGCAGCTGTAAACTTTCTGGTAATCATGTTCTTGATCTTGTTTGGTTACTACATTTAGGGATAAATGTGGAAAGGAGAATTTTTATTTAGGTTGCAAAAATCTGACTCCTCCCTTAACTAAACTCTATTGAAATTCTCTGACGAGATTATGAACTTCTTGCTTCCATTTCTTTGTATTTCGCCTTAACAGTTATGGATGTAGAAGACAAAGACTCAGATGTCTATTTGACACCCATGGGATAGGTAGTAAAATTACTACAAGCTTCCAGAGCCAAGGTTGGAGAAACAACTTACATTTTTTTTAATGTAAGCCAAAGGAGAGGGAAATATTAGGAAAAGGTCATTGCAAGGAGCCATGTTAAGTTAGTTTGTTTGAACCAGAGAGAAATTTTTGGTAAGTAGAACCTATTAAAATTTGACTTTAATAGTACTTTTCAAAAACAATAAAAGTGAATGTTTGATTCTCTATTGCTTTATATCTTTCCTCTTCCCCTCAAACTTGGTGGTTTAAAACAATAGCCATTTTATTATATCTCCTAAATCTCTGGGCTGACTGTGTTCAACTGGGAGGTTCTTCTGCTCCACATAAAGTCATCTGGGGCTGTAGCAATCTCAGCTCAACTGGCCCAGGGCATGTAAGATGGCATACTTACATAGTGGATGGTTGATGCTAGCTGACAGCTGGTAGCTCAGTTGGGGCTGTCAGCTGGGGGTCTTAATTCTCCTTGAGGCTGCTTTTGCCTCCTCATAGCATGGAAGCTGCCAGTCCTCTTAAAGTCTAGGCTTACTGGCACAGCTTCACTTCTGCCACATTCCAATGGCCAAAGCAGTTACAGGCCCAACTTATATTTAAGGGGGTGGAGAAACAGATTCCACCTTTCAGTGGGGGCATGACAAAGAATTTGCAGTTATCTCTGATCTATATAGCAAGGCTATGTGCAATTAATCACTGTAAAAGCTGATGTTTGAAAAAAAATGAGGGGCATAAAAAGTAGGAATTTGAACATAAGTTGTCTGCTGACCGCATGTGATATAAAGGGAGAAATTAGCTGCATGAGAATCACATTCAGGTGGACTCAAGGAAGAGCATCACATTCAGGTGGACTCAAGGAAAGGTTGCCTTAGACCAATTCCACCAGAATTACCAGGAAGATGTGTTAAAATGCAGATTGCTAGGACCCACTGCCAGAGTTTCTGATTCAGCAGGCCTCAGGCAGGGCCTGGGAATTTATGTTTCTAACAAGTCTTCAGGTGATGCTGATGCTATTGGTCTTGGGAACTACACTTTGAGAACCACTGCTTTAGACTGTGCAGGACCAGGAAAAGTGAGAACATTTAAATAGACAAAAAAAGGAATATTATTTTTCCTCTAATGCTATTTTTAGAAGCCTAGTGTCAGCAGCTTAAATTTAAGTTCTAGGCCACAGCAAACACATTAACATACAGCCTTTTTTTTTGTCAGGGTAACTAACCCTAGTGCTGCAACATCAACCCATGACATCTCATTAGCTTAACACAGCAAAGTTTTCTTCTCACTCATGTAAAGTTCATTGTGACTCAGCAGCTTCCCTGTCTGTGTCAGTATACCATCTGGAACATGTGGCTCTCAGTGTTGCTGAGGCAGGGGAAGAAAAGGGAAGAGAGTGAAGAATGAAGCACACTGGCTCTTAACTGCCTCAGTCAAGAAGTGACACGGTTACTTTGTATCAAAGTCCATTGGTCAGAACTAGTCATATGACCTCAATCTTAAGTGCAAAGGAAGCTGGGAAATGTAGGAGCGCACATGGATAGTCAGCAAGCCCTACCTGTCTCTACCACAGTACCAGATAACTTTAGTGCCCCATGTTCTGTGATTATGCACAGCTGGAAGTGGAAAGAGTTTCATGAGCCCTCAATTGTAGGTACACTTATAATTATTCCAACATTGTCATTATTACTTTTTAAATATTTATTATCATCTGTGAATAATTTATGGTTTTATTCGTAGTTTTCTATGTGGCATTAAACAGAATGCCTAATGACATCACTGTTTCGAAAGAAGATCTGTTGTAAAAACTACTTTTAACCTTGTTACAAATAATTTGGGGCCGGGCGCGGTGGCTCACGCCTGTAATCCCAGCACTTTGGGAGGCCGAGGCGGGCGGATCACGAGGTCAGGAGATCCAGACCATCCTGGCTGACAGGGTGAAACCCCGTCTCTACTAAAAATACAAAAATTAGCTGGTCTTGGTGGCGGGCGCCTGTAGTCCCAGCTACTCAGGAGGCTGAGGCAGGAGAATGGCGTGAACCTGGGAGGCGGAGCTTGCAGTGAGCCGAGATCGCACCACTGCACTCCAGCCTGGGCGACAGAGCGAGACTCCGTCTCAAAAACAAAACAAAACAAAACAAAACAAAACAAAAACCCCAAAAAAACAAAAGAACAAATAATTTGGTAAGGCTTTGTTACATCATTCTAGCTGTTCTATTGAAGACTGATTAAAGAAGCCACCACCTCTTTTTCTTTCTCATTTTGCCAACCACACAATTCTTTAGGTAAGTGTCAAAGTGATTACTTATGCTGCCGTAGTCTAGATAGCCTGTGCAGATCAGCAACAGGACATTATCAGCACTTTAAAACCATCTTATGGTCATTTTTGAAAATAAAAAAAGAAATTAATTTTTATCCCATCCATCCACATGAATCCCACTGTTAGCTCAGTATTAGAAAATGTGGTACAGAATATTGTCAGTGAGAAACAAAACAGAAGTTTGGTTCAATTTCATCATCGGACTTATTGCTATTGCCTATCTTTTGTCTGGAATTCTTTTCTTACGGTGACTTCACAAAATTGACACTGTGAGAGGGACTATTGGTCACACAGGGACTCTTTGGTCATGAGAAAATAGTTCCTAGTTTTCTTCTGCTGATGGGAAGATTTGTTTGGCAGATAAAACCTCAGGAACATGCTATGTACCCAGTCTCAGCAGGTTTGAGGCAAATTTCCATTTTAATTTTGTCTCTCAAATTCTGTTGGCTTAATCAACACCTCTGATATGTTGAAACAATATGATAATGATTTTTTTTGTGGAAATATGCTTGATTGGTAGCAGTCACCTGTCTGTTCGGCACACTAAAATACTGTCTGTCATGATTATTAGAAAGCGTCTGAATTATGTGTTTTGATGCCTTCATTATATGGCTTTAGTTTATAATTAGAATCTTCATAAGCTTTTTCACCACAATTATTCGGTAGTTTCTAGGCAGGCAGTTTCTTTAAATGAATAAGTACAGATCAGCATTACTCTCCCCACTGAACAGATGAAGAAACTGAGACAATTTCATGCCTAGCCCAACACGTTCTGGTGAGTCAGAGTCAGCGTTAGGATAAAACTTCAGTTTATGTGCTTAGGCCAACACATCTTGTGTAACTCTGAAGTTAAATTTCTGGAATCAGGGACACTCTTTTGGTTTAATATATGCTAGAGCAATAGAATGATGTGTAGTTATAAAAACTGGAAACTATTAAATCAAGTTATCTGATCCCTACCTGAGCTAGGTGAAGAAATGCCTAACTATACACGGAAGACTGTATAACAGTGGAAAGAGCAAGAGGCTAGAGTTGGAAGAAGCAGACTCCAGTGAGAAGAGCTGTGTGACCTTGGTCACGTCACTTAGCATCTTAAGAGCCTAGTGTCTTTACTTGTAAAGTGTGGGGCATCTGAAGACACATTTTCTAAAGTCTAAATTTCTATTGCAGAATTTTGAAACTGTTATATTTGTGTTTGGAAGAATCCTTCTTAGGTGAATCTTAATTCAATCAAAATTTCTATTCTCTTAAATATTTATTTTTAAGTGGAAATTATTACAAGAGACAGTTTCCTTGGCTTTGACTTGGCGTATGGAGTCTTCTCTCTGTCATCAGTTCTGCTGAAGAGCACAGAAGGGAATTGGGGAATGAGACTTGTCTGTGAGGAAGCTGTGTGTACACTGCAGGCACAAACTTGTAAGGCAAGACTCCCTCCATAACTCCTTCCCATTCCTCCTGGGGCTGGAGGCCGAACTCTAAAACACCTCCTCCTACCCCACAGTGCCTTATTGATGGATGGAAGAAGTTTTCACATGGGGAGGATATTTGCTAGGCTATTTTTCTAGCAGCTCTTGTTATCCATCACCATCCCTATGCACTTGGTCTGTTTGTCATGGAATGAGTCTGGGGGAATTTGCTTTTTCAGCTTCTTTCTTCCTTCCCATGCTTTTGCCAAGTGAGAAGAACATGGCATCAGCCTCATTGAAATGCAGTGGTGCCTCCCTATTTTTCCAAGGCTGCCCCTGTGAAAAAGGAGCTTGATGAGACTCATTAAGGGCAAATCATGGGGGTTAGGGTTACTTTGAAGGGTTTTCTCTGCAGAGGTCCAGATTTATTTCTGAATATCACTGACCCAGAGGCCAGTTTCACATCCTGCAAAAAAATGCTCTAAGAGAATGTGTCAGCAGAACTGGCATTGCATGTCTAGACAAAGAATTGACATTAGCATCATCAGCTAGCATCCAATCTGTTAATTCTTGTGTAAGCATTCGCTGTCTGAGCCTCAGGCATTTTTGGACTTGAAACAAAAACTTTAGCTCTAAGATTTAAACTTAGGTCTTTCAGGAGCTTCTTTCAGGGGAAGGAATAACAAGGTAACTTATTTCAAGATCAGATATTTTATTGATAAACATAAAAGTTCCCTCATCTTTTTTTTTCCTTCTTTAGTAAAATGGTGACTGTGTCATCACCATCTTCATCCTATTGTATATTTGTTATCTCAAAAAATATTTGTTAAATACCCACTGGGAGTTTATGCAGGGCATTCTGCTGATACATTGGTGAATAAAACAGCCAAGGTCCCTACCTCCTGGAGTTTATAGCTTAATGGGGGAGACTGCCCACAAACAAGTGTAACAGGATCTCTCTGTCTCAGTTTTGGCTGAGGCACCAGAGAACAAAGCAGTAGGTGTCAAGTCCCTTGGCTTTCTAAACTGAGGTGCTAGACTACCTCTGCAGGACTGGTGGAAAAGGTACTGGTTCTGCCAGTCAGAACCCATCATCTACCTCCAGGGCTCCAGGGTTGAGGAGAAGGCTTAGCGTTCTTGGAGGTTTCAGTGTTGGTAGAGGGGATTTCTTGAGGAGAGTTGTCACTGTGCTGTAAGGTTCCCCTCACTGCAGGGAGGAGCTGTGTATCCCCCACTCTCAAAACTAGTAGGGAGGAGGCTTCCAGGGAACCACTCAGAGAGAACGCTGTCCTGTGTTTCCTGAATCTGGGGGACTTGGGGACTGACATATGAGGCATCTCAAGGCAGAGGCAGGGGCAGTGGAGAGAAGAGATGCTGTATTGAGAATGGCCAGCCCTTCCATAGTTGACTGGGTAAAAACTGACTCTGAGGAAGGAGCAGACTGGGTCATCTTGGCAGCAACTTAAGAGGGAGAAACTACGGAGTGAGGTGACTCTGGAAAGAGACAGGTCTCTAGAATGGAGTGGCAGAGTGGGATGGTGGGGAAGATTCTTAAGGGACCAACCCGAAAGACTATTGCCTGGCAAAGCAGCTGTGGGGGGCAGGGCCTCTGAAAACCCCATAAAGAGCAGGCCTGGGAAGCTTGGTTATCTGCCAGATGCAGAGGTAAAAACCCCAGATTACAGTGACATCTGACAAGACAGACCTATATTCCCCTCTTCTCCATCTGCTGCCCCAAACCTGAAGAGCCACAATCCACAACTACAAAGATGGGAGGAGGTGGAGTGAGGAGAAAGCTGACAAGGCTGTCTTCCTGATGAGCTTCCTTGCCTGGATCAGAAGCAGATCTGAGCTGTGAGAGGGGAGGAATCATTGGTTAACTTAGGTTTAGAGTTCTGATATTAAAATCACCCTAGAAAACAGACTATTTGTTTAAGACTTGGAAGTGACTGTGATAGCTATGGGACTGGTGGAGATTTTTCATCTAGAGACAGGAAAGAACATATGAAGACAGCAGATTCAAAGAGGCAGAGGAAGGAGAGGATCAATTGCTTTCTGTCTGCACATACTGATTCCAGTTTCTTTACTATCCTAACTTGATTATGCTAGTAAATAAATAAAATGTTGAATTATAAAACCGTGACACCAGGTGAGGTAGTGTGTGCCTGTAGTCCTAGCTTTTCAAGAGGTTGAGGCATGAGGATCACTTGAGTCCAGGAGTTCAAGTCCAGCCTGGGCAACATAGTGAGGCCCCATCTCTAAAAAATTAATAAGCAAATTAAAAAGAATCATAAAACTGCTCTTAAAGGATAGTGCAGAGGGTGGTAGTGGAGGAGACCTATTTAGACAGGGCAGCAAGGATTACCTCTCAAGAAACCATATGTAATGAATGAGCAGGAGTCAGCTGTGCTAAGTTCTTGGGGAGAGTTAGGGATGGGAGTTCCTCTAGGGTCCAGGCAGTGGGAACAGTATGTATAAGGTTTATGTGAACAGCATCCAATAAACATTTGAGTGGTTTTAACCAAGAATATTTTCATTCTTTGTGCAGGGCACTGAGTTAAAGTCTGTCTTATAAACAGGATAAATGCCTCCTTCACTGAAAACTGAGGCTTAATTGATCAATCTTGGAAAAAACCCCTTGGATAGAAGGTAATGTCTAAAGGCTATAAAGAGCAAAGAGACTCTTGCCCTCTGTTCTAAGCTCCCAGTAACCCCAGAGAACATCCTTCTTTGATGAGTATTGTCATGACCAGCAGCCTCTCCTATGACACTAGTTCCCTTTTGTGGAGTGCAGGGGATTCTGGGTGAAGAAACACAGAGCTCACATGACAGTCTCAGGAGGAAGGAGGGAGGGAGGGAAAACCCTTGACTCGTTCTAGGGCTCTGTTTATGTGTAAGAGATAGAAAAGACTACTTGTTGGAAGCATGCCATGCAAAGTAATCGAGGTAAGATGTCAATGACTCCATCAGTAGGGGCAGGTGTAATCCCTTGCATTGACACACTGATTGGAAAAATGACTCACCTTTGCTGATATACATTTGCTCAGGAAATAAAAAGAGCAAAAAGATGAACTGGTGGCCTAGTGAAGGCCCAGGGAGAGTGTCTGCAGGAATGTGGACACATCCATTTAAAGCTTATATCCTGGGCAGACAGTGACCTCAGTAAGGCACCTTCCCAGGCTTCTCTGGGTTTCCGGCTGGCTTTCAGTCTCTACCAGGGAATGGAGCATCTCTGGGCAGAGGGCAATGCACCAAAGTTTGTGAGGGGTCCTAGGAGAGGAAGACTGACTGAGAGCCCCTGCTTTCAGGGAACTCTGTCCGGCTGGGAGACTGAACTGGTATCATTGACACATCTCACAATCACATATGCAGAACCAACCCAAGGAGGTGAAGAGAGAGGAAAAATGTGCTTCTGGTGAATACTAGGAAAATCAGTGCAATCTAAACTACCAGAGATTTCCACATCTCTAGCTTTTCATTATATCTATTTGCTTTCCCAGTAACACATGCTCAACAAAGAGACTGCCAAATACAGTGTAAAAAAATCAACTATTTTCATTTAAAAGATAATGTAAATAGAGAAGGAAGGAGCCTGTGTTAGGGCTTTCCTTTTTCCCATTGGTGCAAAGCAGTAACTTGCGCCATTAGAACCTGCACCACTTAGTGAGGAACCGATCTCCAAAAAGGCTGCCTGACACACAGAAAGTTCCTGTAAGATGTATTTAAAAATCAAGTTGAGGAATTTAGAAATCTAAGCATTTTAAATTTTAAAAAATTGAATTAGGGTGCTTTGTAACTAGATGGCTTTGCCAGTATCATATCTGAATATCAGACCTTAAGATAGGCTCTTTGGTACTCAATTAAAAGTACAAATAAAACGTGTGAAACATTTCAAAAATCAGCCTTCAAATTGATATTGTGGTCCTTGGGTGTATTTTTTTTCCTTGGCAGCATATTAGAGTAGAAAGAGCATAAGCATTTGTGTCAGGCAAATCTGTATTTGAACACCAGCCCTGCAGTCCTTAGACCTGGAGTCTGGGACCCTGCCCTAGATTCCCACCTTGGCTGGTTCACTCTGACTGTCTGAAAGACACAGCCCTCCTCACAGAGAGAGAGAGACATCTGGAGGGCCATGAACACGTGCTGACTTGAGACCTCTGTCCCAACGCACTCAGGTTCTGGAATTCCTTGACTAGGCCCTGTCCTGGACCTAGACAGACTGGCTGGGCTGTCCTCTCTTCTGGTGCAGGATGGAGCTTGACGAGAGGAATGAAAAGGGGAGTGGAGCAGCGGGCTGGAGGACCACCATTTTTATTCTTGCATTGGGCCCCAAAAATGTCAGGGGCAGGTCCTTGCAAGTGACTTCACCATTCTGAAGCTCATTTTCCTCCTTTAGAAAATGTGCATAAGAATTTCTATCTTACAGATTTTAAGGATCCAATTAGATTATTCTATAAACATACTGATTATTGTACACAAATACTTATCACTGCTATCAATCTAGAGTTTCAGGCTAGACTGAAAATGTCTGTTAAAGCCACCATATAACTGAAATGCATTATTAATTATATTACTAGCACTAATAGTATTTCAGGTACATAGTCTCTGACCTGAAGTCTTTGGGACCAAATGTGTTCAATATTCACAAGTTTTTTGATTTTAGAAATCCAAATGTTTCGAAATATATGCGTAAGGCAGATATTGCATTATATCTGAAATATTTGAGGCAGGGTCTCAATATGTTATTATTTGAAGTCATCAATACATTAATATTTCCACTGCAAAACTTAATGAATGAGGCCGGGCGTGGTGGCTCATGCCTGTAATCCCAGCACTTTGGGAGGATCACAAGGTCAGGAGATCGAGACCATCCTGGCTAAAATGGTGAAACCCCGTCTCTACTAAAAAAACCGAAAAATTAGCCGGGTGTGGTGGCGGGTGCCTGTAGTCCCAGCTACTCAAGAGGCTGAGGCAGGAGAATGGTGTGAACCTGGGAGGCAGAGCTTGCAGTGAGCCAAGATAGCGCCACTGCACTCCAGCCTGGGTGACAGAGAGAGACTCCATCTCAAAAAACAACAACAAAAAAAAAACAAAAAAAAACATAATGAATGAATATTGTGATATGCAAAGACCATAAGCAGCCTTATTTAGGTCAGTTTTTAAAAAATAACTTAAAATTTTAGAACTGTTTTACATTTATAGGAAAATTGCTAAGATAGTACAGAGAGTTCCCATATGTTCTATATGTAGTTTTCCCTATTGGTAACATCTGATATTACTATGGTACATTGGTCACAATTAATGAATCCATACTGATCCATTAACTAAAGTCTACACTATATCAAATTTGCTTAATTTTTACGTAATGTCCTTTTCTGTTCCGGGATCCATCCAGGATACCCCATTACATTTAGTTGCCGCATCCCCATAGATTCCTATTGGCTATTATGATTTCTCAGACTTTTCCTGTGTTTGATGACCTTGACTGTTTGAGGAGTACTGCTCCAGTACCTGTAGAATGCACCTCAACTGGGATTTGTCTGGTGTTTTTCTTAGGAATAGACTGGGTTATAGGATTTTAGAGTTGAAGACCACAGAGGTAAAGTACTATTCTCATGATATAGTAAGGGGACACTCTAGCAACAGGAGTTATCACTGTTAATGATGACCATGTCAGGTTTCCCCACTATGAATGTACTCTTTCCTCTTCAGTTTTTATACTGTACTATTTGGAAGGAAGCCACTTCCCCCACTTAAGCAGTGGGGAGCTATTTTCACCTCCTGGAGTGCAGAATACTTATGTAAGTTATTCCAAATTCTTCTGCATGGGAGATGGATCTCTTTTTCCCCAAGGGTCAGGTTTTGCTGCCATCAGGTTAGGAAATATTTTCTTTTTTCTTTTAAAGTTTTGGTGTTGTGAATAAGGGATTATGGGCCAGAGCCAGCATTATATCTAAATTTTAAAATTCTTACAATGTGCTTTCACCCACTGTACCACGCTGGTGACAGAAGAGACTGACAATTCCTTATAATAAGAGAGAATCACAGGGACTAGTAGGCAGGGATAATGGCAGCCTAGAGAGCACTCCTGTTTCCCAGAGCCCTGGATGGTCCCCGCCCATCATGCATGGCTTGGCCAGACATTCCTACACAAGAAGTATGTTTGGCTGCTTCCACACCTTCATAACAAATTCAGCCTGAAGGGAAATACTGGGAAATACAGTGATGGCCAAGTTGAGTATACATTTTAAAATAGAAAACAAAATTTCCCTTTTATGCATTTGTCAGGCCTTTTTAAACATGCATTTTCATGGAAACTCTTACATTGGTATTAGTTAGGACTGGGGGATATGTTCCGATGGAAATCTAGGAGGTTCATGCCTGGGGCTCACACAGCGTCACCAGGGGACCCACTGCATTTTCCTACGTTCTCACCTTCCTCTGAGGTGCTCCATACCCACTCCTAGGCAGCTCTACTTCCCACACAATCTCAGACTGAGTCCCATTTCTCCTCACCTCTCCTCTCCCTTCTCCCCTCCCAGCTATGTGAGACCCTCTTAGGATTTTTATTGTTATTCAATCCTTGCTCCTATGTGGTCTCTCTATGGCTTCTGCAACTTGCTTCTACCCAGTGGTAATAGTCCAAGATCTCACAGTCTATGCCCTAGAGCTGCAGCCAGGTCTTGTGCCAGGCCCTACCCTTTAGGTAGAGAGAGTCCTAAAGGGAGGGGGCCTCACTGAAGGATGGGGAGGGGCCCTGCAATAGCAGAGGACAGCAGCTATTCACCAACCTTCTCGAAGCCTTTTGCTATTTTAACCTATGCGGAAAGTAAATCATTTTCAAGTGTATTTTATATCGTATTGAACGTGGGAGCCTTCCAGAATTAAGCCCCAGCCTTCACAGTCATTACTGACATATTAATTACACACTCTCAGGCTGACTTTCCAACTTTGGAATCACTTGCTGAGGCCCCAAGAGGACATTCATTTAATTAGGGCAACAGTGACCTGATTGGTTTGTTGCTCTTCAGACTTACCCTTTAGTCCTAAGAGCCTATACCATTATGGGCTTAGGGGTAATTCACGATGTGGTATGAGCCCTGGGCAGCACATTATTTTTTTCAGAACTGACTGATTGGAATGTATCTGTAGTAGGGTTTTTCCTAATTCAGTCTTCAAAGGAGACCAGTAGAAAGCATCTCTTCTATTACTTTCATTTGGTCCCTATGACATCCTTGCATAAAATTACATGCATCTCTTTAGTATAAGATGGGTGATCCTATTTCTTCCACCCAATTTAGAGGAGGAATATGAATGTTTAGAAAATGGTACAAACTTCTGAGAAAAAGAAAGTTGTATGTAATTTAGAAGATGAATAATCTTCAAATAACTCCCTAAATTTGAGCTCCAATTAGGGAGAAATAATTAAGCATGTTGGCATTGAAGAAATAAAGTGTTTCAACTCACCCTCTGATCTTGGTTGTGTCTCTTTACGAACTCCAAAAATTAAACATAATCATGGACTAGATAAATAAACTTATTACCCACCATTTGATTATGCCATTTGATGAATTGACTAAAGTTTCTCGGATATCTTTTCAAAGTTCCCCCAGGGGGCAAAATCCCTCCAGACCCAGTTTTTAGGGTGCCTTTGAACTGCCTACAGCAAAGGTCTGTAAACTTTTTTGGTCAAACTCCTCTATCCATAAAAATTATTTGACTACTTAAGTCTTATGTTCACACATTTCCTATTAAAATAATATATGTTATAAAACTTTATATAGTTCATTTGGAAATTTGTGTATTACCTTGTGACAAATCTTCTGTTGTATTTTGAATTGTTTTTTAAATAGTTATTTGTGATTTACACTGTCTTAGGTTTATTTTTTTTCTCTGAACAGATTTATTAAACTGTCAAGGTCAAGAATTTAAAACAATGTATTCCCTGTTTTTAATACAGCCCTTTGATTAATTGAGTTTTTTGGACCAGAAAGCCTCGGAGTTTTGTCTGGGTTTGCCCCACCTGTGTGATCACTAGCAAGCCAGTCAACATCCACGGGCCCTGGTGATCTCATCTGTAAAGGAAGTGGTTGGACTAGATGATTTCTAAGATCCTCCAGCTTTATAATTTGGATAATAGGATTTAATTTGGCAAATCTTCCAAAAGGATGTTGTCTAAGTTGGAGAAACCTGACCTAATTTTGACCACAGATGTTGTGGATTTGGAAAAACCTTTTTTAGAAAACTCCTCAAAGACAAAAGTATACTCACTGGCACTAAAGGTGTGGTGTCCTTACTATCTTTCCTAGCATAGATCTCCCTTACAGTGTGTCCAGGTGCACTGTGGAATGCCACACCCACAGCATACCTGAAGCAAGGGGCTGGTTACACATTAGAATCGTGAAACTGTTAGCAACGGAATTATTCATAAAAAGAACCTCAGCTGAGAGCTGAGTTCAATAATTTTTAGCCCAATTAGCCAGCAATTGGCCTTCTCACTTTCCTTGATTGCATTATTTTAAAAATCTTTGTTTGATTTTTCAAAACTGTGTGTCCAAGCTGTGGTGTTTAAAGAACTAGATGTACAAAAAATACAAATCAAAATGTCACATCCTGTAAACATACCATAAGCTGATTATGTTAAATGTTTTCTTTATTCAAGCACGTAGATTTAGGGCTTAGCAGTGGTAATAAACATTCGTCTGAAGAATAGATTTTGATCAAGGAAGTCTCCCATTTGTTCCGTGTATGATCTTTATTCTGTTGGTTTTCCCAGGGTGAAAGTCACACAAAAGAAACAAACTACAGCTCTTGGAATGTAATTCCAGTGCCCCCCTTACACCCCCCCAAAACAAACCAGAAAACAAACAAACACACACAAAAAAACCCAACACTAAAACTGGCCTAACAATGCAAACTACCATGTAATAAGATCCTACCACACCTAGACAGCCACCCATATCCAATCTGTATCCTGGAAAGACTTATGACTAAGCAAAGAGAGGAGAGACCATGAAAAGAGTCAGTCATGGATTTTTAATTTGTAAGCACAGACTAATCCAGGGAAGACTTACAGCAAATTTTATTCTGATGCCTTTTATTCTTTTTTATCATGCAATCTGTGTCTGTCAGCAACAGCCTTTGATTGCTTCTTTAGCCATCTGAAATGCTAGGAGGATCCTTGTTTAACCAGTTTTTAATAACTGCATCTCTATGCCACCCTCACCATCATTTCATTTGCTTTCAGAACCAGAGTTTTTTACTCACTAGATAATATATTTAAAGATCTATAATAATATGATTAAAGTCGGGGGGAGGACAGTAATTATAAAGGAAATGAAAACTCAAGAATCTTATATTTATTTCTGTTCCAGGCAAGTATCAGTTCTGCACAGCAGTCTCCTTTCCCTTGGGGATATTGTATGATAACATTGGTGAGAACATATTTGACACTTTATTTGTAAAAGGTGCTTTATGTTTGTCATCTAGAAAATGCTAATGTGCAGTAGGCATTGGCATCAGATGTGGATGCTGTGGCTAAACACAAGGGGAGATTTCCCATGAAAAATTGATAAATGTGTATTTCATGAAAATGATTGCCAGCACTATCTTAAGTGGGTAATGCTGCCCTTGGTAAGAAGAATATAGAATAAATACCAGTTTTTATTTCTTTTATGCCACAGTTTGTATGTTAAAAGTTAGGTTAATTACCCTGATTATATGATTAATGCTGAAATTGACTTAGCAACACTAGTGATATTGCATTTTGTGACCCTCTTTTGTTCAAGCCAGCTATTTTGCTTGCCAGGTGTGCTCAAACTGGAAAAAGGCAGAAGTCTAGGAGCCCCCTGGAATTTGATGTAGATTTTCCTTTAGGCTTAAAAAGAAAAATTTTAAGTCATAAAATTCCACTGTGGGAAGTATACTGTCCTTTTTAAAATGCTAATGAAATGCTCACAGCATGTTCAGGACTAAGCAGAGATGATACAGATATGGTCAAGGCATTTGCATCCTTAACTCTTTACAGCCTGAGTATTTGGGAGGCTGTGAGTCAACACCCTCTCCTGGACACCCTCCCTCCTCATGCTGGGATGGTGCCAGAGTGGGCAGGACTAGCCTTACCTGTGGGGACAGTAGGTGACTCTCCTTAAAATGCTATTTTCTCCGTATTAACTTGTCTATATTGGAATTTTTAAATTATAAAAGTGACTTTTTATAGGTCAAACAACGCAAAGTTGTATAAAGCAAAATGATGAAACGATGTACAAAGAAAAAGCTAGTAACTTCCCTTCACCCCATCTTGAGGAAAGCAGTGTCCTCTTCTGCTATTTGTTCAGCCCTTCCCCATACTCATACAAACATATACAGGCAGATTAAGTTTATATAATGCAGATTTTTGTTTTTTACTTTATGGAAATAGGATAAAATACACATTACTGTATAAACTTAATTTTTTTTAGACTCAGCATAACCTTTCTTTAGTCCAGTAGATATACTTCACTATTTTTGTGTATTACCATTTAGTCCACTATTTTATGTTTTATTTTTATTTTTTGCTTTTTGAATGGAGAAGCTGTTTGTTTGTTTTAAAAATAACAGCTTTATCTAGCTGTAATTCACATACCATACAATTCACCCTTTTAAAATGTAAATGGGCTCACACCTGTAATCCCAGCACTTTGGGAGGCTGAGGCGGGCAGATCACTTGAGGTCAGTTCGAGAGCAGCCTAGCCAACATGATGAAACCTGTCTCTACTAAAAAAAAAAAAAAAATCAAAAATTAGCCGGGCATGGTGGCATGCACCTGTAATCCAAGCTACTTGGGAGCCTGAGGCATGAGAATCACTTGAACCTGGGAGGCAGAGGTTGCAGTGAGCCAAGATTGCACCACTGCACTCCAGCCTGGGAGAACAGAGCAAGACTCGTCGCAAAAGAAAAAAAAAAATGTAAATGGCCTTTAGTATATTCACAGAGTCATACAGCCATCACCACTATATAATTTTGGAACATCTCACCGCCCAAAAATGAAACCCCCTCTCTGTTAGCAGTCACTCTCCATTCCCCTCTCTTCAGCCCCTGGTAGCCACCAGATTACCTTCTGTTTGCATGGATTTGCATGTCCTGAACATTTAACATAACCAGACTCATACAACATGTAGCCTTATGTCTGACTTCATTCACTTAGCATAATGATTTCAAGGTTCATCCATGTTGTAGCAAGTATCAGTACTTTATTCCTTGTTATGGCTGAATAATATTCCATTGTATGAATATACAACATTTTGTCTATTCATTCATCTACCGATATACTTTTAGGTTGTTTTCACTTTTTGGCTATTATGAATACTGCTGCTGTAAACATTATGTTCAAGTTTTGAGTACACATATGTTTTCAAGTCTTCTGGGCATTTACCTAGGAGTGGAATTGCTGTACCATATGGTAACCCTATATTTAACATTTTTAGGAACTGCCAAACTGTTTCCCTAAGTAGTTACAACATTTTACAATCCTAATAGCAGTGTGTGAAGGTTCTAATTTCTCCATATCTTCATTAACACTTATTTTCTGTCTTTCTTATAATATTCACCCTACTGGGTGTGAAGTGGTGTCTATCTCACTGTGGGTTAGATTGGTATTTCCCCCAATGATTAATGATGAGCATTTTGTATGTGCTTATTGGTCATTTGTATATTTTCTTTGGAGAACTGCCTGTTAATTACAATAATTTGCCCATCTTTTACTTGGGTTGTCTATTTATTATTGAATTGTAAGAGCCCTTTATATATTCTGGGTATAAGTCCCTTTGCAGATCTATGATTTGCAAATATTGTTTACCTTTCTGTATGTTGTTTTTTCACTTTATTGATGGTGTCCTTTGAAGCT
The DNA here is from genome assembly GCF_000001405.40 of Homo sapiens. Taxonomy (NCBI): domain Eukaryota; kingdom Metazoa; phylum Chordata; class Mammalia; order Primates; family Hominidae; genus Homo; species Homo sapiens. The sequence goes on from NC_000005.10 coordinate 96,161,095, forward strand.
CAAAATTTTTTAAATTTGTGAAGACCAATTTATTTTTTCTTCTATCTCTTGTGCTGTCTGTTGATGTCATACCTAAGAAACCACTGCCTAAACTAAGGTCATGAAGATTTCCTCCTTTGTTTTCATCTAAAGAGTTTTATAGTTTTAGCTCTTATAATTAGGCCAGTTTTCTATTTTGAGTTAAATTTTGTACATAAAGTGTGGTAGGTGGTCCAACTTCATTCTTTTACATGTGCATATTGTTGAGTTGTAAAAGTTCTTTATATATTGTTCCAGAACCGTTTGTTGAAAATATTATTCTTTCTTTATTAAATGATCTTGGCACCTCTGTTGAAAACTAACCAACCATAAAAAAATGATTTATAGCTGAATCCTCAATTCTATTCTGTTGATCTATAGTCTGCTCTTATGCCAGTACCACACTGTTTTGCTTACTGTAACGTTATAGTAAATTTTAAAAGCAGGAGGTATGAGTCCTACTTTGTTCTTTTTCAAGATTGTTTTGGCTGTTCTTGCATTTCCATATGAATTTAGGATCACCTTGCCAATTTCTACAAGAAGACAGCTGAAGTTTTGATAGGGATTGTATTGAATCTGTAGATCAACTTGTGGAGTGTTGCTATCCTAATAATATTAAGTTTTCTGATCTATGAACATAGGATATCTTTTCACTTATTTATGTCTTTAATTTCTTTCAACAATGCATTGTAGTGTTTGAAGTGCAAATCTTGCTCTTCTTTTGTGAAACTTATTCCTAGGTATTTTATTCTTTTGGATGTTATTGTAAATAGAATTGTTTTCTTAATTTTATTTTTCAATTGTTCATTGCTAGCAGATAGAAATACGATTGATTTTTGTGTATTGATATTATATCCTGCAATCTACTAAACTTATGTATTAGTTCCAATGCTTCTCTTGTGGATGCCTTTGGATTTTCTGTATACAAGATCATCTTATCTGTAAACAGAGAACTTACACTTCTTCTTTTCCAATATAGATGCTTTTTGGTTTCTTTTTCTGCCTAATTGTTCTGGCTAGAACCTCTAGTACAATGTTGGATAGAAGTGGTAGGAGCCAACATCCATGTCTTGTTCCTGCTGTTGGGAGTAAAGCATTCAGTCTTGTATCATAAATTATGATATTAGCTATAGGTTTTTCCTAGGTGCCATTTATCATTTTGAGAAAGTCTCATTTCATTACCTTGTTGAATATTTTTTGTCATGAAAGATGTAGAATTTTTATAGAATGCTTTTCCTACATTTATTGCGATGATCATGTGATTTTTCTACTTCATTCTACTAGCACGGGATGGTATATTGTTTGTTTGTTTGTTTGTTTTTTGAGACAGTGTCTTGCTCTGTCGCCCAGGCTGGAGTGCAGTGGGGTGATCTTGGCTCACTGCAACTTCTGCCTCCCGGGTTCAAGCAATTCTCCTGCCTTAGCCTCCTGAGTAGCTGGGATTACAGGCGTGTGCCACCACACCTGGCTAATTTTTGTATTTTTAGTAGAGACGCTGTTTCACCATGTTGGCCAGGCTGATCTCGAACTCCTGACCCGAGGTAATCCATCCGCCTCAGCTTCCCAAAGTACTGTGATTACAGGCATGAGCCACTGCACCCGGCCTGATTTTAATGTTACATCATCTTTCTATTCTTGGGATAGTTTATCATGGTGTATAACCCTTTTTAATATATTGCTCTGATTTGGTTTGTTAATATTTGTTGATGATTTTTGTGTCTATATTGATAAGCGATATTGGTTTATAGTTTTCATGTCTTATGACATTTGGTCTGGTTTTATAATTAGGATAATATTGGTCTCTTGTAATGAGTTAAGAAATGTTTATTTTTCTTCTATTTTTCAGAAGAGTTTGCAAGTTTCAGTTTTAATTTCAATGTTTAGTAGAATTCAGCGGTGAATTCTACTGGGCTTTTCTTTGAGGGTAGCTTTTAAATTACTAATTCAACATCTTTCCTTTTTATAGGTTTATTCAGATTTTCTGCTTCTTGAGCCAGTTTTGTTAGTTTCTGTTTTTCTAGGAATTTGTCCATTTAATCTAGGATATCTCATTTGTTGGCATTCAGTTGTACATTGTCTTCTCTTATAATCCTTTTTATTTCTAGAGGATCAGTAGTGATGTTTCTGCTTTCATTCCTGATTTTAATAATTTGCATGTTCTTTCTTTTTTTCTGTCAGTCCAGCTAAAGTTTTCCTGTCAGTCTAGCTAAAATTTCATTGACCTTTTAAAAGAACCAACTTTTGATTTTGTCGATCTTCTCTATTCTTTTTCTATTCCATAATTACTATTTAGCTATTGACAGACATTCAGGCTGTTTCCAATTTCTTGGTATTGCAGTTAATACCATAATAAATATCTTTGTTTGTATATTCTTATGTTCTGATACTTAAAATTCTTCAGTGCAGATTTATGAAGTGGGATTTTTCTATATTTTTAATTTTAATAGATATAGCTAGATTACTTTCTGAATAATGCCACTGGAAATGTAAAAGGATATTGTTTTTAACAGTAGATTTCTATTGCCCAGCCACTGGGCCTGAAATCCAATCAGGTATCAAGACTTAGGACATCCTTAGTACCAAATTTGGGGTCACAGTATTCATGGCCATTACTGGGATTGTTCCTTACCTACAATGCAATCTTGTGTAAGTTACTTAATTTTCCTAGTCCCCATTTTCTCTGGCAGAATGGTGTCTGCCTACCCCATAAAACTGTTGCGAGGATCAGATGTAACATGAACAACATGGTCACTATGTAGGGTCACTGCCAACTCTGTGGGTTTGAATTCCAGCTCTGCTGCTTATAAGGTATTTAACAATGGGCACATTACTTAGTATCTCTGTTTCTTCATCTGTAAAATGGGCATAATGACATTATATTAACTCATAGGATTGTTGTAAGAATTAGATGAATTGGTACATGAAAAAAAAACACTGAGACTAGTGCCTGACTTCAATAGTAAGCACTTAATTGTCATTGGCTGAAAAATATTAATATGTATTTTTCACTCTGTTCTCTACGCTCTCTCTCACATACATATGTTTTGGGGAGGAAAAAATATGCACACATACATACACATGTGTCTATTTATGTACATTTATATACAAGGTATGTTGTACGTAAAGAAAGAATAGAAAGAATAAAAGCAAATATGTCAATCTCTGTTCACAGAAATGTATGAGAGATGAGACATATTCACTTATAAATGTAACACAAAGTAGAAAGTGTCAACTGAAATCAAAGGGACAGAGCTAAAGTACTCTTTCCTTTGAGTTAAAGAGAAGCTATATTCTGGGTGCAGCCTCATTTTGGCTTCAGTTTGGATAATTAGTCTGTCTAGCCTGTCACTGGCAGAATCTGAAATAATGGAACCCATAAGGAGTAAGATTTGCTGGAGGAGGCACTGCAAAGTAAGATGAGGAAGACAGTTGACTGATGGTCAACAATCAGTTCGCAAACATTTATTGAATACCCACTCTGTGCCAGGCAATAGGGATATAGAAGAGAACAAGACAGATATAGTCTCTGCCCTATAATAGCCTGAACGTTGTGTTAGTGAGGTTCATGAGCAACCAGAGTACAGAAGGGAAGCGTGCAGAGAGAAAAAGTGCAGAGAAAAAAAGTGTAACTTTGATGGGTTACAGTTATGCCCTGGGTTGGCCAAGAATGCAAATAAATGCCATAAGCCTAGATCTAATATTTTCCTTTTCTTCTTTCTCTTTTTAGACTGATTCAGTGGGTTAGGTGGAAGTACTGGGAATGGTACTGGCAATGATTCTGGAATCGTGCAGAGCCTGGCATGGGAAAGGTGAGGGAAGGAGAAGGCAGCCTTGGTAGTGGGGTGGAACGTGAAGAATGGGAATTCTGGGAAGAGATGGTTATATACATTATTCTATACTGAAGAGCTGTCATTTGATGGTTATATTTGTAAATATTTTGATTTTGAGAAGATTAGAAGTGGCTGAGGAGGAAGTGAGGCCTCCGAGAGCGGTCAGATAAGTGGGGGACAGGAGGGGAGAATGCAGCAGTGGAATCTGACATGACACCTCGGCAGATTCCTTAGTCTTTTTTTTTCCCACTAGCTAAAATGACAGTGTCTTTGGGGCCTTGAAAAGAGAAGACAAATGGAATAGAGAAGGGGGATAGAGCTGGAGCCTTAGCCACAGCTGAGCTGAGTGCCTTTTTTTATTAGGGAGGATATATGTGTGCAGAGGGGTAGATAGACTAAGGATGGAGTTTAAACCAGAAAAGTCCATGTGGAAAAGTATTAAGAACTTTAAAGAGTTGCAAAACATAAGAATCCACTGTATTTGTGCTTTTAGAAAGTACTGGGGTATAATTTCTTCTTTTTCCCTGCTGAATAACTACCCAATGGTATGTTGGTAAAGAAAAAAAATGCATATATATACATACACACATAACTTTATTATAAACTTTTCTGATATAAAGAAGGTATATCATGCTATTTACAAGTAACAACATATATAATATTCTTTATTGGAAATTCCTTATAATCAATTGATTCTCACAGACTGCTTTTATTGATTTTTGCCAGGCTTCTATATTCATAGCCAAACTGTGGTTGCATTTGATGAAAGTGTTCTGACATGAACATCACCTGTATTTTCATTTATGTTAACAAATAAAATAAAAGTGAATCAATAAAGACATCTGTTAGAACTTCATTCATTTATCAGTGATGTGAATGACTTCTTTGCCGAACTAGAAAATAATTTTTGAAAACTGGAGGAATATTTACTAAGGTTTCTTCTTAAAGTTATTCACAGTATAACAGCTACAAGTAGGACACACTTTCACATTTAATTTACATTAATTATTTTTCATTTTCATTATCCATTTCATTAATCATTATCCATTATTAACATTTCATCACTTTCTTAGTCTAGACAATGAACAAAACAATAAATCAAGTCCTGCTTGGTAGCTTTTGCCAATATCTGTGAGATGAGTTCTTCCACATGGCGCTCCTGAGTCTTCAGCTGGGAAGTGGTGGCCAGCAGCATGCCAGTCCACAGTGTTTCCCCCCTGCAGATAAAACAGATGTGAATAAACTCAAGAGCACAGACCACAGTAAATGTAGTAAAATAATTAGGAAATGATGTTTTAAGTAGGTAGTACCTTTATTTTAATTTTCTGATAATTTAATACCTTCATTTTAAATATCATTAATATAGTTGCAAGTTTATCTAACTTAATTTTTAATAACAGAAGTATTTAACAACAGGTTTGCAAAATTCCTGAAAATTTAACAGTCAGCCCTCATGGGCCAGAATGAGCCTACTTCAGCACACCAATGCATCTGCCCATCCCTGCAGCAGTGTGTGTGCCCTTCAGCTCACATCTCGGTTTCTGTGTCCCAGGATACAGAAACACCATCCAGGGACCATCACAGCAAATAACTGATTTAAGTGCTCCAGGTAGCTTTTCTTATTAAATAAAGCTTCCCAGCTATAATCATATTTAATGATTGAATTTATAATTATGTTTATTTTGAAAAAATTTGGAGAAAAATGTCTAATGAATATACAAATCTAGATAATCAATTGAAGCATAGCCTTGGCAATCATGAGGTTCATTTGAATAGCACACCCAAGAAGCTGGATCATACAGGACCCAAACTTCCTATCCTCACTCATGAATTCAGATTTCCAAGAAATTAATAGACATAATTTTGGGTGTTATATAGTAGTCCATGTCTTCTTATATTAATAAGAAAAATAAAACAAAATAGTGGTAAAGTGTTGGGGTGGTGAAAATGTTTGGAGAGATAAGGGGCGATGCTTCTCAGGGCTGCTTCCAGTGGGATTACGAGCGGCTTGGGAACCTAGAGTGGGAGAGATTAAGCTGAAGGAAGGTTTTGTGGTAAGGGGCGATATTGTGGGGTTGTTGGAAGAAACATTTGTCATACAGAATTATTGGTGATGGCCTGGATACGGTTTTGTATGAATTGAAAACCTAAAAGGAATAAGAGAAGGAGAGAAACAGGTATTAAAGTACTAAGAATTGGGAGGACCCAGGACATCCAATTAGAGTGCCCAAGGAGCTTCAGCATAGCCCTGCCAGCAAAGATTATTTATTTACTTTAAGAGTTAAGAGTGCTGGTTTGGGGATAGCACTGGGAGATATCAGCTGTGATGGCTTGGAGAAACAGTGTAAACCGGCAGTGTAAACAAGAGCAGGGCATTTATGTGTAGTTGAGAATGGTGAATAGGTGTATGACTAGACAGAAGATAGTAGGGATGACAAGTTTTTTGGGGCGCAGTCCAAGTTGGTCTGGTGTCTGGGATGAGACTGGGGCCTAATAAAAAGGAGTGTCCATGCAGGAGCTCAAATGGGCTGTACCCTGTAGCATTCCAAGGACAGGCCCGAATTCTGAGAAGGGCAAGTGGTAAAAGTATTGTCCAGTCCTCTTTAAGTTGGTGGCTGAGCTTGGTGAGGTGTGTTTTTAAAAGACCATTAGTTCACTGAATACCAAGAGCCTGAAAAACTGCTTGGGTGATTTGACTAATAAAGGTTGGTCCATTATCAGACTGTATAGAGGTGGGAAGGCCAAACTGAGGAATTCTGTCTGACAGAAGGGAAGAAATGACGGCGGTGGCCTTCTCAGACCCTGTGGGAAAGGCCTCTACCCATCCAGTGAAAGTGTCTACCCAGACCAAGAGGTATTTTAGTTTCCTAACTCGAGGCATGTGAGTAAAGTCAATTTGCCGGTCCTGGGCGGGGCCAAATGCCCGAGCTTCATGTGTAGGGAAGTGGGTGGGGGGGCCTGAACAATCCCTGAGGAGTAGTAGAATAGCAGATGGAACACTGAGAAGTGATTTCCTTAAGGATAGATTTCCACCATGGGAAGGAAATGAGAGGTTCTAAGAGGTGGGCTAGTGGCTTGTAACTTACATAGAAGAAGTTATGAAATGATGACAGAATAGAATGGGCCTGTGAGGCTGGAAGGAGATATTTTCCTTGGTCCAAGAACCATTTGCCTTGTGTGAGAAGAGATTGATAGGTGGAAGTTTCAGTGGGGGAGTAGGTGGGAGTGGCCAGATGAGAAGGAGAAAAACTGCCATGAGGGATAGAAGTTGGAACGCTAGCTGCTTTTAGCTACCTTATCAGCGTAAGCATTGTCCTGAGCAATGGGATCTGATGCCTTTTGATGGCCCTTGCAGTGAATGACTCCAGCTTCCTTTGGAAGTAAATTGGCCTTGAGAAGTGTTTTTATTAAAGAGGCATTAATGATGGAGGACCCTTGTGTAGTGAGGAAACCTCTTTCTGCCTATACAACAGCATGGTGGTGCAGGACATAGAAGGCATATTTAGAGTCAGTATAAATATTGACGCGTAATTCCTTTGCAAGAGTGAGGGCTTGAGTTGAGGCAATGAGTTCAGCTTGCTAAGAGGTAGTGGAGCGGGGCAGAGCGGTAGCCTCAATGATAGATGTGGAAGATACTATAGCATAGCTTGCCTTTGCTGGTGAGTGGCGATTAGGCCTGGTGGAACTGCCATCAATAATCCAAATGTGATCAGGGTGAGAAACAGGAAAGAAGGAAATATGGGGAAATGGGGTGAATGTCAGGTGGATTAGAGAGATACAGTCATGGGGGTCAGGTGTGGTATCCGGAATAATGTGTGAGGCTCGATTAAAGTCCGGGCCAGGAACAATGGTAATTGTGGGAGACTCAACAAAGAGTGAGTATAGCTGAAGGAGCTGGGAAGCAAAAAGTATATGTGTCAGGTGGGAGGAAGAAAATAGATTTTGAAAGTTATGAGAATTGTAGAGAGTTAATTGAGCATAGTTTGTGATTTTGAGGGCCTCTAAAAGTATTAAGGAGCAGCAGCCACCACACGCAGACATGAGGGCTAGGCTAAAACAGTAAGGTCAAGTTGTTTGCATAAAAAGGCTACAGGGCGCGGTCCCGGCTCTTGTGTAAGAATTCTGACTGCACTAACCATACCTAGGAAGGAAAGGAGTTGTTGTTTTGTAGAAGGGATTGGGGTTTGGGAGATTAGCCGGACACGAGCAGCAGGGAGAGCACGTGTGTTTTTATGAGAATTATGCCGAGATAGGTAACAGATGAGGATGAAATTTGGGCTTGACTGAGATAATGGGGGCTGTCTGTGAAGCCTTGCAGCAGTACAGCCCAGGTAATTTGCTGAGCCTGATGGGTGTCAGGGTCAGTCCAACTGAAAGCGAAGAGAGGCTGGGATGAAGGGTGCAAAGGAATAGTAAAGAAAGCATGTTTGGGATCCAGAACAGAATAATGGGTTGTGGAGGGAGGTATTGAGGATAGGAGAGTATATGGGTTTGGCACCATGGGGTGGGTAGGCAAAACAATTTGGTTGATAAGGTGCAGATCCTGAACTAACTTGTAAGACTTGTCCGGTTTTTGGACAGGTAAAATGGGGGAATTGTAAGGAGAGTTTATAGGTTTTAGAAGCCCATGCTGTAGCAGGCGAGTGATAACAGGCTTTAATCCTTTTAAAGCGTGCTGTGGGATGGGATATTGGCGTTGAGTGGGGTAAGGGTGATTAGGTTTTAATGGGATGGTAAGGGGTGCATGATCGGTCACCAAGGAGGGAATAGAGGTGTGCTATATTTGTGGTTTAAGTTGGGGAGATACAAGGGGAGGATGTCAAGGAGGCTTTGAATTGGTGAAAAAGGAGACAATGAGGTGTGGCTGTAGCCCAGGAATAGTCAGGGAAGCAGATAATTTAGTTAAAATGTTTTGACCTAATAAGGGAGCTGGGCAGGTGGGGATAATTAAAAGGAGTGCTTAAAAGAGTATTGTCTAAGTTGGCACCAGAGTTGGGGAGTTTTAAGAGGTTTAGAAGCCTGGCCGTCAATACCCACAACAGTTATGGAGGCAAAGGAACAAGGCCCTTGAAAAGAAGGTAATGTGGAGTGGGTAGCCTCTGTATTGATTAAGAAGGGTATGGACTTACCCTCCACTGTGAGAGTTACCCAAAGCTTGGCGTCCGTGATGGTCTAGGGGGCTTCCGAGGCAATCGGGCAGCATCGGTCTTCAGCCGCTAAGCCGAGTAAATCTGGGAAGGAGTCAGTCAGAGAGCCTTGGGCCAGAGTTCCAGGGGCTCTGGGAGTGGCTGCCAGGTGAGTTGAACAGTGGGGTCCTGCACAGATGGGACACGACTTAGGAGGAATCCCGGGCTGCCGGCATTCCTTGGCCCAGTGGCCAGATTTCTGGCACTTGTAGCAAGCTGCGGGAGGAGGTTCTGGAGGAACCCCTGGCAGCTGTGGTTCAGGCGTTTGGAGTTCTTGTGTGCTGG